>NC_000014.9:55975349-56278379 GCF_000001405.40 Homo sapiens | reverse complement strand
GTGGATGTAATCTTTGTGTTAATTAACTTTTGTGGTAATCATTTCACAATGTGTATATATATCAAATCATCATGCTGTACACCTTGAATATATACAATTTTTATTTGTTAATTATACCTCAATAAAACTGAAAAACAATTTGTAAAAAGTACATGTTTATCTTAATAGTGAAGAAACCTACTTTAAGAAAAATAATTTATTAAACTCAAACTTATAAAACTAACAATCAGGAGTTGATTACAAAATAATTTATTTTAGGGTTTCCTATAAAGTATCTATTGCATTTTAAATGCATTCAATTTACAAATATATCAACTCCAACACAACTTTCATGGCATATACATATTGCATAAAATGTCTATAGTGTACAAATGATCTGCAAAACAAGGAGTTAACGAGTGCAATAATGGGAAATACTTTTAAAGGTTATACATTTTTGTACAATGGCACCTGCTTAAGTATGGTGTTTCTCAAACTTCCACTCCATTTGCCTGAATTGGAAGGGTTACCTGAACCTGGAGATGTCTGGGGAGCAGCCCTCAAATGGAGTTGCTCATGCTTAAAACAGCTTACCTTAAATTATAAATTTTGTTTTTTATTCCCTAACACATTTGCTATTTTAACATTTAAGTATTTCTCCCAAATTCACTGGGAAGTCATTGTCTCATGAAGACTCGCTCTGGTCACCTGAGGCCTAGCACAGCCATGGACAGGGTGCTCTAGAGTAGTGGTCACCAACCTTTTTGTACCAGGAACTGGTTTTGTGGAAGACAATTTTTCCATGGACTGGATCAGGGGGATGGTTTGGGGATGATTCAGGCACATTACATTTATTGTATACTTTATTTCTATTATTATTACATTGTAATATGTAATTAAATAATTATGCAACTCACCATAATGTTGAATCAGTGGGAGCCCTGAGCTTGTTTTCCTGCAACTAGATGGTCCCATCTGAGGGTGATGGAGATACTGACAGATCATCAGGCATTAGATTCTCATAAGGAACACGCAACCTAGATCCCTCACACACACAGTTCACAATAGGGTTCGTGCTCCTATGACAATCTAATGCCACCGCTGATCTGACAGGAGGCGGAGTTCAACCCGTAATGCAAGCAATGGGGAGCGGCTATAAATACAGATGAAGCTTCCCTTGTTCACCTGCTCCTCACCTCCTGCTGTGCGGCCCAGTTCCAAACAGGCCACAGACCACTACCTTGGGGTTTGGAGATTTCTGTCCTAGAGACACTTCCTCGCCACTTTAGAAAACACCAGAAACAGCCATTTTATAGGCTGCAAGTTGTTACTGGACACAAATTATTGTAAGGTGTTTCATTATAAAAATATTCTTGTGACCCAAACTATAAGACTATGTAGCACATGAAAAAGGGTATTTATAGCGAAAGCATCACATTACCTGGAAACTGCCCACAGCAAAGGGGAGTCTTACCCAAGCCCCCAAAATGGAAAGAAAACACTGATGTAGGATGCTTTGAATGTTGAGCCCATTTAAAGAAAATCTGTGATATCAGACTTCTGCCATTTTTGTACGTTGCTTAAGGCAAATGGCCAGGGTTAGGAAAGGGGAATGCTTTTAGGTTAGGAAAATGCCTTTTCTGTGTCTTTTAGATTAAAAAAGTACTAGCCAAGGGCTGTGATTTGGAGGCCTTGGAATTTGGGGAAGGTATGAAAGTGGGAAAAGAGACTGCAGGCAGAAACAAATCCCATGAAGGTGGGGAGTGGCTCCGGGGCAGCAGGTAATGCACACCCTGCAGCATGGGTGGCTGAGGAACTTCGGAACTAGCATGATAGTCACCTCGAAGTCACTTCCAGTTCTGGCAAGGATTTCCCTCTGGTAATGCTAAGCCAGGAGAAGAGTCCTGACCCTACAAAGGCCCGGAGTACTGGTGCCCTGGGGTCCAACATGCTGCACCTATGGAAAGCAGAAACGTGGGCTGGGCTGGCCTGAAAAGATGAGACTAAAGCCAGGACTGGGATTTGGTGGCAGTAAAAACCAGGGCGCCTAAGGCCACCAGCAGGATCATCGTCAATAAATGGGGAAGTGTAGACTTCCTTCAATTACATGAATTAGGGCTCACATGACCTTGTTTCCATGTATTAAAGTCTAAAATAGAGTCAGATTTAGGTGGTTAGGGGAAATTAAAGAAGAGTTTAAACCTGAGATCAATTTTCACTTTCCTTCTTGGGTCATGTCTTACGGAAAAGTCTGCAAGTACATATGGCATTGAACTTTTTGTTAGAAGTATCAATTGTTCAACAATATTTTTTAACATTTAAAATATGACTTTCAGAAATAGAGTTTCTAGTAAATGACAGATTCACTGACTTGAGCCAATCATTTCCAGTATTTTGGAAATAAAAGTTTCTCCAAGGCCCTAAGTTGTTTTGGAATCTATTTCCAAAATATCAGAAAGGAGAGCAGGTAGGGTCTTTTCTTGGCATTCACTATAACTTAGTTCAAACACAATTACTGTAACATAATGCTGTGACCTTACTACATCAACACAAATTTAGAAAGCTCTTTAACATCATAAAGAAAACCAGCTCAAGCAGCTTGCTGTGTACACCAGGGGTCCCCAACCCCTGGGCCACAGGCTGCTATCAGTCTGTGGCCTGTTAGGAACCACGGCACACAGCAGGAGGTGAGTGGCAGACGAGCAAGCGAAGTTTCATCTGTATTTACAGCTGCTCCCCATTGCTATCATTGCCACCTGAGCTCCTCCTGTCAGATCAGCAGCGGCATTAGGTTCTCATAGGAGCGTGAACCCTATTGTGAATGCGCATGTGAGGGATCTAGACTGTGCGCTCCTTATGAGAATCTAATGCCTGATGATCTGTTACTGTCTCCCATCATCCCCAGATGGGACTGTCTGGTTGCTGGAAAACAAACTCAGGGCTCCCACTGATTCTATATTATGGTGAATTATATAATTATTTAGTTATATATTACAATGAAATAATAATAGAAATACAGTACACAACAAATGTAACGTGCTTGAATCATCCCAAAACCATGTGCCTCCCCGGTCCGTGGAGAAATTGTTTTTCACAAAACTGGTCCCTGGTGCCAAAATGGCTGGGGACTGCTGGTGTAGACAATAATGATTTCCTATATTCACTTCTCTATTGGGCAGCTGTGATGAGAACGCAGGTCGCCACCTCTGTTCTCATAACACTGCATGTGCCTCGAACACACGTTCAGTCTTATTTATTTTTCCACCCCAGCATCAACAGTGTGGCAGGCATTCAATGAATGTCAAACGAATGAATGAATGAATGAATGAATGAACGAATGAACTGCTACAGATACAAGATGAGATTTAGAGTTTCTTTCTTCAGGTCTTCCCCTCACCTTCCCTACTTCTCACTAGCAAAGGTACCAGTAGTGACACTCTCAGCTCAAATGTTTTGAGTCTATAAAAACCACTTTATTACAGTATAAATGTTATTAGGTTAAAATATAACTGGGCAATTACAGATAAACAGATTAAAGAATTTCAGCTTTATCCAGCTGAAGAAATTAAGCCTTACTTTGCAATCCCAGATGCCCAGACCAGATGTGAGTCAAGTATTTTCTTCTCAGCTGAGGATATGTATTTTCTTACAGCTATGCTGCTTGTGTCACAGGCTCAGCTCTGCCAGCCTTTGCCATTCAGGGATGAGAACAGTTAGAACTGGCTGTCCTGCTTCAACTTACAACTCAAAACTAATGTCAGGGAGTTTTGTGAGTCTCCAGACTCTAAAACAAACATGGTTCATACGTCTAGAGAATTTTCTTCCTCTTATAAACCCATATACACACGTAAAGGCACTTATATAAAATGTAATGATAACAGAAGGCAGTATTGCAGGATAAACAATGGGTAACATGTCTTAATGGCAGCCAAAGAATTTTCATCCAAATTTTAAAGTATGAGGGAAATAAATAATTAAATCTTTTATTTGTTAAGAAGCAGTGTTAGCTCTCAACCACAAAGTGAAAGCCAATAGAGAAACTAACACATATCCAGAAAATATTAATTTATTATAGTTATGATTTAGCCCATTTAATTCAAGCTCTATAAGGCTGCTAAGTGAGCCTTTATCAACTGTATGGAGAGAGAAAATGGGATTTATCACTGTGGCAGACACTGTTGGTTGCCTTACTAATGTCCTTTTCCCTGCTGGCTGAGCTGGCTTCCTGCGAAAAAGCCTGACGACATCCACGCTAGCTCTCCCACTCTCCTCTGAGGCTAGCGCATGGAAATGTATCCACTTTCGGCCAGTGGGACTTAGGAGACATCTGGTGTGGAGCTCCTGGGGATGAGAGACACTGAGAGAGACTCCTTCCCTTCTCTGTCACTAAAATATGACATGATGTTTGGAGCTGAAGTAGACCACCTTGCAACGTGAGAGGAAGGTCAAAAGACTCTCACAGAAGTTGGCTCAGAGCCCTGACATCTTTGAGATGCTGAATCAAACGTGGAACTACCTGTCCCCAGACCTCTGGAATAAAAATCAGGGTTTTAGGCTGCTTTTCGTTAGGCATTTTGTCACTTGCAGTGTACAGCATCATTACATGGTTTGGTTCAAACATTTTCTCCTTCTGGGTTTCCTATTTCAGTCAATAGCACAACAGTCACTCACACTTAAAAACTTCATGTCACCCCTGAGCCCTCTCTTGCCACTGTTGTTCACATACAGTTAGCATTATTACCTTCATAATTAATCCAATAGGGAGTCAAAGCCGGGCTGATTTCACTGTATTAAGGCAAAAATCAAATGCAAAACAATGTGTAACATTTCACTTTTTCTCCTCAAATACAAAGTAGCTGTTGGGCAGCCAGTAGCTACAAAACTGATTTATTCCTCAAAGGAATTTTATAATCAGCTTTTTTGCAGCCCTTAACTTTCTGTCCTGAAGATGCTTTTGTGCAATCATCATGTATCATCTGGCATCTGGGCTGGCTTCAGTAGCTTGCTCAATGACCAAGAGAATGCCGTGGATGTGACACATGGGACTTCTGATACTAGGTCAGGAAAGGCTTGCAGCTTCCATTTGCCGCTCTGGGGGTTCCCAGCTGTGGGCAAGAAGCCTGACTACGTACATGCCACTAGGCTCCAAGAAGCCAAAGCCACAGGGAGAGGGCCTGGAGAATGAAATGCCACATGGGGATAGGGAGGCCTGGGAGCACCAAGATGCAGACATGTGCATGGAGAAGCCTCTGTGAGAGTGGATCCTCCAGCTCCAGCTGCCCCAGATGTGGACCAGAGACTGACTACTCAGTGGTGCCCTTCCCAGATTCCTGACCCACAAAATAATGAATAAAACAGAAGGTTTTTGTGAACTCACTAAATTCTGTGGTAGTTTTCTACACAACAAAAGACAACTGAAACAATCAGCTTACAAGGCCTACTGGTACCAGAGCACTTTTTAAAAAATCTTATGTGACTCATCACCCAAGACACTACGGTTATCTGTGTGTACGTCTTACCTACACCCAAGAGAACGGAACAGGTGTGTCTACCATGGCAGGCAGCAGTGTCTCTACACAGAGCAGGGTCTATGTTTCTAATGGAAGTGTTATGTGCTCCTGAATGTATGTTAAGAGGTTGTTTGTGTTTAAAGCAAATATGCATTTTTATTGTGATAATCTCTGGTTAGAAGACTGAGATGTGAAGAAAATTTTGTATTAATATTTAAAATGATTATAGACTACAAAAAGTATCTGTGAATCATTCAAAGTATTGCCAGAGAAGACAAAGGCCACCAAGTGTGTCACATGGACATTTTTGTAGTCCTTAATACATTTAGAGCAAGAATAGAGGGGACACTAGGAAGGCAGAAGAAGAAAATCACCATGTATGTTAGAAACTATGAGGCTGCTTTGCAAACTACATGTATGATGTATACCAAAGAGGTATGCCTTACTAGGTCTGCCTTTGTATACCAAGAGGTATGCCTTACTAGAGTCTGCCTCATTTAAGGGAATGCGGTGTGCATGCGTGTGTGTATGCATGCACGCACATACATGTGCATGCTCGCATCTGCATTTCAAATAAAATGAAATTCTTTTTCTTCAAAGGACACCAATTTTTCTATTATGAAGTCTTTCTTAGTACCAAATGACTCAGGAGTTTAATATCCCTCTTGTCTAGACATCCCGGAAGTTGACTATTATAGAACTGCAGTTATTGTTCCTGGGCCACACAATAGTCTGGCTAAATCAAATGAATGTTTTTGAAATGAGCACACTCTGCATAGTCTTCTTTGTGTGTAGATATAATTAGGGTTGTTTCTGCCTCTCAAAAATAGAGGGCCAGAGATCTGGTGTGGCTTGTATGCTGAAGCAACGTTTTCTAGATACCAAGCTGCTCTGAAGAGCTCTGCACCACATATCTGAACGTGGTGCTCTTCTCTGAGGCTGCCCACTGCACTTGCCTTTCAGGTCCCCGCAAAATGCCTGGGAAGAAAGAGTCCCTGGGGCTGGATGTGCTCTGGGATGAGCATGCATCTCCTCACTCTGCCTGGGCTCACGCGATCTGCTCTCTGTGAAGAAGTCAGAGGTTCTCTAACAGCCTGCCCGATGGGAGCAGGGCTAGGAAACGTCCTGAACGCTCTATTGGGACAGCTAGTGACCTCTTTGTCTTCTAGGTTCTACCAAGAAACGTAATGTACGCTTGTGTTCTCAACAGCCTTCTGAATGATGGCCACAACATGGCAGTATTTAATATGGCATCGCAGACTAAGTATCGGCTCCCCTGCAGATGATGATGTGTGTTTTAGGCAAGTTTATTTTCAGCCACTTTAACTGTTAAATCTAATTGGTAATTTAATATTTCAGTCCACTATAAAATCTAAATAAACAACTATACAAAATGACTACCACAGAAAGGGCCAAACGAAATTGGAAAAATAACTATACTGACCTCTCACAGTGGCTCTGGTTATGAAATACAAACTTTCTATGTCAAGGTGTATTGCTGTAGAAACATTTTAATCGGTATGGGAAAACATAATAATAAAACTGTTTGGGGGTAGGTCTGAGTGGGGCCAATGAGTTGAACCTTTGTTATTCAGAAACAACTTCTGATATTTATGTTTATGGCAGAAAGCTGCACATTTATGAGCAAATGAATGAGTTTACAGCGAGCGTGCGGCAGCCTGGAAATAACTGCTGAATGATTTTACCATCTCGAGCACTGTGCACACTGTGATGTCGGGGCAGAGCAGGGTGAGGACTAGAGGGTATCAAACGTATATGGGCAGGTACTAATTATCCCGTGAGGCATGATACTAACTGCATCTAAAATTGCATCACCTCACTGCAGTAGCCACTGATAATCCAGCAAATGCTTAAACATCGGGCAGAAGAAACATTTATATCAAACTGGCTTTCTCAATATGACTACCTGGTTTTATTCTGCTGAGCTCAAACTTTACATGTACTTTAGAAAAATGGAATAACCACATGTAGATACTGCAGAGATCAACTTGGCTAGTGGACTCTGATGCTGAAAAAAACAACACACTGGACCAGGTTTGAATCTGAGTTCAGCTACTCACCAACCATAACCTCTCTGATCTTTCAACTACTACCTTTATAATTCATCAATAAAGGGAGTCAATGTCAGTAGCACTGATTTCACTGGATTTAAAGAAGAGAAAATGATGTATATAAAACATGGCACTTTCTCCCTTCAAATATGAACCTGTATTTAGAGCAGTTCCCTGCAGTCCATAACATTTTTTTGGACCCCACTATTCTGTTTGGCTTTAAGTATATGCTAGATATTGACTGTATTAATTAGAGATAATCCTGGTATGACAAACATATTTTTCTAGAACTAATGACTATTATGTCAGGCTGACAAGTATAATTAGGCAATAAATCCTCAATCAGTCTGGTTCAATTTGCTACAGGGAAGATGAGGTCTCTGCCATCTTTGTCAATTTATGTTTAAAATATGTGTGAGTACTATTTCTAAAGAGAGGAGGTGGCTAAAGGAATTCACAATTTACGTTGCATGAAACACACTCTTTAAAATATTCTACCTTTTCAAGGAACCATATTTCAAACAAGCGCCGGAACCATGGCCACGATAAGAAAGTCACAAAGTGCTAACTTGGATTTCATCAGAATCAACAGCATTTTCTAGTAAATCAAAATCATAGGCCTATTTGTTAGAGGCAATAGCGTTGAACTCGGCCCTGGGCCACTCCTGAGCCCATCCTGGATTGGTTTACTGAGCTATTCGATAAACCCTGGTACAGAATCTATGGCACGCAAGAGTGCTGGACAGGGCTGGGGCAGGCACGCTCAATCTATCAGCAAGCACAGACACCAGAGAAAGTAAGAATATGTGAGGAGAGTCTGTTTCTAATTTGGGGTCACGCTCAAGTACAAAGAAGCTAGATCTGGTTGGTGGTACCAGTTTCAGAAGATGATCTGACTTGAATATAGTTGGGAAAACATGAACACCAAAGGCTGCAGCCAGAGAGTTGGGCAGGTGACATTCACATGCTTTGTGGACACCTGGTCCCAGGAATCCTACCATTTCCAATTAGATGAAAAGCTCCTTGAGGGTAAGAACTCCAGTCTTTTTAAACCAGCCTTCAATTCCAGCAGTGTACTGTTTCGCTAA
Source organism: Homo sapiens (assembly GCF_000001405.40). Taxonomy (NCBI): domain Eukaryota; kingdom Metazoa; phylum Chordata; class Mammalia; order Primates; family Hominidae; genus Homo; species Homo sapiens. Next base: position 56,269,730 of record NC_000014.9, on the reverse strand, counting down.
TAGTACAGATTGGGCTGAATCTCCAATCCAACACGGGCTGGCTGTAGGACTCTGGGCAAGTTACGTAAGTACTCTGGCCTCAGTTTTGTCACCTGTACAAGTGCTGGCCTTGTCCCCAGAAAGGTCACTGCTGTCTAAGAATTGAGTTTCAACTACTATATCTACCCAGTTTATGACAAATTGCTAAATAAGTGAAAGGTTCATATTGAAGTTTGTATGGATTTTTTCATTGTGTTTTAGAACGTATTAAGTCAACCTAATGTGCAATCTATTTTTTTTTTCTTTTTTGAGACAGGGTCTCACTCTGTCACCTTGGCTGGAGTACAGTGGCACAGTCACAGCTCATTGCAGCCTCAATCTCCCAGGCTCAAGCAATTCTCCTGCCTTAGCCTCTTGAGTAGCTGGGACCACAGGCGCACACCACCACACCCAGCTAATTTTTTGTATTTTTTTGTAGAGATGGGTTTTCTCCACGTTGGCCAGGCTGGTTTCTAACTCCTAGGCTCAAGCGATCTGTCTGCCTTGGCCTCCTAAAGTGCCGGGACTATAGGTGTGAGCCATTGCACCTAACCCAATCAATTCTTTTTATTGCTTTATTTGTCCCACATCTTTTGGAAAACAGGGGCAAAGTGTAGCTTTCCCACATAAGAATGCTGTGACTCAGTCACATATCTATATAAACATGTTCACATTACCAATCACACACTGTACATTAGTTACCATAAATGAAAACCAATCAGGACTTTCAAAGTTCTTCTGCCTTTTCGTCTCAGTTTTGAAAGCACACACTTTAATGCAGACTCTGATGGCACCTCCCAACAATGACTCCGTGTAGCAGCTCCCTACAAAGCATGAGACGATGCAGCAGGGGTGCAGATCTGAAAGCGTCACATACCACAGTGTGAGGCAATGCTCTGAAATCACACCCATCTCAACACACACACACAGCAGGCATCGTAACTGCTGGTCACTTCAGGGACTGATCCTGCAGTAAGGACCACCCATGGTTACCTAGAGAAAGGTAGGGAGGGCCACACTCACCTGATAAGAGATGGAGAAAGTGACCCTGAACAACCCCATTCTTTAAAACAGCATTGCATTTGCTTTTGAACATTTTATGTTTCCAGATGTGAGCAAAATGCCGCAGGGGAAGAAATGAAGGTGCAACATTCTTGTGAAATGCCAAGTGCTATAGTAAAAATTAAAATAATGATAGGATTTCTTACTGTACATATTAAGACTAAGAGAGAGAGAAAATCTAACCGTAGTCTCCTGTAAGAAGAGGAGTTGGTAAATTTTGTAAGGAGATATCTATCTAGTCAACAGATAATGCTTTAAAGGATGCATATGAATCACCTGCTGTGACATCCTACATTTACTTCTCTAAATATTTAAGTATTGACATATATATGAGCTACTTGCCATGGGAAGCAAAACTTTGAACAAGTAAACCTAACAAAAATGAATCATAAGTAAAAATAAAGCATCCTGCGAATGACTAAGTTGAAAAAGCAAAATTCCTTGTTGAATAATTCGATTTGCCTATTGCTCTTTCAAAAATGCACTTACTAGTTAAAACAAGGTACATAACTTGTTTCTAAAGAGCACTGGAGAAAAAGTACATAGGCATCCACAATATATTGTGTGTTATAGTGAGTCAGTAGTAAATGCAAGTCCTAGTTTGTTGGCATGAGCAGGCAAACTTCCAAATGCTATAAATTGAATCTGACATAAATCGATTTTATACTAAGATACCCAATGACTTACCATGTAATTGTTTTAATATGTAAGCCAGTTTATCAGCTGTCAAAATGATCCCTTGAGTAACTGAGGAATATAAAGATTGAAACTTACAAGGATAAGCTCCAAAGAAAACAAAATACAACATCCTATTGATTAGTTATAGTGATAGAAGCAAAAGTCCCCATTTAAAAGATGTAAACAAAAACGGGAAGATTCCAATTTTTCCCTCATTTTACTTGAATTTTTTTAAGACTTGGCCTAAATTTAAAATTTGTCCATCTGCTGAAGAATCTCATTTTCTTTATGGAATAAAACCAGATCAATAAGGCCACATTCTAGTTATACAGAACCATGAAAATATTTATTCTCAAAAAGCAAAATATATTTTGGCAGTTGGTATTTTCAAGAGGTTGAGCCTGCTGGAAACATGCAGATTACAATCTTAATATACAAAATTTTGAGTAAAATAATGAATGTCTTTCCTTGGAAGTACCTGCTGCCACGCAATGCCATTCACAAATGTTTTTCTTCAAAGCCTGGATATATCTGGATGTTACTCCTCAAGCATCATTAAACTGAACTTCTTAAAAGGCTCTTTATTAGCTGTGTATTCTTAGGCCATACCCTGAATCTATTTCTTAATCTGAAAAGTACAACTACCTTGAAGGGTTTCGCTGCAAAAACTCAGATGATGTCTGCAAAGTACCCAAAGGACAGTACACAACACATAATTACTATTAGCCAATTATTTTGATTACTATAACATTCATAATCTCTATAACACTTAATTTTATGGGGTCCCTCGGGTTCTTGACTGATTTGTAGAGCAAAAGATATTTTAAATAAGGTAATATGTACACAAGTTACTAAATGTTACCAGTGAATGGTATCTCCCTTCCAATTCCAATCTTCTATCACTAAGAAAGCCACTACTACTAGTTTCTTATATATCCTTCCAGAGAAAAGTCTATGCCTATACCAGCACAGTATACACATCAGAAATGATAGCATACTGCATACAATGTTCTGTTCCCTGCTTCTTTAACACAATAACTTATAGAATTGTCTATATAATGTAGTTACAGTGTTGTCTCATTCTTTTTAATGTATAGATGCAGCATGGTTTATTTAATGCATCTTTTTTAGCAGGCATTAAATTATTTAAATTTTATTTTACAAGCAGTACTGCAACAAATATGCAGATATTCGTTTTGCATACAGGGAAATATATCTATAGGACAAATTCCTAGAAACAAAATTGTTCAATCAAATGGTACATGGTATGTCCACTTCTGATATTGATAGTTATTGTCAAACTACTTTTCACAGAAGTTACACCAATTTGCATTCTCACCAGAAGTATATGAGAGTATGTTTTCCCCACTCTCCCCACTATAGGGAGTAAAGCATAAAATGGCAGATATCTTTACCTTCTGATATGTGAAAAGAGTAATCTCATAGTGCTTTTAATTAGCATTTCTATGAATAAGGCTTTTAAGAATGCTTAAGAGTTATCTCTTTTTTTATTTACTATGAACAGCTTATACCCTTTGCTCAATATTTTTTGGGTTGCTTGTCTCTTATTGACACAGGCACTCTTTATATATTAAAAAAGATTTCCATTGTCTGTGATATGAGTTGCAAATCTTCCCACTCATTTGTGTTTTGACTTTAAAGTGTTGTGGGTTTTTTTGCCATGCAGATTTTTTAAAAAGTTTCTAGAGTCAAACAAATCAATATTTGCTTTATGATTTTTGGATTTTACTTTATAGTTAGAAAAGCTTTCCTCACTCCTAGATTAAGTGAAGAATTCTCCATTTTTCTTTAGTATTTCTATGATTTTGGCTTTATGTTTAGAAATATTACCCAAATGTTTGAACAGTCAAGTGCTTATAAAAAGGTATAGTTTGTTTTCAGCATATGCATGTATCAACAGTTCACTGCTTTTTTATTGCAGAGTATTCAGTTTTAATGATATACCACAATTTGTTCATTCACTTATCTGTTGATGAACTTTGGGTTAGATCCAATCCTGCCAACTTTTGGAATTGTCAGTCTTTTAATGGTAGCCATACATATGAGTGTGTAGTGATATCTCATTGTGGTTTTAATCTGTATTTCCCTAATGATTAATGAGGCTGATAATATTTTCATATGTAAATATGACATCTATATATCTTCTCTGGGGAAGTCTCTGTTCAATTCTGTTGCCCATTTTCAAAAATTGAATTTTCTTACTGTTGTTTTGAGAGTTTATACATTCTGAATACAAATTCTTTATCAGACAAATGATTTGCAAGTATTTTCTACCCGTCTGTGTACCTTGTCTTTGCATTCTCTGAACAGTTTATTCCAAAGGCGTAAGTTCTTAACTTTGATGTCTATTTATCAATTTGTTCTTTTATAAATCACATTTTTGGTTTTATATCTAAGAAATTCTTCCTAACTCAAAATTGCAAAGATTTTTCTTCTATGTTTTCTCTTAGAAGTTTTATATTTAGTTTTATGATCCATGATGAACTACTTTTTGTACACGCTGAAAAGTATAAATCAAATTCATATTTCTGCATGTATAAATGAAACAGCACCGTCTGTTTAAAAGACTATCCTTTTTCAACAGAATTGCCTTTGCATCTTTGTCAAAAACCATGTCCATATATATATGGGTCTATTTCTGGGCTCCACTGTGATGATCTATTTATCTATCTTTACACCAATACCACACTGTCTTAATTACTGTAGCTTTAAAATAAAGTCTTGAAGTCACTGGGAGTACTCCAATTCTGTTCTTATGTTTCAAAGCAGTTTTGGCAATTTTAGGTTTTTCACATTTTCAAATGAAATTTAGAATCAGTTTATTAATTTCTCTTAAAAAAGTCTGCTGGGATTTTGATTGGTATTGTACTGAATTTACAGATTTTGGTAGAATTCACATCACTGTTGAGTTTTCTGATCCATGAACATGGTGTCTCTCTCCACATATTTAGGTCCTCAATTTCTCTCAGCAATGTTTTTATAAGTTTCTGCATAAAGGTCTTCCACATCTTTTCTTAGATTTATCCCTAAGTGCAGTCAATTCTCATCATTCACAGTTATATTCTATCAAGTTGTCATAAATATTGATTTACCGAATACTGAGCCACTGCTCCTAAGGAAAATACAGGATTCAGTTCCTAGGAGCCTCTTGTTGCAACATTTTTGTCAAATGATCAAATAATTGTTTTCTGTGTTTCTGTTTAAAAATACCTCACTTAATATATATTTCTTACAAATAATCACATAATAATCTTTATAACGAAACACTAACCAAGAACTGGGTTTACCATTTTCCTGCCCCTGGGTAATGTGACCATAAATTTCTTTGGCTTTCAGTTTCAGAACAATGGTGTCCACTATGCTTTTTTAAATTGGCTCTCATCTCATGAATTCATACATTTCGCCACTTTCCCATCATTTAGCCACTTTACCATCTTTCCCACAGCTTCCTAATACACTGTGCATATTACTGTAGCACTTTCTAGTGTGGCCTCATCTATGTATTGGGAAATCTCCTCCTCCTTTTTCTGGTGTACTGTATTGTTAATTCATTAACACTGAACTCGCAGTCAAGAGCACATTAACTGAACAATGATAATCTAACATGTAGTTTCTCTGTACGGTACATCAGTGTTCTTGCACCTAGGAATACTGGGGAACACTTCAACACCATGGTTGGGGGAACATTTCAAACAGTGAAATCACCAAGAAAAAGTGAGAAAAACTTAGCACTAAATATACCATGCAAAGAACACTTGTTGACAGTATGAGAACTGAAGCAAGAAGGCAGAGCTTCGCCTAGTTGGACCTCACCTGGGAATGTGTGCCCTGGGCAGGCCACTCACATTTCTTGCCACCGTGCATACATCTACAAATAACTGCAAAAGGACCCTGAGTATTAATTTGGGAGTTACAAGTAAATTTTAGTCAGTAGGTAAATGTGTAAATATGGAATCTGTGAATAATGAGCATCAACTGTGTTTTACATTTTTTATGCTATTGCAAATAGTATTTTAAAAAATTTTTTCAATTTCTGAGCTTCTGTTGTCTTTAAAAAAAATCGTCTGCATTAAGATCTGTGCTTTCTTTGCCTTACCTGTATTTTATATGATCACTGAGAAGGGGCATATTTCTATTCTTACAGCTACTTTTGTGCATAAAACTATAAAAATGTTTGCACCCATTAACTCTCTAATAAGAACAATAAGACTATTTTCATTTTCTGTCATCCTTCTGTGTACACTTTCAATTATTTTTAAACTGTTTATTGCTGTTTGCTTTTTAAACCTTTAAATATATTTATATCTTCCTGTTTTAAGTGATAATTTTTGTCTCCCAGCTATAAAATCTGAGGATATTAGCATGCTTACAGAACCTCTCTCCATTCTTTCCTTCCTTGCCCACCTTTTATAAATTCTATTATTTCTACATTGTCAGAATAATAATATTTACATTCTATTCTGTGGCAATCATTTTCTCATTTGTTTTAGTCCTTCAGATAGAGTGTAATTCAATGTTTAGATGATAGTTTTGCATTCACCTCTTTTTTTTGGCTGAAATTTGTCTTCTGGTAATTTCTTCAGTAAGGGCTCATAAAAATTCTATATCCTGCATTCTTGCATATTTATCAGTATTTGTCAATTGGCTGAATATTTAAAAGAAATGTGGGGTAAAGAAATCTTGGGTCACTAGGTTGGGTGCGGTGGCTCATGCCTGTAATCCCAGCACTTTGGGAGGCCAAGATGGGAGGATCACCTGAGGTCAGGAATTCGACACCAGCCTGGCCAACATGGTGAAACCCTGTCTCTACTATAAAGTACAAAAAAAATTAGCCAGGCATGGTGGCAGGCGCCCGTAATCCCAGCTACTTGGGAGGCTGAGGCAGGAGAATTGCTTGAACCTGGGAGGTGGTTGTTGCAGTGAGCCAAGATCACGCCACTGCACATCCTTGAGCAAAAGAATCAAGGCATTTAACATCAGAGTGTAGAAAATTTATAAACAACCCCCAGATAAAACAGGTCACTAAAAAAAAATTTGGGTAAAAGTTATTATACACAAAAATGGTTTCCCTTGAGCATATTCTATATTAAAACTTTTACATTCTGGCTGTATTTGGTAGAGAATATGATCAAAAGTCAGGGATATTATATAACACAAGAATCAATGCAGTGACAGCAACAGCACTAGGACATCCTGTGCCAGGGGAGAGAGTTAGATCAGGAACAAGGCACTCAGCTTGAGGCTCAGCCCTAACGTCAACTAACCATGAGTCCTTTGGCATGTGACTAAAACCTTACAAATCGGCCAAAGAGGAAAGCCGTGGCACAGATTTTAAATGTTACTTCACATTGTGAGAATACATTCTATCTATGGTAAAGAATTATTTTTATTATCCCATCCTCAGCTATTATTAAAATTAAAATTTACATTTCTTTAGAAATTAATGGCGAAAAGAATTGGTTGTGAGAAACATCTCAAGGAAAATACTCTGATATGAAAAAAAATCTGTGGTTGATTATCTTTTTGCTTATAATAAAACAATCAACAGGAAAAGTCAAATGGCTTGATATTGAATACACTGGGGATTCAGATCTAATTCATTATTAAGTCAATATGACTATTATTATTGATTAAAAAGTCTATCCATGCAGTAGGTAAAATGTTTATTTCTTGGGTGTTACTGTGGAACAAAACTCCTGGAACTGCAGCTAAAAATACCAGGGTTAGTGTTAGGTTATTATACTTGCTGTCTAGCTAAAGCAAGACAAATAAATGAAAGGACAGATTTGCCTTAGGATTTTGCCTGTAAATTGCAGTTTAAAATACACTTGCCCTGCTTCTAGTACTTTTGGAAAGAGATAGAATGTAAATAAATTCAACAAATAATGTGTTGCCCTCTTACGGATAAAGCCTATGCTGAATGGTAAACCCTAAAGACATCACCCACCAAAGCAACTTTTCGAGAGTCAAACTATGTGATAACCAGAGCAGACAAGTCTTATTTATGGGGGACAGAAAGTCAGCAATCTTCAGTCAATATATTTATGTGTGAAGTTTAATCAGATTAGCCATCTACATGTATAAAATCTCCTACATGGATACAACTCCAGCTAACAAATAAGAAACTCACAACAGATTTATAAGATAAATATATACACCTTAATAACCAAATCAGTGAACATTCTGCGTAGTTAGTGCTTTTTCAAGGCATAGTGTTTTTGCATGTATTGTTTTACTGCAGTCATCTGATCCACACAACCACCATGAGGTGAATATTGTTATCTCCATTTTGTAAAATAAGGAAACTGACTTAGGGTAAGACATTTCCTAAGTGGATGGGCAAGTCTATACTGCACTGCATACTCTTTTCTTTGTTCCTTTACAAAAGAATTTCCAAGTTTGGGGGACAGAATTTATATGGACTTTTGTAATCATTTATAATTTATGAGACCATAGGATTGGAAATCACCTTGAAAAGCGATGTAGTTGAAAGCGATGTAGTTCAGTCACCCATCAAATCCTGTTTCCATCATTAGAAAAGAACAACATTAAGAGAAGAGAAGAACCAGTAAAGAATGGTACTGTGCAAATCGAATTTGTAAGAATGAACTCATGAACGAATGAACAGAAACAAGCCGTAAGCAAAACTGTCAGCTGGGGCAGAGAGATCAAGCAATAGAAATGAGTGGCCATTGAATCTGAGTCATCTGTGGCATCACAGGACACAGTTACCAAGTATTAATGCAAGCTGAAAGTGCACATATTATTCAGAAGTTTTTAGAATCTCCTTTACAGCATGCTGCCCTTGTCAATAGTATCCAGTCTAAAAAGTTACCAAACTTGAATAACTGGGAAGCTTCGTGGTGGGTAGACAGCTATCTCCCTGCAGCCAGAACATTTAAGAAAAAAAAAAAAATACCTCAATCCCTCCACATACTAGAGTCCTTCAAATATCTAGAGACAGCCTCACGGTACCTCACCTCACCTCCAGTGATTCCTTCCCTTGGTGAAACATCTCTCACTCATTCTGATTTTCTTCAAAATACATGGCTTCAAATCTCTTTACTCTCCCGGTTATTCTAAGCTGAACATAGATGTGTCCATATCCATTCATTAGGAAGTCACATTAACAGAACTTCATAACCTGCACATGGGCTGACCCCAGGCAAAGTAAACAGTTCTACTTTTGTCACTTCAGAAAAAGAGTGTGTTCGCTTCTTGAGGAATCCATCGTACTATTTACTCACACAAGGATTACCAAATCGTCAAATTTACTTTATGAAAAACTGTTTCCCTACTTTAAAAATCAGCTTTATTGAGGTATAGTTTACATTTACTAACATTCACCAGTTTTAAGTGTACAATTTGAGGAGTTTTGACAAATGAAGAGTCATGTAACCACCACTTCAGTCAAGACATAGAACTGTCCCGTCACCCCAAACAGTTCCTTCATGACTGTGCAGCCAATCCCTGAAACTGCCTGCCTCCCCCAGGAACCATTGATAGGGTTTCTGTCACTATAGCTGTCTTTTCTGGAATTTCATACAAATGTAAACTTAATATGTAGTCTTACATACTCAGTGTCTTTACCAAAACCCTTTGAGATTTATCTATGTCATTATGTGTCTTGGTAGTTTGTTCCTTTTTCTCTATTAGTAGTTATTCCATTCTATGGACATTTAAAGGATATTTATACTATTTCCAGTTTTTAGCTTTCACAAATATAGCTGGGGTTTATAACCCAGAAATGTATATATCTGGGGATATATACATTTCTCCTGGGTAAATACCTAGAGGGGGATTGCTGGGTCATACAGCAAATATGCATTTAAATTTTTTGTCACAAAACAGGCAATCTGGAATTTTTATTGGAATAGTGCTGAATGTATATCAATTTTTGAAAAATTGGTATCTAAATAATATCAAGTGAATATGGTATGTCAATAATATCCAGAAATATGGTTCGTCTCTCCATTTTATTTAGGTCTTCTTTATCTCAACAATGTTTTGCAGTTTATAGTATGCAATATTACATGCATTTTGTTAAATTTATCCATAAGTATTTCATATGCTATCTTAAATGCTTTGCCTTCAAATTTTCCATTCTCTATTACTTATTGCTAATATAGAAGAACTTATTTTTGTACATTGGTCTTGTACCCTACAAGTCCACTAAATGTACTTACTAGTGTGAATAGCTTCTCGTTTTGTTTCTACTGTAGGATTTTCTATGTGCATAATCATACTGTTGTGAAACAAAACAAGTAAGTGTGGTTACCTGTTAAGTTTTTCAAAAACATCCTTTATCAAGTAAGGAAGTTTCATCTATTCCTAGTTTCCTGAGAGATTTTATAATGAACGTTTAACTTATCCAGTACTTTCTGTGCATGCATATGGAGACGATCATACCATTTCCTTTTTGGTCTGTAGAATTACACTGACTAACTTTTGAACGATTAACCAACCTTGTATTCCTGGGTTAAACAATACAAGAATCTTATGGTCTCCTCTCTCTTGTCCTTGATGCTGCTGTCATTTTATCTCTATGCATGTTATAAACCCCATACATTATTATTAATTTGGCTTAAAAGTCAATATTCTTTTAAAGAGATCAAAAATAAGAAAGAAGTGTCTTTCATATTTCCCCTCATTTTTACCACGTCTAGTACTCAGCACTTCATATAAATCTAAATTTCCATCTGTTGTTTTCTCCTTCTGCCTGAAAAACTTTAACATTTTTTGTCGTGCAGGTGTGCTGGTGATAACTGTTTTTAGCTTTTGTTTTTCTGAAATAAAGTCTTTACTTCTCTTTCACTTCTGAAGAAATTTATGCTAAATTCTAGGGTGATAGTCTCCCTTTGTTTCTCCCTACTTCTGTCCGTCCCCTTTAGTACTTTAAAGATGTTGGTCCATGGTCTTCTGACTTGCAGTGTTTCTGTTTAATTTTTTCATTCTTAATTTTGTTTCTCTGTGCATATTGCCTTTTTTCTTTGGATGATTTTGAGATTTTCTATTTATTATTGCTTTTTGGCAATTTAACTGTCATGTGTCTTACTATAGTTTTCTTTATATTCTTTTTAGAGCTCACTGAGCTTCTTGGTTCTAGACTTTTATCATTTTCATCATATTTGAAAAATTTTGGCCTTTTAAAATTGCTACCTTTACCTCCACTTATCTTTCTAGGACACCATTTACACATATTTGAGACCACCTGATATATACCCACAATTTACTATGGCTATCTTTATTTTTTTCAGTTTTTCATCTCTTGCCCCATATTGGAACTTCCTATTGCAATACCTTCAAGTTCACTGATCTTTTCTTCTTCAGTTTCTAATGTACTGCTACCTCAATCCAGTGTTTTTTTTTTTATTTCAGACATGTTATTTTTCACCTTCAGAAGTTTCATCACTTGAACCTTTTTTCTGACATTGTTCTTCTCAACATGCACATTTCCCTTTACATTCCACGTCATAGAGAATATATTTGTAACAGCTATTTTAACCTTCTTGTCTGTGTTTAATTCCATCTGTAATTTCTAGGTTTGTTTCTATTGATTTATTTTCCTCCTGGGTATAGGTCTTATTTTACTACTTCCATGAGTTTCTGGTAATTTTTGATTGGATGCTGGCCATTAATTTTTTTTTGCGGGGGTGGGGGGGCGGTTCTTGATTTTGTTAAGAGTGTTGGACTTGTTCTGGTAGGCAGTTAACTTTAGAACAGTTTTATCTCCCAAGACTTGCTTTTAAGCTTTGTTTGGGCAAGTCCAGAGCACACTTTGATCTAGGGATAATTTATCCTCATTACTAAGGTGACACTCTTCTGCAGACTCTATCCGATTTCCCTGGTATTTTGAGATCTTTTCACTCTACAGGTGGGAACATAACTAATCCCAGTCCTTTGTGAGCTACAGAAGTTGTTCAGCCTATTGCTTTCCAGTAGTTCTTTCCCCATTCTGTGGCGCTTCACCATGCACACAAACAAAACAGTACCTGACCAAGGGCTCAGAGAGTATCCTCTGTAGCTCTACAAAGCTCTATGCCTCTATGAAGCCCCCTCATCTCTGGCAGTTTCCTTTACAAATTTCAGCTGCCTCACCTCCTCAGACTGTAATCTTTGTCTCTTCAACTCAGATCATAGGGCTGTTTGGTTCCTTATTCCTTGTTATTGGGCCTGTGAAAACTGCCTTAGGCAGTAAGCTGGGGCTCACCTCACTTATTTCCCTTCTCTCAGGGATCACAGCCCTGAGCTGCCTGTTGTCTGCAACCAGTCATTTAATATATTTTGTCCAGTTGTTTACAGTAGGGAGAGGCAGTGAATTCTGTAACAGTTAATTCTTCATGCATGGAAGTGGAATTCTTTTTCGCATACATTTTAGAATCTCTTCTGTTCCTCTGTGTTTCACATGAATATATACATAGATACATATATATATAGAAAGAGAAAGTCCAGTACACCTGAATTGATGACAATTTTAAACTTAAATAATTTTAATAATTTAAACAATTTTAAACTTAATTCACCATCGAATTATGCTCCTAATAACATCAAATACTAAATAACACCCAAATCCAGTTGTCTCTAATTTTATTTTATTTTCTTCAGAGCATTTACAAGAAACTAGTTGTTGTTTATTTTACTTACTTACTTCTTCCTGCCAGCCCACATTACACTGTAAGCTCTGAGGGGGTAGGATCATCTTCTATGTTGTTCAACACTTTTATCTCCAATACCTAGAACATTTCCTAGCACATACATACACAATTAACTTAACTCTTCTCTGATCTGGCAGGTACTTAGTAGAAAATATACTTATTTGTTATCAAGGTAATTTTGGTTAAATAATATCCTACTTGCCCTTGATGCCCACTATATACTATTAATACAGAGCCTTATATATGAGCAGGCAAACATTAAGAATAAAGATGAACGTTAAAATTCATATTGAAAAGAAAAATAACAGTATAAACTTCAATGTTTATCAAAGCAAATAATATGCGATAAGGCAGGGTATCCTACCTAGCTAGTTAGACAGCTGGCAACTTCCAGTAGCACACACTAATATGAATTTGAATATGGAAGCCTACACGCTGAAGCCTACATACATTCTAAAAAGCTGCCACTTTAAAAGGTGTAACCTACATTAATCAGAGCATGCAGGGTAGAGGAGAGGAAATCTGTCTGAAATCTACCTGCAAATAAAATCCTTTGTTATTTAAGAGGATCTACACTAGGTTAACTCAGAATTTTATTTATTCTACATATTAGTTACTTCCCAAGAAAACTGAAGTTTTGCATTTTCTAATTACGTCTTAAATAAGAAAAGCAGACTTCATCTCCACATAAAATCTTTGCAAAAAATTCTAAAATAAAAAAATTTATTTAATAAGAATTCAATAAATATTTTCCGGATATATGCTTTCTTCAGACTCACACCTGGCTTCTTACATTTATAGTTAATTTTTACTTTGAAGTTAATGGTATTTTTTTTTTCTTTTTTGAGACAGGGTCTCGATCTTTGCCCAGGCTGGCATGCAGTGGTTCCATCAGAACTCACTGCTGCCTCAATCTTTTTAGGTTCAAGAGATTCTCCCACCTCTGCCTTCTCCCACCTCAGCCTCCAGAGTAGCTGGGACTACAAGTGTGCACCACCATGCCCAGCTAATATTTTTTTTTAATTTGTGTTTTGGAGAGATGGGTCTCACTATGTTGTCCAGGCTGGTCTCGAACTCTTGGGCTCAAATGATCCTCCTGCCTCAGCCTCCCATAGTGCTAGGATTACAGGCATGAGCCACTGCTCCTGAGTGTAAATGGTATTTTTTGTCTTGCCTAACCTAAACTGACTCCATCATGAGCACCGATGACACAGGAGTTAAGATGAAATTACTTAGACAGATAGTAAGAAAGGGTACTGGAGTCCTCAGTAAGGCTTTTCTTTTTAATGAAAAGCAGCCCCAAATCATTTTCTAACAAAGAGCACCCTGTAAAGTTGAGCTGCATAGACAAGCAAGCTGGGAGCTTGCACGAGTGAATGCCAGCAGGAACTAGGGACTAGCCATGTTCAAGGTGGTGGCTCCATCTTCCCTTCTCTGCCAGCCACATGTACAGTAAGGAGCAGACAAGATGGTGCCAGCCAAGGATAATTCATTTGCATAATAAGATTAGAGTGGGGCAGCCAGCCTTCCCCACACATTATGTAAATGACACACCTGATCACACCAATCTGTGGGCCCTACGTACATCAAACACTATCTCCTCCATCCTGCCTATACAATCTGCTGTGGTCCACCACCTTCCCCCAACCCCACTTTTTAAAAAATTATACTTTAGGTTCTGGGATACATGTGCACAACATGCAGGTTTGTTACATAGGCATACATGTGCTATGGTGGTTTGCTGCACCCATCAACCTGTCATCTACATTAGGTATTTCTCCTAATGCCATCCCTCCCCTAGACCCCCACCCCGACAGGCCCTGGTGCATGATGTTTCCCTCCCTGTGTCCATGCATTCTCAATGTTCAACTCCCACTTATGAGTGAGAATATGTGGTGTTTGGTTTTCTGTTCCTGTGTTAGTCTGCTGAGAATGATGGTTTCCAGCTTCATTCATGTCCCTGCAAAAGACATGAATTCATCCTTTTCTATGGCTGCATAGTATTCTATGGTGTATATGTGCCACATTTTCTTTATACAGTCTATCACTGATGGGCATTTGGGTTGGTTCCAAGTCTTTGCTATTGTAAATAGTGCTGCAATAAACAAATGTGTGCATGTGTCTTTATAGTAGAATGACTTATAATCCTTTGGGTATATAACCAATAATGGGATTGCTGGGTCAAATGGTATTTCTGATTCTAGATCCTTGAGGAATTGCCACACTGTCTTTCACAATGATTGAACTAATTTACACTCCCACCAACAGTGTAAAAGCGTTCCCATTACTCCACATCCTCTCCAGCATCTGTTGTTTCTTGACTTTGTAATGGTCGCCACTCTAACTGGTGTGAGATGGTATCTCATTGTGGTTTTGATTTGCATTTCTCTGATGACCAGTGATAATGGAAATTTTTTCGTATTTGTTGGCTGCATAAATGTCTTCTTTTGAGAAGTGTCTGTTCATATCCTTCGCCCACTTTTTGATAGGGTTGTTTTTTTCTTGTAAATTTGTTTAAGTTCCTTGTAGATTCTGGATATTAGCCCTTTGTCAGACGGGAAAGATTGCAAAAATTTTCTCCCATTCTGTAGGTTGCCTGTTCACTCTGATGATAGTTTCTTTGCTGTGCAGAAGCTCTTTAGTTTACTTAGATCCCATTTGTCAATTTTGGCTTTTGTTGCCATTGCTTTTGTTGTTTTAGTCATGAAGTCTTTGCCCACGCCTATGCCCTGAATGGTATTGCTTGGGTTTTCTTCTAGGGTTTTTATGGTTTTAGGTCTTATGTTTAAGTCTTTAGTCCAGCTTGAGTTAATTTTTGTATAAGGTTTAAGGAAGGGGTCCAGTTTCAGCTTTCTGCATAGGGCTAGCCAGTTTTCCCAACACCATTTTTTTTTTTTTTTGAGATGGAGTCTTGCTCTGTCACCAGGCTGGAGTGCAGTGGCGCATCTCAGCTCACTACAACCTCTGCCTCCCAGGTTCAAGCAATTCTCCTGCCCCAGCCTTCCGAATAGCTGGGACTACAGGTGTGCACCACCATGCCCAGCTAATTTTTGTATATTTGGTAGAGACGGGGTTTCACCATGTTGGCCAGGATGGTCTTGATCTCTTGACCTCGTGATCTGCCTGCCTTGGCCTCCTAAAGTGTTGGGATTACAGGCGTGAGCCACCACGCCTGGCCAACATCATTTATTAAGTAGGAAATCCTTTCCCCATTGCTTTTGTCAGGTTTGTCAAAGATCAGATGGTTGTAGATGTGTGGTATTATTTCTGAAGCTTCTGTTCTGTTTCATTGGTCTATGTATCTGTTTTGGTACCAGTACCATCCTGTCTTGGTTATTGTAGCCTTGTAGTATAGTTTGAAGTCAGGTAGTGTGATGCCTCTAGCTTTGTTCTTTTTGCTTAGAATTGTCTTGGCTATCTGGGCTCTTTTTTTGTTCCATATGAAATTTAAAGTAGTTTTTTTTCCCAATTCTGTGAAGAAAGTCACTGGTAGCTTGATGGGGATAGCACTGAATCTTTTGGGCAGTATGGCCATTTTCACGATATTGAGTCTTCCTATCCATGAGCGTGGAATGTTTTTCCGTTTGCTTGTGTCCGCTCTTATTTCCTTGAGCAGTGGTTTGTAGTTCTCCTTGAAGAGATCATTCACATCCCTTGTAAGTTGTATTCCTAGGTATTTTATTCTCTTAGCAGCAATTGTGAATGGGTGTTCACTCATGATTTGGCTCTCTGTTTGTCTGTTATTGGTGTATAGGAATGCTTCTGATTTTTGCACATTGATTTTGTATCCTAAGACTTTGCTGAAGTTGCTTATCACCTTAAGGAGTTTGGGTCTGAGATCATGGGGTTTTCTAAATATACAATCATGTCATCTGCAAACAGAGGCAATGTGACTTCCTATTTTCCTAATTGAATACGCTTTATTTCTTTATCTTGCCTGATTGCCCTGGACAGAACTTCCAATACTATATTGAATAGGACTGGTGAGAGAAGTCATCGTTGTCTTGTGCTGGCTTTCAAAGGGAATGCTTCCAGCTTTGGCCCATTCAGTGTGATATTGGCTGTGGGTTTGTCATAAACAGCTCTTATTATTTTGAGATACATCCATCAATACCTAGTTTATTGAGAGTTTTTAGCATGAAGAGGTGATGAATTTTATCGATGGCCTTTTCTGCATCTACGGAGACAATCATGTGGTTTTTGTCATTGGTTCTGTTTATGTGATGGATTACGTTTATTGATTTGCATATGTTGAACCAGCCTTGCATCCCAGGGATGAAGCTGACTTGATCATGGTGGATTTTGATGTGCTGCTGGATTCTGTTTGCCAGTATTTTACTGAGGATTTTCACATAGATGTTCATCAGGGATACTGGCCTGAAATTTTCCTTTTTTGTTGT
This sequence comes from Homo sapiens, assembly GCF_000001405.40. Classification (NCBI taxonomy): domain Eukaryota; kingdom Metazoa; phylum Chordata; class Mammalia; order Primates; family Hominidae; genus Homo; species Homo sapiens. The sequence goes on along the minus strand of NC_000014.9, from coordinate 56,252,896 downwards.
GTCTCTGCCAGGTTTTGGTATCAGGATAATGCTGGCCTCATAGAATGAGTTGAGGAGGAGTCCCTCTTTTTCTATTGTTCGGAATACTTTCAGAAGGAATGGTACCAGCTCCTCTTTATACCTCTGGTAGAATTTGGCTGTGAATCCATCTGGTCCTGGGCTTTTTTTGGTTGGTAGGATATTAATTACTGCCTCAATTTCAGAACTTGTTATTGATCCTCCTTTTTTCCAGACGTCTCGCTCTCCCTCTATCTCCTCTCTCTTGCAAGAAGCTGTTCTCCTCTTCCTCTCACCTTTCCACTACTAAACTTCCTGCTCCTTAACCCACCCATGTGTCCATGTTCTGAATTCTTTCCTGGCTCAAGGCAACAAACCACAGGTTATTCCCCAGACAAAGAAGGTGTTTCACCAACACTCATCTTACAATACGTTACAGGTTAAATGTGATTTTATATAAATAACTTTACAACTATATTTTCTAAGACTTCTTTCAAAGCTTCTTGATTTGGCAAGTAACAGAATGGGTTACAGTAGTTTACATACAACAGGTGTCCCAGTAAGACATTGTGATATTGATGAACAAGGTATAGGAACACCTCTGCTTTGGGAAATATTACTCTAAAACAGGAGTGTGCTACCATTAGCTATGAAAATAATTTTAAAGGCCTAAACTCCTTTTTATCAAGTCTGGCTACTGTTATAGCACCCTTACCCTAGGCTATGACAACTATATTTACTTGACTATGAATTGTTACCTCCTTACTGCACAATTTCTGGTACAGAGAGCATTCAGTGTTTGCTGAACAAACAAATTATTGAAGCAGAATACCCTATTCTCCCAAGTATCCTAGGTGTCTGAGACATTATTACCCTGTGCTATTGTCAAACTCACCTAATAACAATTCTCAAAGTCCTACATCATAATCCATTTATGCTTCACTATTAAAAAAAAGAATTACGGTGTATACGTTTGGCACCTCAAGCTGTCATGTCAATCTAGATAAGAATCCAAGATGAATACAAATTGAATAGCTAAAACATCCCAAGTGACTACTCTTGATGTGAAGCTTTAACAACTTGTCCTGATATGCTATGCTATGCTAGCTTTAAATAATTAGCACAGCTAACATTTTAGATGTAATGTCCCCCAACATTTATGCTTAGCAGCCTCTTTCCAAGAGTAGTTCGTGTCAAAAACTTGGGTTTTGGACTTGATTTTGCTTACCAATTGCAGAGGCTGCAGGGTATGACGAGACTGAAACAGGGTGTGGAATCAAACAGGGGCTCACAATTACAAGTGCACTACATACCAACCATGAGCACACAAGTGTGTCACTCCACCTCCCTGCATCACAACAATCAACCAACAGGGTAACAATAACGAACTGCTGCAAGGATCAAACAGAATACTCAGCAGAAACTACGGCTGCTTGATCTTAAGTCATTTAAGCTTCGCGTACTAGAACACTTGACTGTAAAGACTCAGCAACTACCCTGCTCGCCTTACAGGATTGTTGCAGGGATAAAATAAAATAAGAAAATAAGCTTGGCTTTTTAAGTTCAAAGTGCTACACAAATATTATGCTACTATCTTCCTAGGAGGATAATTGCATCTGTGAATGGAAGGAGGCAGAAGAAGTAACAATGTCAACTTGGCTCTGAAGGAGCCTCTGCCGATGGCCCTCCCAGGCTGAGCTCCTGCTGCCCGCTGTGAGCAGCTGAGTGCTGGCTACTAATAGCTCACAGACAAACCCTTCTCCAGAGAACTTTCTTTGGCCCACTTAGTCCAGAAATGCCTGGGAGATGGTGCCCCCAGGGGCGGCCTGTAGCTCAGAACCAAGGAAAGAGGGCTGAGCCCCTGCTCAACGTGGGGTGGCTATGTGGCCTCAGAGCTCCCCAGGGGGTCAGGCTGAGGCTAGACTTGGGCTAAGAGCACTCTTTCCCAGCTTCTTCCCTTGCTCTCACTTGCTTCCCTCACCTCCTTCCTGGTTTCTCCTGACAGTACTTCTTCAGTAAATCACTTGCACAGGCTTTCTGTGATGGTTAATACTGAGTGTGAACTTGACTGAAGGATGCAAAGTATTGTTCGGTGGGTGCCTGTGAGGGTGTCGCCAAAGGAGATTAACATTTGAGTCAGCGGATTGAGAGAGGCAGACCCACTCTCAATCTGGATGGGCCCATCTAATCAGCTGCCAGTGCAGCTAGAATAATGCAGGCAGAAGAAAGTGGAATGAGGAGACTTGCTGAGTCTTCTAGTCTTCATATTTCTACCATGCCGCATGCTTCCTGCCCTCGAACATCAGACTCCGAGTTCTTCAGCTTATGGACTCTTGGACTTACATCAGTGGTTTGCCAGAGGCTCTATGGCATTTGGTCACAGACTGAAGGCTGCACTGTCGGCTTCCTTACTTTTGAGGTTTTGGGACTCAGACTGGCTTCCTTGCTCCTCAGCTTGCAGATGGCCTATTGTGGGACTTCACCTTGTGATGATGTGAGTCAATTCCCCTAATAAACTCCCTTTCATCTATTCATCTATCCTATTAGTTCTGTCCCATTAGAGAACCCTAACTAATACACTTTGCTTCTAGAAAACCTCATCTAAGCCACCATATAACTTCTAGTATTGACTTACCTGGCTGAAATCTCACCCCCATCAACAAATAGAAATGTTTCCAGTGTGGCCCAAGCTCTCAGTAGGAACCGTCAGTGCATCAGGCAGTGCTCCACAGGTCCAGCCAGTGCCGATGGCTTTTGGAAATAAGCTTGAAGCCAAAGTTTGGGCAGAAAACATGGCATTACCAGAGGGAGAGGATACAGCCCCATTTGGAGCATCCTCAGTAAGGAGGATAGGGCATTCCAAAACCTACAGGCAAAGGGGACTTCTGCCCCTTAGAGAACACGAGAGAGCACTGATCTTGCTCCCTGTGTGAAACACTTCTCTGATCTAGTCTGTGCACAAAAGTCAAACAGATCTCCCAAAAATGCTCTCCCCACCTCAAAAATATTTCAGTGACATCAAGATTCGCATGACGCATGCTAGGCATGTGTGATCCTTTATTCAGTGACTGAGTCAGGGCACACATTGATGGGACAGAGCAGTGAGAGACACACTCCTGGTGTCAGTCACTCTCAGTCTCTAACCTGAGTTCCCACAGAGCTGAACACACGAGCCACACATTTTGTCAGCCACTTGCTGCCCCAAATGCTGTGTAATTCCTTGTGTGTATTCCCATATTGCCTCCTCAGGGGAACACAAGCCCTTCCTTGTTCATGAGACACACCTGGAGCATGCTCAGTACTGGGGTTACAAAGAACAGTTCTTGTCCCTTAGATACTCACATGGGACTCTGCACCTAATAGTCCCAGAAATATCCGTTGAATTAAACTGACTGCACCTTGGAAGAGTTGAATGGAGGAGGAAGTGGTCTTTGGTGGGGATGCTGAGGCTGCAGGATTTAAATAGGAGGGAAAACGTTATCTGGGGGAGGAGAGGCTTTCACACTGATGTTAACAAACATGTAAATAAGAATAACCAACAATGTGATGAGGGTGGATGGGCAAATGCATGATATATGTAAAGGATGTTAAATGAAAGAGGGAACCATTAATGCCCAGGGCACAGGGCCTTACTTTTCTTCTCTCCCACCCCTATCCCTGCCTGGCACAGAGTAAATGCTCAATACCGCTTGAATTTTAGTGGACGTTAATTCCTTAAGCTTAGAATTCTCATATGTGAATGTTTGGAAACTAAAAGAGACCTGTACCAATCTTTTGAAGCCAATACACACTTCCGAGCATCACATAATCTATATCCCATGGCCAATTCACGGCACCACTATGACAGGGATTACCTGTTAACAGTACTCAAGCCTTTGTGGGAAAGGCCCAACGGAAACACAAACACCAAAACTGGACACAAACTGGGAGAGAAGATGTGCATTTTACTTTTTGAAATGACCATTAACCCTGCTTCCCTGAGACTTCCTAAGAAGAAACATGATATCCTCTACAAGTGGCATGGCAGGAGCAGCCGCAGCACATGGACTGCCCTTCTCATGGCATTCAGCAACCCCCGGGGAGGGTTTTCAACAGCCAAGCCCCAGAATACTAAGGAGCAGCAACAGCCCTCTCGGTGTCTCCTCTGTGCCTGAGCCTGATTAGAGTCACCCCTTTTCTCTACACCTCCCAACCAGCTTCTCATGTTGCAGATTCAAGGCCAAATTCCTGGGCCTGGAATTCAAGACTCCAGGATCCGGCCTCCTCATGGCACCCTTCAGGTCAGCCTCCCCATCCATGCTCCTGCATGCCTTCCTTCTGCTTCCCAACCCTCCATGTTCTCCTGTGCCTCTCCACCAAGGCTCCCTGCCAGCCTGGAGGCTCCTTCTCACAGTCACCCTCAGCAGAACGGTAAGCCACCTCTTGTGTGAAGCTTTCCCTGACTCTCCTGATGATCGGGATGTATCGCTTCTTTTTCTGGGCTGTTTTAATTCTCTGTGCTTCAATTCTTTCAGATTAAAAAAAAAAAGGAATAATGATCTGTATTCTCTCACTTCAGAGTCCTTGATCTTAAAAAGTTAAAGAATAAATTAAAATGTGCGCGAAACTTAATGTTCTCATTATTTACTATGCTCAAAGAAGCCACATATTTGGTCGGCTCATATGACATGTTCGTTGCATAATAGCAGCATGGTAGACGCTGAAAATTATTTTTGGACTGTATTTCACATTTAGGCAACTACTTTTAATGGTTTAAATCAACCCAAATATTCTGAAAATATAGTTTAACTGATTATATTCAATCTGATCGTGCTAAAAAATTGCCAAATGGAGCATCAACACTGGAGCCAGTTACGTGGCAGCTAGCCTAACAAAATCAAAATAGCACTGACACTTTTCCTTCTCTTGGCAATAAAACAGTGGGCATTTTTAGACATTTTTCAGACACTTTCCAAAGTATAGACATCTGTCGTTTATATTTCAAGTTTCTCCAAATATAGAATATAGTGTCATCCTTCCAGACTGGGTAGCAAAGATTACTCACTAAATGACTACTTTCTTAACAAGATTCCATGAAGGCATCTGACAAGGTCTGTCTCGACATTTCTATACATACAATGGAGAAATATAGTTAGAAGATAATACCCAAAGTAGATTTATACCTGGGTGAATGATTATACCTATAAAATCAGTTTCAACATAACAGGAGCCCTCTGGTGGCAACTACAGAATTCTGTCTTGTGTTAATCCATGATTTTCAAGATGTTAACGAAAGTAGGTTGATCACAATTTTTAAAATGAAGCAATACCAAAGACAGTGAATCCACTGATGACAGGGTCAAAATCTACCCAATGACTACATTATAAAAACAGGCCAAATGTAACAAGATAAGGCATTTTTAAAGTGATAAATGTACATTTATATGTGTAGGTTCAGACAATCAACTCTCATGAATAAAGATCTATGCTCAAGCAGTCCCCTGCACCACTATTTCTAACAGCATGCAGACAACCTAAACATCCATCCGTAAGGGGACAGCTAAATAAATTAAGGGGATAGAGTATACTTTGTAGCAACAAAAAGAAAAACTACAGTTGACTGAAATAATAATCGGAAGAATATACACGATAAATCTTGGGTGATAAAAGTAGTTTAAGCATTGTATACAGAGACTGTTCCCATTCCTGTTTTGGTTTTGAAAGAATTCCGTGTGTGTATGTTGATTTTCATACACACATTATGTATGTGTTTGTACATATAATAGCAACATTTGAGCACTTGCTGTGTACCAGACACAATTCTACAGGTCCATTATATTTATTAACTCAATCTTTTCAGAGACACAGGTACACATTCGTATCTCTGTATTTTATTTAGGTACAGAAAGTAAGCAGTAGACCAACAACGTAAAAAGGTACTCTCGTATCACACTACCACATGGTTACTGGGGTGGAGAAGGTTTTTCTTATATATTTCTGTATAGTTTAAAGGTTTTTCAGAAGAATGTAATATTTCTTAAATTCTAAAAAGGAAACGTGGCCAAGATAGTAAGTATGAGAAAAATTGCACAATATAAGTCAATGTATGATGGAATAATTAAATGGGATAGGAGACACAGCGCTGCTACTTCCTAGGTAAATTACCTTGAACAATTTACTTAACTTTTGAGTCTTAGTTTCCCAGCGTACTACAGATAATCAAAACTATTTGCAAAGTAATATGGGTTAAATAAAGTAATGCATAACCATGTCAAGCCCATACTTCCTGGTACACAGTTGGCCTACGTCCGTAAACACTGCTTTTAACAGAGAAACAACACAAAAAAATCACTCTAATCAATACTGGTAGACCACGCTTGTCCTGAAGAGCACTCAAATGCAGAGGCTCGGAGAGGCCAGAAAGGAGAAGGACATGGGAAACACAGGAGGAAGGGTTGAAAGAATTAGTGCAACTTGCCCTGGAAGTGATGTCTTAGGGGAAGATTAGCAGCTTAAGTAGTTATTAACATTAGAGAAAATGTTGACTTTTTCTGTTTGGCTGTGATGGACAGAATCAAAACCAAGGTATAAAAGTTACGGTTAAAGGGAAGGGGGATCAGATTTGAGTGTAAATATATAAACCTTGTAACAGTTACAGCTGTTGAAAATGGTACCAAGTTGCCCAGTAATGGAGTTGTTATTCTTGTCAAGTCATAGCAAACTTTACAACCTCTGTTTGCCCCATGAGAGAAAGTACATGGAGAACGCACCAGGTGCACTCCAGAGGAGATCCATGCTTGCAGAGGAAGGATAAAGTAGATTACTCCTGAAGTCTCCTGTAACTTTAAGATTTATATGATCTATGGCATTCAAAGGCACTCTGCAGTTCGAAAAGTCTATTAGTTTAGTAGCTACAGTCATCTTTCAATGTCCATGGTGGACTGGTTCCAGGACTCCTGCAGATACCAAAATCTGAGGATGCTCAAGTCTCTTACATAAATTGGTATAGTATTTGCATATAATATATGTATTAATACATCCTCCCATATACTTTAAATCATCTCTAGATTACTTACAACATCTAAAACAATGCCAATGCTATGTTAATAGCTATTATGCTTATTGATATACAATACAAAATTTGTATTATTTTTTGTTGTATTGTTATTTTTCCCAAATATTTGTGATCCTCAGTTTGTTGGATCTGCAGATGCAGAACCTGTGGACAGAGAGTTGTAGTATTGCTATTTTGACTAGTAAAACTATCTGGCTATTCTCATTTTTATAGATGAAGAAACAGTTCCCAAAGAAAGAAAATTTGCCTGTATAGAATCACATAAACACCAGGCCAGAATAACAACTCTCCAACCCTTAAGGCATATATTCCAAATTTTGCCAACCAGGAATTCACTTAATGGGCATATTGTAGACATGCAGATAGATAATTATAAAATTAATAATTTTTACATGTTTATCATACATGGTTTTACATGTTTTAGAAAAATATTGATAAAATATATTTTTAAATTAATTTTAAGTATTCCATATCAGCACAATCTTTCATTTGGGTTCAATGACACATTTAGCTTGAGTAATATTCTGGTTCCACATCTAAGCTAATTAATTAATATATTTTCATTAACATCAATTAGAAAATCACAACTCATGCACTGTACAGACTGTTGGTAACTGTTGCAGTGTTTTGTTCTACTAAGGAGTACAGATATTTCCACCAAGGATGAACCCAGATATTATGGAAAAATTTACTAAACGCCTCGCTTGGAATTTATTGGAAACCTAAGTTATCCTTTAAGTCTGGGAGATGCAATGTTTCGAATTAAGAGAAGTGGGAAATAGATTCTTCATTCATTTATTGCTTATATTTACCTCCAGTTGTTACATATGCCCAACATTTATGCTTCCTTGATGAAAATCATACATGCTAGTAAACAGTCAGATCTTAGTGATCCAGTCTCAGCAGTATTATCCAGTTTTAAAAAATTCTATTTCTTATTTCTGTCATTGACCAGGAAGAGACAGATTCAGTCTGAAAAGAGAAAAGCCTATGCAATATGCCATCTGTCTAAGCCAACTGATTATCACAGACATGGTCTTTACTCATATCAAGACCATGAAGAAATATTTTATTTCATACCTTATTCCAAAAAGGTCTCCTCAACAGCTAGCACAACTCAATGGAGAAAAGCTGAGCTATTTAATTGCTGAGAATCTATTTACACAGCCCAGTGGAAAATACACATTCAGTGATGGAGTTTTCATCCTGCTCTTGGTGGAAGAAGTGGAGGGAGGATGAGCATTAGCAGAGTGGCATCTTCCTTGCTGCCTACTCAGCTGGTGCCCTGTCATTAGGAATGTCTGGGAACCTTTTGTTCATTATCAGTGCCTTCCAAATAAACAACAAAAAGAATCTCTCCTGAAGCGAAGGGTTTCAACGACAAAGATTACAGAAAGTCACTGAACATTTCTCCCTCGTGTGTTACACATATTCTAAGGACTGATTCATATTCTACACAGTGAATTCAACAAACTATAAAGTGAAATATTCATTCATGCATGACTGCTTTCCACATTGCATACCCCTGATATTACGTCACATGCAACAGCAGTATTTGATCAACGATTTTGCCAAAAGCTTGTTCCTCTTTCCTTTTGAATATGTTTGCCATCAGTTTGGAGGTTGATGTTGCAAACTTCTCAGCAAATCTACTTTTGCTAGGATGAATGTAACTATGAATGATGCCTCTGAGGTTTTGTTCTATATTCTGGGCCCTTAGTAACAAAATTCATCAGTTTCACCCTGGAAAACACTATTTTGTACTTGATCTGGGAAGACTCAACTGGTTTACTGGAGAGGCCACTGTACTCTGTCTGAAAATGACTCAAAAGCATTGGGGGTTTTATGCCCCTATTTGACAAAGTTTCATAAAAGAGAAAGCACTGGAGACCACGGACAAATAAATCACCTCCCAAGTAAAATTCAATTTTCAGAAAGTCATTATGATACTTTCTATTTACAATTTTTCTTTTTCTGTGACTTGACTAAAATTATCAACCTGAAAGATTAACTGGTCCCTGGATGTTAAGATTCACATTTTATAATGACACTGGGTTTCCCTTCACTATTTATGCTTATGTTATTTTGAGCTGTAGTTTTTCTTATTTTTGTCACTCCTTTTATACTTCAAAGAACCACTTCTGAGGTACTGATCCATTCTTGTGAACTGGATAAAGAAAACAACACAATAATAATGACCCAAAAATGCAAAGGTTAACAAAAGTAAACAAATAACAAACCCCAGTATGCTTACTATGTGCCATGCACTATTTGAAAGATTTCAATTACCTTAACTGATTTACTCTTCACAACAACCTTAGAAGGAGGTAGTATTATCCCCATTTCACAGATAGAGAAACTGAGTTGTGACTTCACTTGCCCAAGATCACAAAGTGCCAGGAACTGGGGCCAGGCGCTTCTCATGCTCTAAACCCTCTCAAACAAGGAGAAAGCCTGCAGAGATCAGTGCCTGTTAGCTCCATCAGGGGCCTCACTGCAATAACGTCATCCCAACCCCCTCACAGCTGGAATCTGCTTAGAGATGTCAACAGCTGGAGGCTCTCAAAAGACACACTCCCAAGTGATGGCTGCCATTCTGCATCTTATATCAAGGGGGAATCACACATTCCCCTGGCAGGTTGGTTCTGTGTTACATGACCTACCAAGTTACTCCCTTCATTTTCTTTTTTCTGTTGTTGTTCTCTGTTTCTAATCAATGGATTAGAAATCAACCAGACAGACATCTAGAAAACTCGCAAATATCTGGAAATCAAATTCGATACTTTAAAATAAGCCACGGATGAAAGGAGTCATAAAAAGGAAGTTAGAAATACATTTATTCAGCTTCAATAGTTTTTGGGGAACAGGTGGTGTTTGGTTACATGGAAAGCTCTTTAGTGGTAATTTCTGGGATTGTGGTGCACCCATCACCTGGGCAGTGTATACTGTACCCAATGTGTAGTCTTTTATCCTTCACTCCCTTTCTCTCTTCCCCCCTGAATCCCCAAAGTCCATTACATCCTTCATATGCATTTGGGTCCTCATAGTTTAGCTCCCACTTACAACTGAGAACATACGATAATTGGTTTTCCATTCCTGAGTTACTTCACTTAGAATAATGGTCTCCAGCTCCATCCAAGTTGCTGCAAATGTCTTCATTTTGTTCCTTTTTATGGCTGAGTAGTATTCCATGGTGTGTATATATACCACATTTTCTTTATCCACTCACTGACTGATGGACATTTAGGCTGGTTCCACATTTTTGCAATTGCAAGTTGTGCCGCTCTAAACATGCATGTGCAAGTGTCTTTTTCATAGAATGACTTCTTTTCCTTTGGGTAGATGCCCAGTAATGGGGTTGCTGGATCAAATGGCAGTTCTACTTTTAGTTCTTTTTGATTACATGTTACTTTTGACCTCCTATTTTACATGATGAGACTTTAGCTTCCTCACACAGACTCTCCTCCCCCAAGCTGCTAATATAAAATAATTTTGTTTTCAATTGATAGTCACTGTTTTCATGGCTACGACTATGGTATATAATGCTCACAGCAGAGTCTGTAGTGCACTATGAGTGTATTTCCTTTCTCAATAACTCTGTTTCTCTTGGAATTATAACTTTGTTCATAGTCTCTTGGTTTTCTACTTTCCTATTACTAATTCATCCCCAAACCTTCTGACACAACTATAAAATCCTCTGTACAGAACCCATGAGGTGGCCACTCAGTTGGTCCTCCTGTTCCCTGGACCCCTCGCACACAGCCATTCCTTCCACAGGCCTCTGCCTACCTGGAAGCTGATTGCTAGGCCATTACAGAGCTCTGTGCCTCTCACCATCCTGGGAATTCCCTTTGCCGCCTTCTTGTGCTGGATCTCGTTTCCTTCATCACTTGTCTTCCTCTTTATTTTGCTCCCTCATTTTAGTGGAGTGTATCCTTATAGCAGCTAAATAGTTTATTTTAGTCCTTATGGATCTAAAATGTCTTAGTTCCACCGTTGTACTTGACTGTTGGGCTAAGTACAGAACCAGGCTGGAACTCATTTACTCATTTCCCCTCAAAAGTAGCGTGCAGCTTTATCATTAGGAATTCCAATGCTATTTGATTCCCGATCGTTTAAATCAAACCTCATTTTCCCCTCTCTGGATATTTTTACTATCTCCCCTTTATCCCTGGTGTTCTGAAATTTCACAATAAAGTGCCCTGGTGTGAGTCATTTAAAAAAATTGTTAATGTAATTCCAACAGAATATATACTCCACAATGGCACGGGTTTTTGTCTGCTTCCCCCCAACTCCTGTGCCTCTAGTGCACTGGACACAGCCTGTCCTCTGGTAGGCCCTCGGCAATACAGGTAGAATAAAAGGCAAAACACTCCTGTACTTGCTGCACCCTTTCTATCTGGAGGTACATCAATTTCATGAATTACTTCTCTATAACTTTCTGCCCACTACTACCTTTGTAACTCACATTAGTTGGGTGTCAGACTTCCTGAATTGATTCCCAAATTTCCCAAATATTCTTTTTCCCCCCCAATTGTTCTACTTTTTGAGGGATTTTTTTAAATCTTAAGAGTTGCTTTAATCTTTTGTTACTAAATTTTAGTTTTCAGGAGTTCTTTCTTGCAGGCCTAACACTGGGTTATTGGGAGTCCCATTCATTTTACTGGAGGGAGCAGGATCCTTACCCTTTGCTATCTGTAAGGTCTTTTTCTCTCCATGTGGTTGATTTCCTCAGAGAAGAATACTCAAACCTCCTGGGGATGATACTGGTCCAGTTTCCAGTGTTCCAGGAGCCAAGCAAGGGGAGACTGTCAAGATCTCACTACTCAGCACAGGGATTTTCACTTTGAAAAATCCCCATGGGTTCTTGCTTTCTCGTTATTTTAAGGAAATATGTATAAAGATAATGCAGTGGAATACAGGGAAAAACAAACATGGTCATAATGTCATATTGTTCTTAGTGACCCACTTTACAGAGAAGGCAACTGGGTCTAATCAGATGGGGGCAGGATCCAAATCCAAGTATCCAGGCTTCAGCCTTAAGCTCCTCCCCACAGCTACTCTGCCTTGGGGACCCACATCCATCCAAAGCTAGCATTCCACCTGAGCCTGAGCATCAGCATCTCTTTACCCCCTAGTCCCCTCTTCTAGAGCTACTCCGTTTCCTCTTCCCTGGCTTCTTAGGTTGGCATTCAAACATGGCCTGTCTTAAAGATCTCCTCTTGCTCCTCATCTCCTTCCACTTACCACTACAGACTAACACAGCCAAACTCCTTGAAAGAGTAGTCTTCCTGTACTGTCTCCATTTCGTTACCCCCTCACTGACCAACCATCTAAAATATGGCAATTCACCCCCGTAACTGCACCGAAACTATTCTTGCTAACATCACTAACACAACCTTGTCTGTAATCCAGTTCACACTTTCACTTTTGGCATCATCCTTGTTGCCTCCCTTTCCTTAAGCCCCACATCCAATCATTTACCCAGTTGGTCATTTCTACCTCCTACGCATCTCTGGAGTCCATCCCCTTCTCTCCTGCTCCACCGTCAGGCCCCCAATCGTCTCGCCCCAGGATACCCTAACAGCCTCCTATCCTAACAGGTCTCCTGCCCTCCAGTCTTCCCCTCCACACTGCACCCGAGTGGCGGTGCTAAAACACAAATCTGATCGTGTCACACATCCCTGCTGAAACTACTTCTGTGTTGTCTCACTGCCCTTGAAACAACATTTCAAACTCAACACAGCTTATCAGGCCTTCATGATCTGGCCCAAATATCTTAATGAATAAGGGACTGGAAGTTCCCAGAGGGGTCAGTGACTTGTTGCCATTGTTGGCTCACCAGAAGGGGAGGCTGAGTTTGAACCTGGGTCTTCATCTCCAAATCCTACTCTTTTCTGCTACTGATAGATTATTTCTTTTATTGTCTACTTCACATTATCCATCCTCCTTGTCATTTCTATCAATAAATGTAACTAAGAGTTGATTATGGATGAAAAAATGTAGACTCGGGGAATTTGCTGAAAGTCACACAACAGCCACGACTCCCCCTGAGCTCTGTGCTCTCACTGCTTCTCTAAAGGACTTCCCAAATCACCAGTGCTTTGAGGGGTCGTGTCCCTTCACAAGTGCACGGGGCTTGGGGAAGGACCATAGGGCACTGAACTCAGAAGACCTGGGCTCCAGTCTAGTCTGTATGCATATCCACAAACAGGATAAACAGGAGGCTTACTCTGTTTGCCACTCAGAGCTCTTGTGGAAATCAAACGAGAATAGAAACAGGAAAATACCTTACAAATATGTTGTAATTAGTATTAATAAGGGCAGGTTTAAAAATAAAGGTCTAGAAGAGCATGCTTAAACAAATAATGCATTATACAACATACCTACTTACTCTAAAAAATCAGTTCTCATATGTTGGTAGGACTATCAAACTCAAATAACTGATAGTAAGTCAAAGTTAGGAGACATTCTCTTGGAAAGTCCAGGAATTTTTAAAAGCAGATATTCTAAGATAGCCTCTTCTTGAGGACTATTTCCCTATTTTCAATTCCAAAGAATGAACACATATTCATCTTTCTAGACTTTCTAGACTATTTAAAACTCACAAAGGCAACTGTTTTGCACTTTTGAAAATGCAGAGAGCAAGACAGGCAATAAATATCATTTGTGGTTTAATAATTAATGTTTTTCATTATTGTAGCCCTTTTACAAAGATGAATTTATACTTTAAGATCTCCAGTTCACTAACACATAATTAGCATAAAAAGGCCTCTCTGAAAAATGTGATAACATTTAGAATCAATTCATGCTTCTAATCAAACCCAATGAAATAAACATTTTTCAACATTAACAATAAAGTATGTTTAATTTACTGCTTGAGTTGGTTTAATCACATTAAGGAAGTTTTCAGCTACCTTCCTACCTGTTACTCTTCTAACCTCTTTTATCTCTAGAAAAGCATTGTTTTTCTAGTTCACTGAACAAATCCCTTCATGTGAACCTTAAGATAACTTTAACCCACAAATCCTCCTGGTTAAACATCTCTGTCAAATATGTTCGTGGGCCCGGAATCTGCCACTCACCTGGCTTTTAGATACAAGCTTCGTGTCTCTGTACAATTAGTTTCACGAACTATCTTAGTAATGAATTAATTTTACTCCAAATTCAGTGCCTGAAATTTAGAACAAACCTTATTACAAATAAAATCACAGTAAGTCTACACAACCTAGTGAACCCTTCCATCAAAAGTCAGGAAACCCAACAAAAGTTACTTAAGAGCACGGAGGGATGAGGGTTTTATTACGACAGCGGCAAAATCATTAGAGAGATGGATTAAGAACCCTAAGCATCTTCAACTGCTATTACCACTGCTAGAACTGCCTCCTAAAAATATTTATGACAAGAACCTAAAATATACCTAATAGATTTTTTGGATGTATTACTGGAAGACTGAAATCAGCAGGAATGCTAATTAATGCAGTTAATACGAAACAGCAATTGACATCAAATGTTGGGTAAAATGAGATTTTAAGAACTTTAATCTCTTCCCCTAAAGACAGTAAATGAAATTCCTCTGTAAAATATAACATTTTAAAAGTCAATAGAACTGCAAGAGGCATATTAACTCAGCAGAGTTGGTTATTATTAATTATAACTGAATACCTACCAACTTCTGCAGGCAGAACTGACTGACAATAGGTTAAGTCAAAGTGGTAGGCTTTTAAACAACTTAGGAGATTTTCAGATTCTAGATAATTTTCTATTCAAGAAAATTATTCTTAAGCAAAGATAAATAGAATTAAATCAGGGCCTTAATATGCCCATTAAAAAAGAATCATATAACAGCAACATCATTTATCTTTTTTTAAAGACATACTGTCCATAATTCGAGGATGAATAAGATCTGAGTTAAAACAGTATGCATGAAAAAGCTCAGGGTTGGGGGTAGGAGGAGTAGGGAGTGGGGAAATAAGAACTGATTGACTATTAGTTCTATCAACCATAATGAACGGTGCCACAGAGCTACACAGAAAGACACAGACAACATGAAAAGAAGTATCTGGTCAGTCCACATGCTCTGACATGTTTAGGTCATATCTGGAATAGTATGTCTAACTATGAACATGCAGTGTTTGAGGAACGGACACACTAGATATCAAATAGAGGGAAATAACCAGCAATTATGATGCTTGGGGATGGAGATTTACCTCAAACCATATTGCCCAAGAAGCAGCTAGAGACACCGAGGGAAGAGGAAGCTTAGTGGTGGAGGAAGGAAGAGGCCCAAAATACATGAAGCCACATGGGAAAGGGAGATTCATCTGTGTTGCTTCAAAGAACAGAATATTAAACAATGGGGAGAAATTAATGGAAGAGATAATTTAGTTCCACCTAAGAAAGAAAGATCTAAAAATTAGAGTTGTCTGAGTAGAATGGGATGCTGAACAAGTGAATACTGAATATTAAGCAAGGTGTGGATGCGTTTCTGCCATGGATTCTGTGAATCTTCCTAGCCCCTGTAGTGGAAAGCAGACAGGCTAAATAAATAATTAATTGATTTCTTAGGAATTAATTGAGGATTTCCATTTCTGGGCGTTTGTCTAAGTAGGCACTCTGACCAATTCTACATAAATTCTCATACTGAAAACTAAAAATGTATACAACGTTAAAAACAGGTCAATAATAAATAGGACCTGACTGGTGAGTAAGGAATATTAGAAGTCAAAGCTTAAGTAAGGGCAGGAATCTCAAGAAGCAAGGAGGGGACATTTGCTAAAGGGGGACAGAATTTTCCTTTGATTTTCACAGTCTTGTGAGAGTGCTAGGAGCAGGGGGAAAAGCCCAGGGGCTGCCCAAGATGGAGCATCTAATAGGGCATCCCAAAGGACCACAGCCTCAGTATTTGGAAGAAAACAATTAAACTGACACCTCCAGAGTACAAAGAAAGTTGCCTATCTCAAATCTTGGTACAAATAGAACAGGGAGAGATCCATGCACCTCCAGGAATTCATAATCACAAGCCAGCACTTCTAAAAGTTTGTGGCCAGAAATAACTTGAGGTCCAAAAAACCCCAAGTTGAAAGTTGACTTTCCAGTGCTCCCCAGGGAAGGGGAGGGTGGTGGCTCCAGTCACCTGGGAAAAGCAAAGGCAGCTCCTCTCTGGAGGAACCTGCCCTTAACTCCTGTCTCAGAGAATTACCCCAGATAGGCTTCCAAGAAATATGAACTCATAATAAAAAAATAAAAATACAAAAACCAATGCACCATGAGTAAAAGGCAGCAAAAACAAGAGAGAGTAGAATCAGAACTGTAAACGCTTTAGCTACTGAATTTATCAAAAACAGGACTGAGACTAAAGGCATGCATATGCATGCATCACACACACAATACTCAAAGCCAGCTAGAAGTCTGGATATGCTGGAATCTCATTCATTCCTCAGAAGCATCCTAAGATCACAGCTTTAGAGGTGCTGTAAAAGTTATTACATAAAGTGTCATTAAAACCTGAGAATAAAGGCCTCCTCCAGGTATTCATGACATGACAGCTTATCTCTGCACAAAGAGCCGTAGCTAGAATAACGCTATGTGGGTACCAGTATATACACACCTCTCGACACGTGCTTTAAATCAACTCCAAGTATGTTTACTTTGAAACATACTAGAGTAATTAAAAGTGGTCAATTTAGAAATTAAAAAACAATTAAAAATTCTATTAGTTTCACAAGAGTTAAACTTTAAAAAATCAAAACAAAAATTTTTTAAGTGACATATTTTTAAAGTGATAATTTTTTTAAAGTAATAGTGGGGAGGGAGGTGAAATCCCACTAGGACCAAAAGAGAAACAAAAGAAAATGTCAAGGACCAACAGTTAAATTATTTTATGAGTTTGATACCTTGTATTTACATAGATAATGAAATTGAATCAAAAACCACTCAGTGGAAATCTAACCTCACCAGCTAGGTTATGCCTTTGTACCTAAATGTACGCAGAAATGCCCTTCTCTTCCCTGTCTTCCCCATGGTTTACTAACAGGGATGAGCAACAAGAAAACTGGGCAGACAGCTCCTCTGCAGGATACATGCTTATGTATTGGAAATAATATAAGGAAATGAAAATATCCATCTTCCATCCTTCTATAAAATTGAAAGATACGGATTTGCCATAAACACCATGTTCTACAAACAAGTATTGCTTGTACCACTATATCCCTGGATGGCCAGGCTTGGACTGCATGACTCTGGCAGGGCCAGCCCCTGCATACAGGTGACCACAGCAGCACTGGCAGTCTGAGACTAGGACAGTTAGGCCAGCAGCTCTAGGCCTGGCTCTAAAAGGTGACCTGAGCAACAAAGAAAGATGCCACCCGTTAGCGTAGAAGAGAGGATGAAAGCTCAAGATGTCAACTGGAGTTCACGGGAGTGAGCCAGAGTTCTGAGACTGAGTTTCTCCATGTTCCCTTTAAGTACAATGTGCATTTTCAAAGATTTCTCTGGAAGTCCCCAAATTTTGGGGGGATATATCTTGACATTGTAGTTATAATAATCTTTTTTCTTTAGGCCTTTGTATTATTTACTTCTCTAGCAGGTAACATTTTATTCACCACAGTATTAACTTTTTTTTTTAGGTGGTTCTAGTAAAGGAATATTAACTATTAGGTTGGTGCAAAAGAAATTGTGGTTTTTGCCATTAAAAGTAATTATGAAAAACACAATTACCTTTGCACCAAGCTAATACTAAACTTTGAAGTAGAGATGACAGTTTTTTCCTGATATACTTCCTAAGCCTTGTTTTAGTTTTCTTAGATGTGAAACAAACGTAACACCCTCAGAAAAGAAAGTGAAGTAGTAGGAAGGAAAAGGCTTCCATGCAAAGCTCTGTTGGGAAGATCCAACTTCCTAGTCCCTGTTACCAGGTTTGGGCAATTTAAGCCCCTGCCAGCACCCACAACCAGCCCTCCATCCCCATGCTATGCACAAGTGGAACCAACTCCATGCTCCATTGCCTTCTTCACCTTCATTTCCAGTTTTCCTACAGATTAGCGCAAATACACTCACAGGCCTCACCAGGCTTCACTTTTTACATTTTTTAAAAAAAATACTTTAAGTTCTAGGGTACATGTGCACAATGTGCAGCTTTGTTACATATGTATACATGTGCCATGTTGGTGTGCTGCACCCATTAACTCATCATTTACATTAGGTATACTTCCTAATGCTATCCCTCACCCCTCCCCACAACCCACCACAGGCCCTGGTGTGCGATGTTCCCCACCCTGTGTCCAAGTGTTCTCATTGTTCAATTCCCACCTATGAGTGAGAACACATGGTGTTTGGTTTTCTGTCCTTGTGATAGTTTGCTCAGAATGATGGTTTCCAGCTTCACCCATGTCCCTACAAAGGACATGAACTCATCCTTTTTTGTGGCTGTATAGTATTCCATGGTGTATATGTACCACATTTTCTTAACCCAGTCTATCATTGATGGACATTTGGGCTGGTTCCAGGTCTTTGCTATTGTGAATAGTGCCACAATAAACATACGTGTGTATGTGTCTTTATAGCAGCATGATTCATACTCCTTTGGGTATATACCCAGTAATGGGATGGCTGGGTCAAATGGTATTTCTAGTTCTAGATCCTTGAGGAATGGCCACACTGTCTCCCACAATGGTTGAACTAGTTTACAGTCCCACCAACAGTGTCAAAGTGTTCCTATTTCTCCACATCCTCTCCAGCACCTGTTGTTTCCTGACTTTTTAATGATCGCCATTCTAACTGGTGTGAGATGGTATCTCATTGTAGTTTTGATTTGCATTTCTCTGATGGCCAGTGATGATGAGCATTTTTTCATGTGTCCGTTGGCTGCATAAATGTCTTCTTTTGAGAAGTATCTGTTCATGTCCTTCGCCCACTTTTGATGGGGTTAATATTCCCTTATAAATTTGTTTAAGTTCTTTGTAGATTCTGGATATTAGCCCTTTGTCAGATGGGTAGATTGCAAAAATTTTCTCCCATTCTGTAGGTTGCCTGTTCACTCTGATGACAGTTTCTTTTGCTGTGCAGAAGCTCTTTAGTTTAATTAGATCCCATTTGTCAATTTTGCCTTTTGTTGCCATTGCTTTCGGTATTACAGTCATGAAGTCCTTGTCCATGCCTATGTTATGAACGGTATTGCCTACGTTTTCTTCTAGGGTTTTTATGGTTTTAGGTCTTACGTTTAAGTCTTTAATCCATCTTGAGTTAATTTTTGTATAAGCTGTGAGGAAGGGATCCAGTTTCAGCTTTCTACATATGGCTAGCCAGTTTTCCCAGCACCATTTATTAAACAGGGAATTCCTTCCCCATTTCTTGTTTTTGTCAGGTTTGTCAAAGATCAGATGGTTGTAGATGTGTGGTATTACTTCTGAGGGCTCTGTTCTGTTCCATTGGTCTATATCTCTGTTTTGGTACCAGTACCAAGCTGTTTTGGTTACTGTAAACTTGTAGTACAGTTTGAAGTTAGGTAGCTTGATGCCTCCAGCTTTGTTCTTTTGGCTTTGGATTGACTTGGCAATGTGGGCTCTTTTTTCGGTTCCATGTGAACTTTAAAGTAGTTTTTTCCAATTCTGTGAAGAAAGTCACTGCTAGCTTGATGGGGATGGCATTGAATCTATAAATTACCTTGGGCAGTATGGCCATTTCACGATATTGATTCTTCCTATCCATGAGCATGGAATGTTCTTCCATTTGTTTGTGTCCTTTTTTATTTCGTTGAGCAGAGGTTTGTAGTTCTCCTTGAAGAGGTCCTTCACATACCCTGTAAGTTGGATTCCTAGGTATTTTATTCTCTTTGAAGCAACTGTGAATGGGACTTCACTCATGATTTGGCTCTCTGTTTGTCTTATTGGTATAGGAATGCTTGTGATTTTTGCACATTGATTTTGTATCCTGAGACTTTGCTGGAGTTGCTTTCAGCTTAAGGAGATTTTGGGCTGAGATGATAGGGTTTTCTAAATAGACAATCATGTCATCTGCAAACAGGGACAATTTGACTTCCTCTTTTCCTAATTGAATACCCTTTATTTCTTTCTCCTGCCTGACTGCCCTGGCCAGAACTTCCAACAGTATGTTGAATAGGAGTGGTGAGAGAGGGCATCCCTGTCTTGTGCCAGTTTTCAAAGGGAATGCTTCCAGTTTTTGCCCATTCAGTATGATACTGGCTGGGGGTTTGTCATAAATAGCTCTTATTATTTTGAGATATGTCCCGTTGATACCTAGTTTATTGAGAGTTTTCAGCATGAAGGCTGTTGAATTTTGTCAAAGGCTTTTTCTGCATCTATTGAGATAATCATGTGCTTTTTGTTTCTGGTTCTGCTAATATGATGGAACACATTTATTGATTTGCGTATGTTGAACCAGCCTTGCATCCCAGGGATGAAGCCAACTTGATCATGGTGGATAAGCTTTTTGATGTGCTGCTGGATTTGGTTTGCCAGTATTTTATTGAGGATTTTTGCATCAATGTTCATCAGGGATATTGGTCTAAAATTCTCTTTTTTTGTTGTGTCTCTGCCTGGCTTTGGCATCAGGATGATGCTGGCCTCATAAAATGAGTTAGGGAGGATTCCCTCTTTTTCTATTGATTGGAATAGTTTCAGAAGGAATGGTACCAGCTCCTCTTTGTACCTCTGGTAGAATCTGGCTGTGAATCCTTCTGGTCCTGGACTTTTTTTGGTTGGTAAGCTATTAATTATTGCCACGATTTCAGAGCCTGCTATTTGTCTATCCAGGGGTTCAACTTCTTCCTGGATTAGTCTTGGGAGGGTGTATGTGTCGAGGAATTTATCCATTTCTTCTAGATTTTCTAGTTTATTTGCATAGAGGTGTTTACAGTATTCTCTGATGGTGGTTTGTATTTCTGTGGGATCGGTGGTGATATCCCCTTTATCATTTTTTATTGCATCTATTTGATTCTTCTCTCTTTTCTTCTTTATTAGTCTTGCTAGCAGTCTATCAATTTTGTTGATCTTTTCAAAAAACCAGCTCCTGGATTCACTGATTTATTGAAGGGTTTTCTGTGTCTCTGTCTCCTTCAGTTATGCTCTGATCTTAGTTATTTCTTGCCTTCTGCTAGCTCTTGAATGTGTTTGCTTTTGCTTCTCTAGTTCTTCTAATTGTGATGTTAGGGTGTCAATTTTACATCTTTCCTGCTTTCTCTTGTGAGCATTTAGTGCTATAAACTTCCCTCTACACGCTGCTTTAAATGTGTCCCAGAGATTCTGGTATGTTGTGTCTTTGTTCTCATTGGTTTCAAAGAACATCTTTATTTCTGCCTTCATTTCGTTATGTACCCAGTAGTCATTCAGGAGCAGGTTGTTCAGTTTCCATGTAGTTGAGCAGTTTTGAGTGAGTTTCTTAATCCTGAGTTCTAATTTGATTGCATTGTGGTCTGACAGACAGTTTGTTATAATTTCTGTTCTTTTACATTTGCTGAGGAGTGCTTTACTTCCAGCTATGTGGTCAGTTTTGGAATAAGTGCAATGTGGTGCTGAGAAGAATGTATATTCTGTTGAATTGGGGTGGAGAGTTCTGTAGATGTCTATTAGGTCTGCTTGGTGCAGGGCTGAGTTCAAGTCCTGGATATCCTTGTTAACTTTCTGTCTCGTTGATCTGTCTAATGTTGACAGTGGTGTATTAAAGTGTCCCCCCACTTTACTGTGTGGAAGTCTAAGTCTCTTTGTAGGTCTCTAAAGACTTGCTTTATGAATCTGGGTGCTCTTATATTGGGTGCATATATATTTAGGATAGTTAGCTCTTCTTGGTGAATTGATCCCTTTACCATTATGTAATGGCCTTCTTTGTCTCTTTTGATCTGTTGGTTTAAAGTCTGTTTTATCAGAGACTAGGATTGCAACCCCTGCCTTTTGTTTTGTTTTGTTTTCTATTTGCTTGGTAGACCTTCCTCCATCCCTTTATTTTCAGCCTCTGTGTGTCTCTGCACGTGAGATGGGTCTCCTGAATACAGCACACTGATGGGTCTTGACTCTTTATCCAATTTGCCAGTCTGTGTCTTTTAATTGGAACATTTAGCCCATTTACATTTAACATTAATATTGTTACGTGTGAATTTGATCCTGTCATTGTGATGTTAGCTGGTTATTTTGCTTGTTAGTTGATGGAGTTTCTTCCTAGCATCAATGGTCTTTACAATTTGGCATGTTTTTGCAGTGGCTGGTACCAGTTGTTCCTTTCCATGTTTAGTGCTTCCTTCAGGAGCTCTTGTAAGGCAGGCCTCGTGGTCACAAAATCTCTCAGCATTTGCTTGTGTGTAAAGGATTTTATTTCTCCTTCACTTCTGAAGCTTAGTTTGGCTGGATATGAAATTCTGGCATGAAAACTCTTTTCTTTAAGAATGTTGAATACTGGCCCCCACTCTCTTCTGGCTTGTAGGGTTTCTGCCGAGAGATCTGCTGTTAGTCTGATGGGCTTCCCTTTGTGGGTAACCCGACCTTTCTCTCTGGCTGCCCTTAACATTTTTTCCTTCATTTCAACTTTGGTGAATCTGACAATCATGTGTCTTGGAGTTGCTCTTCTAGAGGAGTATCTTTGTGGCATTCTCTGTATTTCATGAATTTGAATGCTGGCCTGCCTTGCTAGGTTGGGGAAGTTCTCCTGGATAATACCCTGAAGAGTGTTTCCCAACTTGGTTCCATTCTCCCCTTCACTTTCACGTACACCAATCAGAAATGGATTTGGTCTTTTCACATAGTCTTGTATTTCTTGGAGGCTTTGTTCGTTTCTTTTTACTCTTTTTTCTCTAAACTTTTCTTCTCGCTTCATTTCATTCATTTGATCTTCAATCACTGACACCCTGTCTTCAACTTGATTGAATCAGCTACTGAAGCTTCTGCATGCATCACGCAGTTCTCGTGCCATGGTTTTCAGCTCCATCAAGTCATTTAAGGTCTTCTCTAGGCTGTTTATTCTGGTTAGCCATTTGTCCAATCTTTTTTCAAGGTTTTTAGCATCTTTGCAATGGGTTTGAACATCGTCCTTTAGCTCAGAGAAGTTTATTATTACCGATCGTCTGAAGCCCACTTCTGTCAACTCGTGAAAGTCATTCACTGTCCAGCTTTGTTCTGTTGCTGGTGAGGAGCTGCATTCCTTTGGGGGAGAAGAGGCACTCTGGTTTTTAGAATTTTCAGCTTTTCTGCTCTGGTTTCTCCCCATCTTTTTGGTTTTATCTACCTTTGGTCTTTGATGATGGTGACGTACAGATGGGGTTTTGGTGTGGATGTCCTTTCTGTTTGTTACTTTTCCTTCTAACAGTCAGGACCCTCAGCTGCAGGTCTGTTGGAGTTTGCTGGAGGTCTACTCCAGACCCCGTTTGCCTTGGTATCACCAGTGGAGGCTGCAGAACAGCAAATATTGCAGAACAACAAATGTTGCTGCCTGATCCTTCCTCTGGAAGCTTCGTCTCAGAGGGGCACCCTGCTGTATGAGGTGTCAGTCAGCCCCTACTGGGAAGTGTCTTCCAGTTGGGCTACTCAGGGGTCAGGGACCCAACTGAGGAGGCAGTCTGTCCGTTCTCAGATCTCAAACTCCGTGCTGGGAGAACCACTACTCTCTTCAAAGCTGTCAGACAGGGATGCTTAAGTCTGCAAAAGCTTCTGCTGCCTTTTGTTCAGCTATTCCCTGCCCCCACAGGTGGAGTCTACAGAGACAGGCAGGCCTCCTGCGGTGGGCTCCTCCCAGTTCGAGCTTCCTGGCTGCTTTGTTTACCTACTCAAGCCTCAGCAATGGCAGACGCCCCTCCCCGAGCCTTGCTGCCATCTTGCAGTTCGATCTCAGACTGCTGTGCTAGCAATGAGCAAGGCTCTGTGGGTGTGGGACCCCCAAGCCAGGTGTGGGATATAATCTCCTGGTGTGCTGTTTGCTAAGACTGTTGGAAAAGCACAGTATTAGGGTGGGAGTGTCCCGATTTTCCAGGTACCGTCTGTGACGGCTTCCCTTGGCTAGGAAAGGGAATTCCCTGATCTCTTGCGCTTCCCAGGTGAGGGGATACCCCACCCTGCCTCAGCTCACACTCCGTGGGCTGCACCCACTGTCCAACAAGCCCCAGTGAGATGAACCTGGTACCTCAGTTGGAAATGCAGAAATCATCCGTCTTCTGCATCGCTCACACTGGGAGCTGTAGACTGGAACTGTTCCTATTCAGCCATCTTGGAACCCACCTAGCCATTTTTTAAATCTTAACGCAAATTAAGCAGGTGAATTTTTTAATCCAGTTTTTAAAAAATGTTAAGTTTATAATCGTGTATTTTCCCATAATAAAGTTACTGAATATTTTTGTCACCTAATTATAAAATACATGATTAACTGTGAACAAAATAAAAATAAATAAAAGATATTCAACTTAGGTATCCTTGAATAAAAATTAGGCCTTTATAGATATATAGTATAGATCAGAAGTCTAATTCTCCAGGGTTTTAAAAAATTGTTTCTTTTTCCTTCCAACAGCTATGGATCTACATATAGGTTCCCAGAGTGGCACTGATGAGTGGCTGCATCATGCTGAAAAAGGGAAAGATGAACCACAGCAAGATAGATCAGTATGGCTGACTTCAAATAATAATGTTCCTGTCACAAACTAGAAATGCTTAATATCCATTTGAAATGAAAATGCTGTCTTTTATACATGGCTATTGTTCTATTATCTCCTGAAATGAAAGTTTTACAGGGCAGGAGCCTTCTTTGAAAGCATGGCCTTCTATTCAGATAAAATTATTAAAGCATTGTACTACGTATATTAGGAGTGATACATTATTTTCGATGCCTAGAAGCAATGAAGGGGTAACCCTTGGCTTTTTAGTTCCACTCCTAGCAGTGGCACAGATTCATTCCTTAGTTTGAATCTGCATTTTTTTGGTGGGTAACTTTAAAATTTACTTCGGTGCTTATACTGTCCAGATTTGCTGGTGGAACTCCTTCAATCTGGCTTATGAGCCCTTCTGAAAGCCCTCTGTAATTTTTGAGCACTCTCTTACTTTTTGGCACAACACAATGTTCAGGTCTATTTTGTACTTTCCCTCCCCAGACCCTGGAATTGGTCAGTTCTCCAAGGAGCCCTGGTTCCTTTCTGGGCAGAATGATATATAGAAACCGAGATCTGGATGTCCGCTGTACTTACTGCTACTGGAGTGCTGCTGCTCCCAGGCTTCGCCAGCAAACAGAGCTAGAGACTACATGTAAGTCTATAGCTATGTACACATATATTCATATTTGCATCTATACTTATTTCTATGTCTGCACGTACTGAAATCCATGAACTCATACCAATAACTCCAATTCAAAACTACCACCACAGCATTCATTCTCGTTTTCTCCTTTCCATTTTTGTAATTATTTTCTCTGAAGTGAGAAATCTGGCTCCAGTTATCCCAGATATACTTAGGTATTTGATCTATTTTCCTGTATGTAACTAACCACTCATTCACTGCCACCACCAGGCCCAGCCCCAGTGGGGCACTCTCCTCACTCTAAGTGGGCTCAAACACCCTGAGTTGGGCAGCTACTGCCACTCCTCACACACCCCCATCTCATCCCTCTCAAGCTCTGCCATCCAAACCTAGTCATCCCAGCTGGCCTGCCCTGGCCCAGTGCCCCGCTCCCCACACACACAGTTACCTTGCCCAGGCCCACCTAATGACTTCTGGGCTGAAATGTTGAGCAACTGGAAGAGGAGAACTTGGTAACTATCTTTAAAATAAAATATAACTAATATTTTATTAGATAATTTGTTTTCATTTTGTATAATAGACACATTCCTGAAAATTGCCACAGACATTTAAACTTTTATAGAGGAATCAAATTTTAGAGCCCTGGGGGCCTTCTACTTAAAGAAACACTGTGGTGAGTATTTCATAAAGTAAAAAGTCATTTTTTAATGTGAGTAATTCCTACTAAGGTACATGTTCTGCAAAATTTGATTATCACCAAACATGAGTTTTTAAAGTGCTAATATCTGAAGATATAAAGTTCACTAAATATCAGTCAAGGTACTCCAGAATTTCAAAACTTATGCCTGAACAAACAAAATATCATTTCATTGTAATGGAGACATCCCAGGGCATAAACTTCTTTTTCAGTAAAATAAATTAAAGGGCACATTCGAAAAGTTTCCAACAGCTCACAGAATATTACCAATCTTAACACAAGTGCCATGGCATCTACGTCTGGAAGGGGAAGGTAAACTACGACTTCATAAAGTAATTGTTGTGCAAACACATGCCCATCAATACAATTTGAGGGATACTTAATTACCTGTACATTTATTTAAAAATTTGGTCTGAAATCCATACAAGTGGATTAGAAAAAAAGCACAGCGCCTTTTCACCTTGCCTTTGTGTCATTAATTGTTACCAGAAAAGGACAAAGCACCTCTCTGCCTCCAAATAATCCAGGAAGCAAGGTTTGCCTGGCAGCAAGGAATACATCCAAGAAGCAGATGGCAGCACTGGTGGGCTGGCCAGTGAGGCTGATCATCAGTGAGGTGGGCAGGGGTGAAAAGCAAATGGAAGGAATGGAGAAGCAGCCTGGGCCTGGGTTAGCCACGCATGTGCAAGAACCTGGGAGCGAAATCCTTGCTGGGTCAGGCAGTGGTGGGCTAACGAGACAGGTGGGTCAGACCTATGTCAGATAAGCAAGGTGAGCCTGGGGTCTCAATCAAACTATGAGAGCGACTCAGGCTCACTTGACCTGACTTCTTCTTCTTCTTCTTTTTTTTTTCCTGTTTGGTATGCTGGGTCTTCCTTTGGCAACCTTCACTCTGGCAGTCAGTTTCTGCACTGGGAAAGGGAGTGCAGACTAGTGTTAAAAACACAGATTCTGAAACCAGACTGAGTTCAAATCCAGGTTTCACAGTATATTATCACAAGATTTGCAACCTCTCTGTGCCTCAGTTTCCACATGACATACATATCCCCAAACACCAGAATGGGGACTAGTGGAGCAAGGGACCCCCTGCCCACCTTGGTGACATGCTAGACCATGGAAGGGCAGCTGTGCAGTGGTTCTGGGGCTGCCCCTAGTCAGAGGCTTCTCTGGATAGGTTTTCTCCAGGCTCTCCTTCGGTGGCTTCTGCCTCCTCTAGGACAAGGAAAACCGAGGGAGAAGTACCAAAGTGGGCACCACCACTCCTGAAAAGGTGATGCTGCTGGGCGTTGTGACCGCTGCCCCTGCCCCTTCCCTCACTGCAGCCCTCTTGGCGTGTCCCCAGTAGAATGGCCCAGGCTCTGCCACCCCCACAGCTAGCACAGGACCTCACTTGAAAATGTGCTCCATTCAGCCCAACGTGGGCCCCATCTCCCATCATTCTGGGAGCTCCAGGAGGGACTTGGTGTGGTACCAGCCTCATTCCAACTCCCTCTAATCACGGGCTCCTCATCCTCCACATCTGACAGCTTTGTGGTCGCATCACTCCTGGTAGTCTTACCTCTTTCACACGCTGTACTCAGTCGGAGCTCTCAGAAACCTTCCTGATACCTCAGGAATCTTCCTGGAGCAGCCAGCCTCTGCCTCGCTCCAACACTGCTCTCCTAACAGCAGCCTGATGCCCCACCTCAGCCTGTGCCTCTGAAGTCCAAAGTTCACACAGCTGCTGCTCGGAATTCCTGGACGGGCCCCATCGTTTCCCTGTTTACCAGGGTCAGACCTCCATCCTCATTGTTCATCCTTACCAAACACTGATTACATATGCACACGCACATGTATTTACTCACTCTCCGCGTACTAAGCACCCAGCATTACGGTAGGCTATGGGGACATCCACTGAACATACAGTTATGTGCACACACCAAGAACTTCAAATGAGGCAGAGCACTGGGGGAGAAACCACTTAGTAATTACTATCAGCAATTACAGGGCAGTGTGGCTGGTGCTATGGCAGGATTATGTACCAAATAGGAGGGGACCCAGAGAAGGGAGCTGAGGCAGACAGGAAGAGGGTATGGGGGCCAGGTTTTTGCATTTTAATTCAACTATACTTCACGTGTTGACATTTTTATGAGTCTCACAAGTCCAGTGAAAAAAAGATTACCTTGTTAAAATACAACAAGCCCTGCAAAAATGTAGCAAAACATTTCCTTCCATGTATATATACAGAAATCAAACTATTACACAAAAAATATATTAAATTCTGATTTGCTTTTGTGAGCTAATAATTTAAAAAATCCTGACAAACTGCAGTGGGTAGAACTTGTCTGTGAGCTCAGTTTCTAAAAGGAGAGAAAGATACATAACACTTTACATTATACTGTAAGAATTCTATCCCTACTGAACTTTGAACAGATGGCCCTTTTCTCAAGTGCAACAATTTTACCAGCTAAGTTTCTGAGTAAGCTATTAATGAGTTTTTAAAAAGACACCAGAGGGCAAATCACAATGGACTTTCCAAGTGAGAAGATTCCAACTTATTAACTGTGCAGACCACACACTAGGTCATAGTCACCACCAGGTGGGATATGAGATTCAAGACAGATTGAGTAAACAATGCCAGAATCTGCTTTTCCCTGAGTCTAAATCACGTCTCTATGAGGTCTGCAAGCAGTATTAAATCATTGTATGGAAGCAAGTATTCCTATAACTGAAGATGGACACCTGAAATCAGCCCATTCAAATGAATATTGAAAGCCATCTAGGCATTATTCTGGATATTTCTGAACCTGTTCTGATTTCTAAACCAGAGCTTTTAAAAGTATATATACACATTCATCGGTCTCCTTTCTTTTCTCCTTTTAAAAGCCATGTTCATCCATATTTTCACATAAGATGAATTTATACTGCCCCACTATTTTGTAGACTATGAAGTCATTTGCTCTCAGAAATACACTCTAAAGTACATCGATCTCCACCATCCTTGTATATTTCTATTTGCCAAAATGGGTGCTGGATGGTACGGGAAAACAAGTATTATATGACACGAACTGGTAAATTAATCTCCTTCTGGAATTTTAGCAAACTGCATTCAAATCTTATGAAATTAGAGTGAATGATGCCTAAATTAGAAAAATGAACGAAAAACCTACTGTGACTTATTTTGCCCTTCTGCAACTTCAGAGAGTTACTAAACACAGTATTGAAATCTGCATTTGGCCCTCAATGGAGTTAATAATAATAAATGATCAAATATTTTCTAGTATGAAAAGAAGAAAAATAATCAAGACATGTATGCAACTTATAAACAGGCTCTTTTACAATTAGATTTTCCTCTCTCTACATCTGCTTTCATATTTTGCTTTCCTATTATTATGACTGCACCCAATCCACAATTGTGGCCTTTTTCTGCACATCTGCAAGCCATAGGGGAACAGGACAACATGCGAGTAGAGACCAGGATGGTCTTCAGAGACCAAGGGCTGGGTCTCACCACCTATGGGCTGAATACTACTCAGTGACAGGGAACCCCCATATGAGTCAAGGGGGAGAATGTCAAAGCTCTAAAGTATTTCACACCATCCCCCAGTGTCTCTAAGTCCTTCTCCCAGAGAGCACTGGGAGCCTAAGAATTCCTCTGCCCCTTAAGAAGAAGCATTATTAAGCTCTGAAGTTAGAAATTAAGACCAGAGAGGGAGTTACGGTTAAGGAAAGAAAGACTCCCTTGGCAGCGGCAGTGGTGGTGAGAATAGTGCAATTTGCTTGGGTTTTCCAGGGCCCTCTTTATTCCTTTGGGTTTTGGCCACAGGCTGTAGAGGTGGACGGAGGCACGAGCATCAGGGGTCACTGGGAGGACCAAACTGCCTTACAGGCCTTGAACAGGGGTCGGCTGCAGCCATTTACCCCTTCCTCTCCTTCCCAATTCTCAAATAATGTCCTCGATTGTTCACCATTTGCCAAGGTATCATTTTGTCCTGTACGTGTTCCCTTCTCCTTCGTTCATCCTTTGCCCTTTCTCCATCAACACCTTCGCCCACTCTACCCCACCTACAACATGCAAACACACACTTCAGCTGCCATGTAGTTAGGCCAGGCTGTGCAATGCACAACAGCGCACAAGAAGCTGAAATCTACCCTGCACTCAGCTCCCTGCGCCACACAGCCTAGCGTCAGAGAATCAGAGGCACAAGAGGACCATCCATTCACCAAGCCTGTGCAGTGTCTGCCCAGAGAGGGCATCCTTTTCTAATATGTACAAACTAGAGCTGGCTCTGCTCCCTATCCTCTTAAGCTTTCACTGTGCACTAAAAAGACAGTTTTTCCATCAAAACAAATTATTTTCATATTGCCTTTGATGAAACACTTTTTTCATTTTAAGGCATGATATCAGTTCCTCTAAGTCAAATAGAGCTGTTTTAATGGAAATACATGAAGGGTTTCAGACAGTGTCTGGCACAGGCACGTGGTGAGCTTCAACTAAGTGGTAGATGTTAATGTTCTTACCTTTGTAAAGTACCATTCAACACTTGGTTCACCTAACAATGCGAGCACTTTTAATAGCGACTTAAGGAAAATCTGCCTTAGGCAAATTAAGGGAACTAAGTTGTTCCCACTTCTGATCTACATCCAGCAAAACAACTTCTGGAATTTGGAAAAAACGAATCACAGCTACGAAATGATTTAATTAAGCCACACATATGCAGACCAATGAAAAAGACATCTTGCCATGAAGATTAAATGAGGTGACACAGATAAAGCTTCTAGCATAATACAGCAGGAAGTTGGTAAAGTTTTTTATCAGTACACTTTTTTTCAAAACTAAGAAAAGGAGGTGGAAAAACTATTAAAAAAAAAAAAAGTCCAAAGCTAAAAAAGAATAGCAGCCTAGGGCCATTGTGCATAGAGGAAATCTACCTTAACACAAAATAACTGTTATTCAAGTCAAGGACTTCTTGCTGTGTAGTCTCTTCGAGGCTGGCAAGAGGCAGGAAGCTAAACTTCATGGAGTTCCTCTCGTGGCTGTCACATGTTATCAGGATACGTATGCTAAGCTCATCAGTATTCTCCCAGTTGAGGGTTGTTATCCCTCTTTCACACAAAAGGAACCAAGCAATTCGTCTCAAGGGAGGCCATAACCATGCAAAAGAAGGTTAAAATAAAATCTGAACATTTAAATTATCAACTATTTATAAAACTCTTCTCTATAGAATCACCCATTCACCGATGGTTTCAGACAGCTGAAGGTTTCCGTAAGTACAATTTCCCTTTGAGCATCTACACAAAAAGGGAGAACTCTTAAAACAGTATGCTGGGCCCCTATGGGTGTGTGTTTTGGCCTAGTCTCTCATCGTGATAAGTCTAGTTACCTTGGCAGTCAGACAAAGGAGTTTTAGAGAAGACACTCATTTCCAATTTGGGATCTGGCAAATACAAGTCTTCTGCAGTTTGTTTTATAAAATGAAACAATTATTCCTGAGCACTGTGTTAGGTGGAGTACAGGGGGTTGGAAAACCATGTGCCTATTCCTAGATTTTTAGCCTCAACAGCTGGCAGGCAAATCCTTGGAACCTGCTGCCAACACTGCAGGTCCAGGGCAAGCTGATGCCTCGAACCCACTTATCCTCCTTTCTCCAAGTGACCACTGGCTGCCTTACCTGAACTCCCTCCTATTAATGTCTCAGGGACTGAGCAACACTTCCTGGGCACAGATCCTCCTTAGGTAGGCCCTTCCTCTCCTTCCCAATGGCCTAAATTCAGTGCCTCACAAAGTGTTTGTTCTTTTTAGAAGTGGGTATTACAGCCTCTGGTGCAGTCTATGAAATGCAACTTCGGCTTTCTAGAAAGCATGGCCAGTTTTGCAGGTGGAGGCACGGCTTTGTCTCCAGTCTGTTACAGCTGTCCATGGCACAGAATGTCATGAGGCCTAACGGTCACCTGGCTTATAAACGAGGGCTATGTGCCTCCTCTCCTTCACAGCACTGCTGAAAGGACAGAATCACGTGCTTCTGAAAACTGAAGAAATGTAGGAAGTATATAATTCAAACTGTGCAGCTGTTTATATTTTCTGGAAGTCCTTGTA
This sequence comes from Homo sapiens, assembly GCF_000001405.40. NCBI lineage: Eukaryota > Metazoa > Chordata > Mammalia > Primates > Hominidae > Homo > Homo sapiens. The sequence goes on along the minus strand of NC_000014.9, from coordinate 56,220,851 downwards.
GGATTCTGAATTTTAGTCAAACAAGTTGGCACCATTTCGCGGCATTTCCTCCTTCCTACTCCCCATCTTCATGCTAATCTCCTTCACCTCCTCATCTTGGTGGTGGTTCTCTAACCATTGGTTATGCAGACACCTGGCTTTTCAATCTATGCCACCTCCCCTATGCTCTTCAACTGTAGGGCAGATTCTTCTTTCACTCCCTCCTTTTTTGCTTTTCATTGTTATACTCTTAAAAAATTTCAAACCAAAAGTGCAAACATACTGATTGTTTCATCTCATGATTTTTTGGCACAATCACACGTAGTATTGGAATCAGCGTTGTCCTTTTATACAAACTGTTATATAAATGCCAAAACACAGGGAAGCTATTGCTTGGTTTCTGGGTATTTTTCCAGGGTGAAAATTTTCACATTTTTCAGAAGAAAAATATAGATACATGCTGTGTTTTATAACTATGTTGTTTCAAAACTATCATTTTCCTTTCCCTTATTTTTTTCCCCAAGTACTAGCTTCCGGCCAGATTGTCATCTGTGCGTCAAACAGTACACACCCCTGCTGGTGTGCCTTTGCGCAAATGAAAATAATCTGATTTGGAAGCTACAGAGAGTTAAACCATCAATCCTGCAGTGTGGCCCACTGCAGTCACCTGGGCACTGGCAACAGTGCTCTGTCACACTGAGTCAGCAGCTGGGACACGTCTGTTGTGTGCCTCTTGTCCAGAGCTTTATAAAGAGAACAGAAGCAAGGGACAAGGTAATGCTGAATGTCTGCAGCCTGTAGATAAGACACGTTTGGTGAAACAGGAAAATTCTCAGTGTTGTTAACTTATTGTTTACCTAAACTGTTTATGATATGATTCCCAGGGCAAGCATTAATAAAGCAACAAAAAATGTTAGCAGAACACTTCAATTAACTGTTCTGCACAAGAGTTTTTTCAATCCTGAGCTGTTTTAAGGAGGCTGCATCCATTAAAGACATAACAAGGGACTCTTTCTGTAAGAATGTCAGCTGCCTCAAGTCCGCTGTGGAATGGGGCAAGTTACAAACATGTAAAAATAAATAAATGACTCTAACTGAATAGAGTCAAGGCATGTCGTGTCATTTTTCAGTTTACCAACCTAAGTACAATTTTCCACATCTAATTTTCTGCTTTTAAATTGGCTACTGAAATAGAAATGGGATAATCAGCCAGTTAAGAATCATCCATAAACAAGAACAAATGTGTCCTGGGAGTAGGACTAAGGAGGCCTCTTATGAGTGTGTGGCAGCTCAGAGACCCTTTCTTTGACTTCCTTGTGGATGCCTACTGTTTGTAAGATTGAGGGAGAGGCTGCTCAGATGAGAGAGCTATGACTGTGATAGCTGAGTGCTGAGGGGTAAAACAAATCATGCTGTAGTTACTGCGAGAGGAAAGGATGTTAAAAAGATGGAACCTGAACAAGGAAAATCAAGGAGGACTGATAAGAGTTAAAAACAGTTTATAACTTCAGGAAAGTCAACATTCATTTTAAAAATAGTTTAAGAATTAAGAGGGGGATCTCCTCTTTCAGTTTTGGAGCCCCCATCTGTCTCTGTACGGGGGAGCTTCTTCCTTCTGTCTTCTTCCTTCCTTCTTGCCTATTAAACTCTCTGCTCCTTAAAACCAAAATAAATAAATAAATAAACAAACACCTTATTGTCCTCAAGTCATCCAAAAAAAAATAAAAAAGGAATTAAGAGACCAGGATACTTAAAATGGCTTGTATTTGAAGCTACCTTCCCTTCCTAGGGTTCTGTTTATTCTTAGAAAAAGAAATGTGAAAAAAACAGGAAATGGATCTGGTCATGCTCAAGAGTATAAGGACTGGGCATTTTATAAATCCAGGTAAAAGCAGTGCGAGAGCACTGCCTGTTGCTCTAATATGTGCACAGCATTACATGACCAACCCCTTCATAGTTACCACCTCTGAAAACTCAACTCCCATCGCATTTAATGTTGACAAAATTTTCTGTGAATCAGAGTGCACTCTACAGACACAACACAGTTTCAGACCAATAGCTCTCTTGCTTTTTGTAGCTTAATCTGTAATCATCTTGGCAATTAAATCCTCTCTCTTCATTCCCCACCAACCTCTCTCTCTCTCAAACACACACACACACACACACACACGCACACATGTGCGTGCATGCACACAGTCTTGGATCTGATTTTTCTTAAGGCATTACCCGCAACAATAAAGAAGAATAACATTTCCATTTCCATCTCCTAGGGAAAATAAAGGAAAACATCTGGGAGGTGGAAGAGTAAGCAGGAAGAAATTAACCTTAAAATCTCGCACAAGACATTAACTTGTATGCAACTGACTACACAGTCAACTACAGAGTTCTCAAATGTGTAAAAATTGGCAACAAGTAAAGAAGTAACAATGTTGGTCTCAACACTAATCATTTTTATTATCAGAAGATCCACCTGGAACTACTTCTTTGCTCTAGTGCCATAAGGCATAAATAAGAAGAAAGTGCAATTCTTGGCTTATATGTTGAACACTAGACTAGTCTGCTTAATTGAACATCAGAACAGACAAAAAAAATTCTCTAGGTGCAAAAGCTGCTAGCTACTTTTTAGAAAAGGTTTACATTATTTGAAGGGAGATGTGCCAGAAAACAATGATAGATCACAACTACCTAATCTGGCCAAGGAAGGGACAAAATCAGTCTCTTCTTTGGTAGACCACTGGCTATGGAGTCCAGCAAAACAGGGCTCAAACCCCAGCTTTATCACGTATTAGCTACATGATGTTGAGCAGGTGTCCTCATTATGCCTCAATTTTTTCATATATAAAATAGGAATAGTTAGAATACCCAACTTAATGAGGTGGTTGGAGGAATTACAGGAGGTCCTATGTGAAAAGTAGTTAGCAGAGTGCTTCCCTGGTGAATGACCCTTCATAAATAGTAGCTCTGTATTAGCTGGCTGAGCAAGAGCCTGACTAAACAGTATTTGCTAACAGATCTGCGAGCTGGTGAGTATAACACTGTATGGAGCAGGCAGAAGGGAAAGGCAATCCTACCACGGAGAAGTGACAGCACGTTGGGCCAAGAGAGGAGAGAACAGAGAGATGACTGTCAAAATTTTAAAATCCCAAAGGTTAGAAAATAAGAAATAAACTGCCTTTTTCTATTACATGTTTTTGCTTTTCCTATAATGAAATGTATGTCTAGCTTTTAATGTGGAGCAGAATGAAAGGGTATCAAATGTTTGTTTAATGCAAACCTCAAAAACTACACAGTTTCCTGATGCAGTGAGTGGGGTGAAAAGAATGACCCAGGCTTGGCTGTCACTCAGAAAGTGGCAGACGGGGGACCTCTGGTGGACCCCTGGCCAAGCCGGACGCAGTCCTCCCCTCACTGCCAGAGGAGTCCTCCTCTTACAACAGCAGAATACGAATCTCCTCTGTGAGATTAATGGTCTCTGCACACCTGATGATGGTGGGTTAGACACTATAATCCTCTTCTGTGTTCTGGTTATATGCCCATTCCCCTCCCAGAAGACAGGATCTGCCCACAGGCCTGCCAGGAGGTGGAGGGGGCAGGGGCGCTGGGCTGCAGACCACAGGCAGCTACGTGAATCTGGGCAAAATCCTTACCCTACCTTGGCCTCAGTTTCCGTTTCCTCCTCTATGAAAAGGGGAGACACAGCTAACATTTTGGCCTCACAGGACTGTTGTTATCCTCAGATGAGAGATGCAACTATAATGTAACAAAAGAATGCAAGGAAATCTATTTTTAGAAACAACAGTCTGTTTGGAAACACTTTCCTTAATGTATTTAACACACTACTACACTCACAGTGAATGTTTAAAAAAAAATAACTTCTAGAACTCAATTGAGATGCTGACAAAGGACTAAATAATTTAGGACATGTTTGGAAATGATTAAATTCTTGAATTATTATATAGGTAAGCAAAATTATTCTTAGGGACAGTGTAACATTGCATGCTAATCAGCCTCAAGAGAAGCAGTAACTGTCAACAGCTCGTGGCACACAGCCAACTGTCTGCGGGGTAAGTAAAGAAACTGAATTAGCTTTTTCAGGGGAGCCAGAACACTGAGCCCTGATGACATGAATCCTGAAAGCAATGGAACTCTGAACACAGCCTTTGCCTACAGAGTTTTGCTCTTTTCTTGTCTCTGAATTAAGTTAAAATGAATGCCATTGCCATCAGTTTATAACCACATAGCAATGTTCATTCAAAAACTATCATCAAATGTATGAAAACTCGGTCACTGCAAATAAGAGAGTTAGAATTTGACAAAAATGATACAAATCCTGTGAAATATCTGCCTTTAGGAGTGTCTGTGCTTGCAGCACAGAACAGCCTATGTCTTGTTGGGTATGAGTATGTGTGTTTTACAAAATAACAGTGCTGCTCAAGTATCCAACAACAGGAGCTCACACTTTGCTGAACAAGAAGTTTAATATACTTTAATAATAAACCTGGAAATGAACCTAGAGAACAAGATTGAACACAGTGTAACTTCACGACTGGCTTAGAAGATAGAAAACATAAAACAGAAAAGAACCTTAACAAATAACACTACAATCACACATGTATTTTCCCCTTGACCTTGAATAGCCTCTGCCTGACTCCCTGGCCAAGGAGCCCCACAAATGTAAAATCTGAACCAAATAAAAGATGATTTCATGGGTACACAAAAAGCAAATACATAAACAACTGCATGAAGTTTTTTGTATTTACTTTTCTATAATGCTGACTAAAAAATAAAGCAACATTAAATGCTACCTTGAAAGCTTAGAGATGACATCTCTGCAAAATATAAGCCAGATTAAGCAAATTCCTGAGTAGTACTGGCATGTATTTCCCAGATAAAAATAAAATCATATTATTAGCTTAAATGTGATATATATTCCACCACATAACAACGTGAAATGTGACTACAAAATAAAACTGCATAATTTCTATAACCCACTGTAGTGTCATTACTTTGCAGTGACACTGTTTTAAGCTACTGACTAAAGCTCACAGCATTAGGTACCTAAATTCCACACCGCTGGTGACAGTGACAAGACCTGACAAGCATAATTAAACAATAGTGAGTTCAATTAAAAATCTGATTTGCAAAACTGGGCTATACTTCAAGACTCATTCTGATTCTCAAGACTCAGTTAATTTTGAAATTAAAATGCTCCTTAACTCATGTGTTTTGCTACCAAAATGTAGAGTTAAATTAAAATAGTATTACAGTTGAACACCAAATATGAATTTCCAACAATTGATTTAAGTTATTTTGTTTCTAATCATGTCTTTTAGTCTTGGTTCATGAACTAATGATGTTTTGAAAAAGCTATAAGTAAGTCCTAAATCTAAAAGACAAGTATTATTTCCTTCTACCTACCTATTGAGGAAACCCCAAATCATGTGAAAAGAACATCAAAGTCTATTCCCTCACAATGCATTCAGCAGCATGCTCCCCCGGCGGGCTTTCCTGTGTGTTATGTTTCGCTACAGCAACAGTATAGGGTTGTCTATCCTTAAATGTCCAAACCCCTTGGTGCCCATGAAAAGGGTGTAGCCTCCAAGACACATTAAAACCTATCACTACAGAATTATTTCCTAGAGAGCAAATACACTTCTGAAGATAGGAAAGAGAAGTTTCAATTGCTGAGTCTCAAATAAGGCTGATAGAAATCTATTCTGATGTTATCTCTATTAGAAGTGAGACTGTCACATAGATAAGAGAAGCTCAATTGTGTGATTCATGAGTGACATATGCCAACATCTTAGAGCTAAGCAAAAAAAGCAGTTATTACTTACTGACCAACATGTGTGACTATTAAGTGAAATTTGCTAAGATGCCCATAATATCTAAATTAAAATTTAAAAGGCTATTCAGGAGAGTATGAAGCCTATGCAGTCACCTGCTGGTCCGCAATGCTCCTCTGTCAACGCTGGCAATGCTGCACTGCACTGTTTATCTCCTTGGTCATTTCTCCCGAGGCTGTGGAATCCCGGAGGCTATGAGCTGTCTTAGCCTATCTATCTACCCTTCCAATCAGCCTTTCCCCACTCATCAAACTTCAAAATGCTACCCTATGCCCCTCATTGTATGTATATCTTACAAATGAAAAACACCTATACAGTATTCCACCCAAAAAGGCTGAACATCCAGCTTCCAAACTCTAGAGGTTGCTGGGCCCTCCAGCCTGCTCCAAGGCTGCCCCTGACATACAGCAGAAGCTGACTCCAAGCTGGGTCCCCTCCAAGACACAGGGTTCTGTGCCCTCTTCCTACTAAGAGAACCAAGAAGAAACCACTTGATAAAATTCTGGACATACTCAGGAGAGGGGCTGGGAGAGGAAGAGAGATTAAAATTAAGGATGTTCTACCAAAGCAATGATCATACACATTATCATTTGTAGATATTCTAAACAATACTTCCTAAACCCAATCAATCCAACCTGTGAATACCACCAACATCCAAAAATGGATTCAGAGCAAAAAAGTAGCATCATTTCCTATCCCAAATCATCCTGTAAGGCCACTGCATAGCTTCCAGGGGCTCTACCCTCTCTCCCCTCCCCCATCAACCTTCCCTCTGTGCCTCACAGCTGCAGATGCTCACCCCTCCAAGATGGGAATTATACTGTAGTGACATTAGGACAAATCTTGTAAATGAGTCTTTAAAAACAACCACTGTGGCCAGGCGCAGTGGCTCACACCTGTAATCCCAGCACTTTGGGAGGCCAAGGTGGGCGGATCCATTGAGGTCTGGAGTTCGAGACCATCCTGGCCAACACGGTGAAACCCCGTCCCTACCAAAAAATACAAAAATTAGTTGGGCATAGTGTCGCATGCCTGTAGTTCCAGCTACTTGAGAGGCTGAGGTGGGAGAATCACCTGAACCTGGGAGGCGGAGGTTGCAGCGAGCCGAGATCACGCCACTGCACTCCAGCCTGGGTGACAGAGTGAGACCCTGTCTCAAAAAAACCCAAAACCAAAAACCAAAATAAAACCACTGTGCAAGGCACATATTTGTCATTCAGAAAACTGATATATCCTTCAGGAGAAATCCAACTAAATAAATAATCTTAAGTTTTTTACTGGCATCTTCCTACCCCTCACCAATATTGCTCACTCTGAGCCCCTCTCTTGCTACTTCAATGCCTGCCTCCCTACCACTGGCTTATTAACCTCACCCCCAAACACATTTTTGCTTCCTCCATCCTAAAACACCACCACCACCATTCTTCTCTTTACAATGAAACTGTCAAACTGCTGAATGACAACAGTCCACATGCTGCTTCAGGCTTTGCTCTTTTTCTACTTATTCTCAGCAATCTGGCCTTTGTCCCTCTCCCTCTTTCTGTCTCCAGGAACTGCCCTAAGCTGCCCTGTGGGCTAGTCACTCCTCTCGCCTGCTAACTTGGACTCTGCTTTTAAAGTGTACTCCTCTCTGGGTATCCAATCAGCTAATTCCCTTCTGGATCTCCTTCTGCCTCCACTGTGCAAAGCTTCTGCCTGGGCCCAAAAAGTAAGAGGCAAAACAGAAATAAAAGTAATTCATGATGATAAAAACTGTAACTTCATCCACACATGTTGGAGGAGAAAAGATATCATTACCCTGACAGTTTCCATTTCCATCCAGGTAACCACCAGAAGTGATGTCTCCCAGTGCCAGAGTTCCTATTCTTCAGAACGTGATACTCCAGACAGTTTACCTGCAGTCACTTTCTAGTTTTAGGAATAATTTTAAAGATGGGCTTGAGTCCATAAGAAGACTGAAGGGCAATGACTGCCAAGCTGCAGGTCTAGGAAAGGGCCCCTGCCATCCACTTCTAAGCCAGGGCTCCTGAAAAGGGCACACGAACTGCACGTGTGGACTAAGACCCTCCTCGTGACCCCACTCTACAGCCTGGCTTTTCATCCCTGCAACTCTGGAGAGTCTAGCCATTGGCTTTAGTTTGATGTCTCAGCCATGGCTCAAGCTTCCCCTCTCTTGTGGGGCAGGTGTGTGCTCAGCCTCTGGTCCACACCCAGACTGGCCACTGGAACACATCCCCTGTCCTGGCCCAGCCTCCAGGATACTTGTAGGAAAGGAGCTGCTGACAGAAGACTGAAGAGTTATGAAGAGTCTTAACGCCCTGCATGATTGACTCAGACACTTGCTACACGAGCTTGGCAGTGCAGCTGCCACAGGCAGGACTGTGATCAAACATCCCAAAGTCAGAATCCTCATGCCACAAAAGGAGAACAATAAGACAGCATTGAGGAGCTTCAGTTGTCCTCAGAAAGCCTCATACTTTGTCTTCAACTCCACTGCAGGAGCTGGGCCAGGTCAGGCCATGGTCCCAGGCACAGATCCTCTCTCCCCCCAATCCCAGGGAGGCAGGGAAAAGAAGAGGGGATGCCTAAGACACATGGCAACGACATCAGGGCTTCTTAAGGAGCAGAGGCTAAGGCTCAGTGATCAACTGAAAGTCAGCCCTGGCAGGAGAGTTCAGGGGGAAATAGTGCCACTTTCCAAAATAATAAAATAAAACACAGCGCAGTAGTATCTGTGAAAAGCAAAGCAACGTAGGGTAGAATGTGAAAAACCAGCTATGCTCAATACCTAATGAAGTAAGAGAATGGATTGTTTTGTAGACTTCAGACACAGTTCCCCAAGCTGGCTTTGGAGACATACTAATGTCCTAAGAAAACGGGGTCTCTGTCCTATTTTTCCCCCAGCTATTTTCACTGTCTTGCTCTTCTTTGGTGACATCTACTCCAACTGGTTCTCTAATTTTTTCTGCCCCAAATAGCAACCACCAGGACTATTCCCAGCACATAAGAGGCTCTTGATACAATGTGCTGACTAAATGAAGGTCTCAGTCAGCTATTTGACTTTGGGTCTTCTACTTCAATGGTCCTCAAAATCACACTTCTATTCCTGGGGGAGAGCCAACATGCATGCGTCTGTATGGATCTTGAGTTTTGGTCACATGTATTTTTCCTCTTAAAAAAAGAAGAGATGGATTGCCTAGATATACCAAAAAGTAAAAAAAAAAGAGCCTTTTAAATAGCATCTCCACACCACCCGCGACTTGGAATTCAGCCATCTGGCAACCTTATCAGCTGTAAATAACAATACAAAAATAACACACATTTGTTTAATACTTTTATAATGAAATTTCTCTAAAACTTTGATGTAAGTCTAATGTCCATCTTATTTATATTCACCCATCTATCCACCCCAAAAATATATATTTTGCACTTGATGACAAGTACTATGACTAGAGCTGAAGATACAGGCATCATTCACATTCTCTATCCCAACAAGGTTGAAAAAGATACCTAAAAATACATAACTATACAACATGTGAGATACTGCATAAAGAGGTGCACACTGAGCACCCTGTGAGCATTGACTCAGCTAGTACATGATGGGGGAGGGGAGTGGGAGTAGAGGGGGTAACCCAGGGAAGGCTTCACAGAAGGTGACAGGCCACAACAATTCTGTGACATCTCAACTCAGAGGTCTGTACACCAGCCAGAAGAAAACAATCATCTTGTGACTCCATACTGACCTTCAGGGTGGCCTGAGCCAGCCAGCAACTGTGCAATTGGGGCATTCACAGTAACTGGCTAAAGTTGCTTCAGCACTGGCAGCATTGACTCAAGGGATCAAAGCACTCGACAGCGGTGATGGAGCAAATGACCACAGATGAGATTTTATCTGTCCTTATGGGCACTTCTCAGTTGACAGCGTAGCAAGACAAAGTACCACCGGTGGGCTAAAACAGCTTTGGGATGGCTTAGAAATCTTGCATATACAATATGCCCAGAATGTGTGAGCTGCACCCAAATGCTCTTGGTAGTTACTTAAGACCAAGGGTGGGAGCAATACCTACCACCAAAAGGAACAGCAAAAGTTATTCAAAAGTTATTTTTAGTTATTTAGAGAAAAGAGGATTCTCTTTTCATTTATGTCAAGGGAAAACTCTGAGGATGTTCAGCCATAGGTCAGACAGAAATAGCTGAGTCCCATCCCCCTCAACTTACCGACCACAGGGACCCAGACTGAAGGCTGACCACAAGCACTGCCTGCCTAGCACTTCAAATCATGCCATTATTGTGGGAAACTTCAACACATGTGGTGGCCAAATGGAACCTTAGCCTTTTCGTTCTCTGACCTCCTTAATTGCAGAGACTTTCAATCTATTCACCTATTCCCAAGGGCATTTTCTGGGTCTCATCACATCTTTATGTCTGGAAAACTTAAATATGAACTAATGGGATCACAAACTCCTGTTCACTTGGTAATTCCACAATTTTTGTTTCTGCAGTTCATCAAGCCCTCCCTATTCGTCTCTAGGATTTTCCCTCTGATTTTTAAATTTTTAACTTAAGAAATACAAGTACATAGTTGAAAAAAAAAACCAAAATCATTCTAAAAGGCTTACAATAAAACACAGAAGCCACTGACTGACCTGCCCCTTCTTCAACACTGACTTCCCAATCCTCATCCCAAAGAAAACCACTTTCAACTCTTGTGGCAGTTGCTTTTGTTAATTACTATTAATTCTTAACAGCACAAGTTCCAATTGCAGACGGTATCCACTGATTGATCTCTTTCCCTCTTCTTCCTCCTCCGCACCCCTCTCATCAACATACATTTTTTTTTTCATTTTTCCAATTTGAAATGTGACATTTCACTCCTAAATACTTTGGCATGCTTCTAAGAACCAGGCAAAATTTACCCTACATAACCACAGTACCATTATCACACTAAAGAAATTTGACATTAATATAACAATGTCTAATATACACCCACATTCAAATTTCCCTGATTTCCCCAGTAATGCCTTGTATCATTTGCATTTCCTCCAGTCCAAGATCCAATCATGAATCCTGGGTTTAACTTCAACTCTTTATCTCCTTTCACCTGGTACAAATTACCCAGGATTTCCGGTAGTTCCTGACCCTGCTGCGCTAGCAATTTCCCAGTTCTTTGAAAACCAGTGGCAAACCTAAGAGTTAGTGAGGGCCTTCCCAGGTATTGGTCCTCCAGCCCTTCAAATGGCTTGGCAAGCAACTAATTCCCTTATTAAATGCTTTTCAGTTTCAAATATTCAAATCATTGGTTCTCAAATGCGTTAGTCTCAAGACTTCTTTACGCTCTCTAAAAATGACTGGAAAATCCCCAAAAGCTTTTGTTCATATATCTGTGGGCATTTACCATATTATAAATTAAAATTAAAAATTTTTATTCATTTATTCGCTTACAAAAAACAATAGTAACCACAATACATACTACCACGAAACGAAATATTTTATTAAAAAAACCTATTTTCCAAAATGAAAACAATTTACTGGAAGAGTGATGTTGTTTTACATTTTTACAAATCTCTCTAATGTCTGACTCAATTCTCATATCTGCTTCTGCACTGAGTCTGTTGCAACACATCGATTGGGTTGAAAGTATATGAAGAAAATCTTCCTTTACGTACATATATAATTGGAAAAAGGGGTAATTTTTAATAGCCTTTTCAGAAAATGGCAGACGCTGCTGTGGTACTACACCAAACTCAGCAAGTGGGGGTCACTTCTTAAAGGTCAGTTGCAATGTGGAGTCTGAAACTACATCAATGAGCTTTTCTTACTCTGTGATGTTAAAATCCATTGGTGTAATTTATACTTTGAATTAATCTTTTAACTATGTACTACTCTGTAACATCATGCATTGATCATTTGGGAAATATTAATTCACTGAGTTATGCAGGTCTTACAAATGTTGACATATTTCATTATACTTATCAAAATATCACATTTATTAATATCACCACCAACTTCATCAGAAAAATATTAAGTATTCGGAACTGTCAAGTCTTGGTAGCAGATACAAGTTTTCCAAAATCCTAATTTTTGCTTGAAAGCTTAAATTTTAACGCTGGTAACAAAATTTTCCTGTAATTTCCCTATAGAAAATGGTTGCCAAATACCCAAGTCTGAATAACCATATTTGTATGTCATTCTTTTAGGTAAAAATGGTTTTCTATGAAAGTGGTGAGTTCAGCTTGCAAGTAAAACAACTGCACAAGTGCTTTTCTTAGAGATAACCATCATGCTTTGGTATGTGACAAAAGTTCTATCTATGTACTTCCCATTTCATCATGCATAATAAAAACTCGTGAGTACTCAAGGGTGGAGATTTAATAAAAATAATGTTATTGCTTCTACAAATGAAACCGCATTTTTTTCACTGCAGATACTTTGTGGCAATGAAGAATAAAATGACTACGGTTTGGAGCCACTGCATTGATTCATGCTAAAGTGCCAGCAGTTTTACCCACCACTGCTTTTGCATCATTAGTGCAAATGTCAACACAAGGAAAAAAGGCAAATGCAATCGTATTGCAGGACCCCCATTCTCCTACACCTTCCAGTGAAATAGAAATACTTTTAGTTCTTAGAGCAGATTCTGCTGTGCCTGTCTGAACAGTCATTTCCCATCTCCTCCTCACACTCCTCCATCCAAATTTATTTTTCAGGTCTTAGATGACATCTCTTCTGGAAAGTCCTCTCTGTCTCCCTGAAACTAGTTAGACTGCCACCCTGGGCACTTCCATAGCACCTGCATGCTATGGTCAATGACTTTAGTAGGAGCTCTTGAGACAATTCCTTCCCCATTAGCGCCTGCCCTCATCATGGCAAGCACTCAAGAATGACTCTTTCTTTGCTCACCAGACAACTCCTAAGCTGTTAAAGCTCTGGCTATAAAGCTGGCTGATGCACCTTGATAACACAGCACTTTGAATGTAGGCACCAATGCAGTGTCTGACATGCAAGAGATGTCTGGCTTTTACAACTTATATGTCTGGAAAAGATTAGAGTTTTATGTTTGCCTTCTGAGTCCCAGCCTGAATACCTGACAACCTCCAACGTGCCTGTCATTTGGATAAAGGTCCACAGTCTGTCCTGAGAGAAGGCATGATGGCCATGTCCCTAGGACAGCCAAAGATAATGAGGTACCATCCTGCTCAGAGTTCCTGCTCTCTGCTGGTGAACCCTGTGGATGCAGGCACTCTTTACCTTCTGGCCAGACAAGAAAAGCCTCGGCTGTCTTTACAGTTTCTATCCCTTTTGGCCTTTAGCTGGTGCTGAATCCTACCTGGAGTGAGGGGCTCTGTAACCCTTACCAGCCCTCTTTTCCTAGCAATCTCCCTATCTGCTTCCCCTGAGTAGGTCTAGGGGATGTTAAAGCTGAATTGTGCTTTATCCACACTATGTAAGTCTCATTTCTATGTAAATACAATTTGCTAAAGGAAAATGAACATGCTAGAAAGTTGGCTCCTGTTCCTAATATACCCCAATAATATCATGTTCTAGTGGGACTTCAAATTTTCTTGCTGGAGTCTCCTATTAAATTATAAATCCCTTGTGGGTAGTGAGTATAATATCCTCAGTAGCTACCATAGTATCTGGTACATAGTAGGTGATCAAAAAATATCTGTTGGAGCAATTAAATAATATATATAAAATTATTAGCATAGTGACTAGAACACAGCAGTCAATAGCAGAAGCTGTTCTGATTTTGATATGATGACAATGACAGGAACATTAAGGTTTATATAGAGATTATTCAGTTATTTTTTTTCTCTCCCAGCTTTGTGGTCAATGTACAAAGTACAGTATTTATTAATACTAGTAATCTAGTAATCTTAGCATGTGTCTAAGGGTGAGGAGAAAAGATACCATTCATGAATCTTAAAGTCGTATGTTCACTCTGCTCTGGGGTGGTAATTTTTGTTATTAATTTAAACCACCTCTCCAGGATTTCTCTGCAGAATTACAATTGAATACCCATGTAATCACTGAAAACTAAGAACCTTTATTTGATAACTTGTTGAGCACATTTTGATTAGGCATAGCCAACATGCTTTCAGGAATGGCAAGTCATTCTCACATAACATGCAGCAAATCCCTCTGAGGATAATACAGACAAGTTTAATCAAAGGAGTGGCAGTGATCTTGGAATTCAGAAAATACTTGACAGAGTTCCATATCAAAGGTTAACAGTCAGTGTATAAGAGCCATAAACCAAGAGGAAAATTGGTATTAGATTGATAAAATACTCAACAGCAGGAAACAAACAAACAAAAAAAACGATCAAGGAGGAAAGAAAAAAGCCATAGAATACTGCACGGGCTGGTGATAAAGTCCAGGATTTTTATGTTATTTTAAAACATCTGAAGGGAAACCACTCTGATTGTGTATTCTAGGAATGTAGAACCATTAGAAAAACAAAGTGGCTTTTAATGGAATATAGGAAATAGAAATAACACATTTTTAAGAGTCATTTACTGAACTCTGAAATGACAACTTACTGGAGCGCTTCGTATGACCAAAACACTAAGGTTAAACTGGAAAGAACCTCTTAAAACGTTTACAAAGTATAATCCATTTGGTGAAGGAGAATGTTGTAAAGTTGGGACAGGTAGAAGAGATACTTTTGTCAATTAAGAATAACTTAAAATTTTTCTTGAAAGGGAAATGGAAGAGAGAAATGCAGACCCACATTCTAATACAACTTTTGTGTTTTTCTGATTAATTCTACTAACAAGTCACAACACATCTCTTTTGATCAAGTACAGGGAAGTAATCTGAAGCACCACCCTGTAATCAGAAGATGAGAAAGCTCCTGAAGTTACCATTTGTTCTAATTAGGTCACCTTCCTACTGCAAATACTCTAGTAAATGAAGTGTGTCACTTCAGTACTCAGCCTTTGCAAAAGACAGTGAACTTCTGAATAGTTGCCACACTTCCTCCTGGGAGCGCCGGTTTGAAAGCTAACTGCTATTTGGTAGGTTATCTGTAGTTCTTTTCATGCATCAAAATAATGGTTACTGATTAGTCCACAGGAAAAAAAAATCCAACTCTCCAATTACCCTCTTAGATACCCATGATACTTAGAGCAGCCTTTTATTTCAGCTGTATTTAGTTAATTGCTCCCCTCCTTCTCCCAATTACTTCCTATCTCCAACATCCAGCACCCAGTGCAGGGTCAGGTGTGTGTGACGGAGGCAACCCTGAGCACAAGGGCCCTCAAAGCGATCAGAGGTCCTTGCAGCAGCCCCTTGCAATGGTGCTGTGCTCTTGAAAGGGGCATCCAAGTCTTCAGCTCCACATAAACACTATCTGACAGCAAAACATTTTATTTACTTTCAAAACTACCAAATAGTTTTGCTATTCAAACATTCATTTTAACTTTCTATAGAATTACTGCCTTTATCTAAGCTTCCAAGCTTCCCCTTAACCCCACGCCCCGACAACCTTATTACAAAAAAGAGGATTTCATGCTTCTTCAGTCCAGTCCTAGCTAAGCTCAGGTCACTCCTGCCTTCTCTAGGATCCAGCTCAATCAACTCTTCCCTGCTGAATTTTCAATCTTCCCCCTCCCCTACAGGCTCATGACCCCATAGGCTCACTTAAGCAAGACTCGTTCACATTAAAAAATATATATGAGTAAATCCTTCCTTGACTCCACTATACTACCAGTATCACTCTTTGATCTTCTGTTCCCAAATTGCATGCATTCCTGGCTTGCCGTCTCCATGTCTTCACTGCCTCCCACCTCACAGTCCACTCACGGTAGCATGTACCCGTAACTTCTCCAGCGCTCCATGTTCTAGTCAAAGAGCACCCCACAGGGTCCCCATGACCCTTGCACTGGCAAAGCTAGCAGGCTTCTCAGTCCTCTCTTCCTGACCTCTCGCAGCCTGAGTCTGCTACCCACTACCTGGTTTTAAAGCACTTTCTTTCTTTTTTTTTTTTTTTTTTGACAGGGAGTCTCGCTCTGTCGCCCAGGCTGCGGTGCAGTGGCATGGTCTCGGCTCACTGCACCCTCCGCCTCCCATGTCAATCGATTCTCCTGCCTCAGCCTCCCAAGTAGCTGGGACTACAGGCTCGTGCCACCACGCCTGGCTACTTTTTTGTATTTTTAGTAGAGACAGGGTTTCACCATGTTAGCCACGATGGTCTCGATCTAACCTCATGATCCACCCACCTTGGCGTCTCAAAGTGCTGGGATTAATAAAGCACTTTCAGATTCTCTTCCCACCCTCCAGACCCTAACTCATAGACTCCCACCTCTTTTCCAGGCCCTCTTCTTAACAGTTTAAAAGTCCTTTCCAGGGGAGTCATTTCCTCTTTCTCCAAACACCATCTTTATGAAAAACTCCCTAATCTTACCCAAACCCCACTTCCGAGCTCCACACCCATACATTTTAAGCCTTCTGAATGCCAGCACTTCAGGTCTTACAGATGCCTCAAATTCATCATACCGCAAACCGCAGTCATCTTCTCCCCTGTTCTACTCCCTCCAAGAAAAAGACCATGGTCCTCCTCCAAATTCACATTATCCTTCCATTTCTTCAAGTCAGAAGCTCAGAGTGGCCCCAGCCTTTTCCGGCTCTCTTAGCTGCCACATCAAGACAACCTAAGGACTGATCCAAGCATCCACATTAACCTACTATATGAATATCGCTCTAAGCTGTCACCTACTCTTTAGTTTTGCTGCCACCAATTCGGTCTAAAACAACTCAGTCTAAATCACATCACCTTGCCTGGACAATAGCTTCTAACTGATCTCCAAGTATTCACCAACTTTGAGATCTTTAATCATCTCTATAACATCAAAGCAATCACCAATGTGACTGTTCAAAAATGGATATTCGTTCCCATCAATCGGCCCCTGTTGAACAAGCCCTCTAACGCCTGCCTGATATTTGGGCTGGCAGGTCCTCCCAGGAGCTCAGCCCTGCTTACTGCTCAGATCTCCCTTCCTGACCCCTCCCAGAGGCAGGGAACTGCCATTATTTTTTCTTGCTAAAGCAGGGCCTTTGTACTGGCTGTTTCTCCTTCATTTGTCATTTTCTCTATCCCCCTTCTATCCACTCACCCTTTAACAGTTAAATCCTAATCTTTTTATGGGTGAGAGACTCAGCTGAAAAGTCACCGATTTTCTCCACTCTAATTTAGAGTAGGGTGAGACCTCCTGTATATATAGCCATAATCCCTTTCCAAAACAACAGCCCTAATTACTTGTACTTGTATTGGGCTGCAGAGTTGACCAAGATGAGGACTGAGATCTATCTTGCTCAGGAGCACCTGGCACAGTAAGGGCAGACTTAGCAGGTACTCAATAAATCTTTGGTTAATGAATTATCAGGCTAATAAATGGCCTCATAAACATCATGTTTTCATTGTTTCACTGCATTTTTAATCACTGCTTTGTCCTTCACTGTCCAACTCTGAGAAATTAATGTTTTCCTAATAAATCAAATAGTTCCCAGAAAAAAAGTCTACAGATACAGAAGACATCTATATACATACATCACACATACACACACACACACTAGTATGTGTGTGGAGAGAGAAAAAGATATGTATATTTGCAAAAAACATACCTTTTTTGGCTGAACTAATTCACATTAAGTTGCAGACATTACGATACTTCACCCCTAGATTTTTGACAGAGTCTCGCTTTGTCACCCAGGCTGGAGTGAGGTGGTGCGATTTTGGCTCACTGCAACCTCCATTTCCTGGGTTCAAACAATTCTCATGCCTCAGCCTCCCGAGTAGCTGGGATTACTGGCATGTGCCACTGTGATGCCTGGCTAATTTTTGTATTTTTAGTAGAGACAGGATTTCAGCATGTTGGCCAGGCTGGTCACCCCTAGATCTTTCGGCAATTTTCTACATAATCACAATACTATTATCACATGCAATAAATTAATTTCTGTGCAATAATTACTCCATATTTCAACTTTCCAAATTGTTTTAAAAATGTACTTTAACAGCATTTTTTTTTGAAAAATTCAGGATCCAAGGGATGATGACACACTGCATTTGGTTGTTCTACCTCTTTAATCTCTTTTAATAAAGGGCAACTTCCCTGCCTTTTATTTTTATTTAATTTTGGTCTTTCGTTATAGACATTTTTGAATAGACCAGGACAGGTATCTGGCAAAATGCTCCATGATCTGGATTTGTCTAGCTGTTTCTCAATAATCAGATTCTGGTTAAAGATGTTGTCAAAAAGACTTCACAGATGATATGCTGTGTACTTCCCACCACTGCAGAACATCAGGAGACGCATCCCCAGAAGACCCTGCCTTGCCCCAATTCAATCATCCTACACCTAGGCCCAGGCTTCTTGAGTCCCACCCTTCCCCACTCCCAGACTCCAGCTGGCCCTCCCTGTGAACAGACATCCAAATATCATCAGACACTTGGGAAAGCCTCTAATGGGAAAGACACAGAGCCAGCAGGACCCCGGCTGTGAGCAGACCTGGAGAGCAGGCTCAAGTGTAGCGAAGGAGGGGAGGGTTCCAGGAAAGCTGTCTCCACTGAGAACAGAACTGACAGGTAACTATGAGTCAGAATGGGCCAAGGAGGGCTTTCACTTCTGTAGGACAGAGGAGGTGTAAAGCCATTAGAGAAAAACTGAAAATGAAGCCAAAAGGAAAAAAAGCAACTCTTAAAGGCAGGCTTATTTTGATATTTAAGACAACATTCCCTCAAGTATTTTTTTACTAAAGGGGTGATGCTATCTGCTTTTTCCTTCCATTTTTACAAACATGGTACAATCAACCCCACTGTTATTTGGTGAAAACAATGAAGTATTTTTTAACAACAACAACAACAACAAATACCTTCTATGGCCCCAGATGGATAATTTTAAGTTGGTTAAGAATGTGGGCTTTGGAGACCTGACCAACATCACTTAGCAGTTGTGTGACACTGGCAGGTTGTCTCATGCATCTCTGTGCCTCAGTTTCTACATCTGTCAAACAGGGCAATAGAATTTACCTCATCGGGTTGTGAGAATAGATAAGTTAAACACATGTTAAGTGCTAGAATAGTATCTAACACATAGTTAACATTCAGTAGATTTTTGTAATCACAGTGAGTTATTATTAATATTATTGTAAGTCTGTGGTTAAGAAGCCTATTTTAACTTTAAAATGATTTGAGCCATCAGAATTCAGCTTTTGTAGATAAAGAATATGAACTAATTGACTATGGATGGAATTATTGTACATAGTTAGCTTGCTGAATTATTGGTTAAGCACTACTAACTATATCTTGGTAAACTATGGTGCAACTGAGCCACCCCCTAAAAGCAAAAGACATTTAGCAGTTCACCATATTTTGCAATTAACCAAATGAGAGCCTATGAGAATGAAATGGTTTCAGGTGGAGTTTGACAATACAATTCATCCATAATATATAGGGAAAAATATTTCCTCAAAAATAACATCTATGTGGTAGGCCCTTAAAAACGATGGATGAATGCATGCAAAATTCTCTGTACACAGACACATGAACTTAAAAATAGAGTACCACTACTACAGTTGTTTAAATCCCCAGCTCCTTCCTGGATAATTGTCACTACTGGGTATATTACTGTCCAAGTCTCCAGGATGAGTGAGTATTTCACATCATGTGGAAGGAGGCTTGCAGGCCTACTTAAGTGAAAAAATCTGTCACTGGTTCTAGCTTATCTTTATCTATATCTTTTGCATTTCTCCTAAGTAACACTCTCATGGAAAAACCACCAGCAAATCCAGGATCATCCTTTCGACAGAATACTGAATTTGAAGAACTGCATGGAAACGGTACTTATCTACAGTTCCATTTTACAGGTTTCTCCCTAAAGCTCAGAGACAGTGAACATTTATCTGGAGCCACATTGCAGGGCGCATGTTCCAGGCCTCCAAATGCACAGGCCAGTGCTCTTCCTTGGGTTCACATTTAAAGACCAAGTTTAATGTTTTTTTAATTGGTGTTTTATACCTAGATTAAATGTATTTTAATATTAGAGATGACTGTGTGACTTTCTTATTTAAAAAGAAGGCCTATGAAATCCAAACAAACTTGTGAAATCTTTAGACAGTTCCATTTAATAATGATCACTAATGGCCATTAGACCAGGCAAAATCTATGAGGCAAACAATCAGAATGTTTGTTTGAAATGCAAATGTAAGACAACTAATGAAAATGCCAACAGTTCTTCTGCTAAGGCCTGCTGTGATATTAAAAACAGTCTAACAGGAACTTTAAGAAGGAGAGACCTGATTCAGGAATTCAGTTACTTAAAAAAGAATCACCTTTGCCTGAAGTACAGGCTGTTCACTTACAGTCATCAGCATTTCAGAAATCAAAAAGCCAATATTTCAACAACTGCGTGTGTATTTTTGGCTGAATGGTGGTTATATTGATTATTTTACCAGCCCTTTAGTGAGATTTCCTTCCTTCTTGGTCGTCATTTCCAGTTCTAGATGGTACCCTATAGGGTAACGAAGGCAGTAGAGTGTGGTAGTTATGAAAGGAAGCTCCGGCATTAGACAGACCCAGGCGTGTCTTCACTCCACTTCTCACCGGCTGTGTGACCCTGGGGAGGTTACTTAACACTCTGTGCCTCACATGCCTCATCTGAAAATGGAAATGATAAAAGCCCTACCTTGTGAAACTGTTGTGAGGGAAAGTAAAAAAAAATATGCAAAGTGCTTATTAGCACAGAATCTGGTGGCCATAGATATTACCTGTATGACACAGAATAAGCACTCTGTATTTGAACTCTCATTATTGTTAGGGCAAGGTGGTGTAGTAGCAGTAAAAGAAAGAAGAAATACCTTCTGTTACAATAACAACTACAAATATTTGAAAATGAATTATGACACAGATTAAAAAGAATGTAAACAGTTATATTGAGGCCTTGAATTCTGTCTTTAAATCGTTGCTCCCTGTATTGTAAGAACTCTTCGTTAATCACTTAAACTGCTGACTGCCAGCAAAACCTAAGCTTCATACAGACCCACTGTCTACCAGGTGAATACACCTAGCGTTGCCATCCATGTAAGGTAATTTCTACAGTGAAGGTAAACCCCAGATACACTCAATCAACATCAAGTCAACAAAGATTTATTGAGCACCACCTGTGTATATGGCACAACCATAAACAGAACTTGCAGTACAGCTTAATTAAATCCCTGGGCCCTGGTAAGCTGAGTGAAAACTACATGTAAATACTTAAGAAATAGCTGGCTGGTTTATCATACATATTTACAGATTTTAATTTACCAAAACAACTTGTATCTTATCCGTTTATATAACCTGTAGGGTCTGTGTTTAAATCAGGATGAATGTGTCAAAGTAGCCATTAAACTGAATTATCAGGGGGTTTTCACTAATACTTGCTAGTTATAAACCTCAGTTCATTGCTAACCACACCCTGAGAAATCAACAAGAAGAACCATGAAGCACTGGGTAGATTTAATTATTATTTTAAATGTAATCTTCCATTTTAATATTCCTGATATAAAGAAGAGTTTTTCATTGCATTGGGGAATCTACCGTCTGTGATTAGTTGAGAACTTTCATTCTCATGGTTCTTGGTTAACTGAACTGTGACTCAGCAGTAACATACCAAGACGAGAAATGACCAGGCCAGACCGTCTCTTGTATAAACAAAAACAGAACAGAAGTAAATGGAGATTAGAGCCCAGGCAGAACCGCTACATTCAGTTTCCAAATATGGGCATGTGGAGACACTCAGGACAATCACTAAGGACAACCCAGAAGCATCACATGATGACTCTCATGGGGGAAGACCTTGGGCAGCAAGAGAGAAACTTTTGGCTCACACATGATAGTAATAAAATTGTTTTTGTTTACAGAATTCTTGTAGGAGGAAGGGGGAAAGATACAAGGTAAAATTAATAAAACTTAAGAAAATAACAGTAGAAAAAGTAAGTGAAGTCATAAGCTGGCTCTTTGAAAATATGAGTAAAACAAAAGCTATTTAAGCAAGAAAAGAAGAACAAAAAATATACAAAATTAGGAACAGACAAGGTGATATAATTACAGACACTAATGATTAAAATAAAGTGAACATTATTCACTTTGTCAAAAATCCAGAGTAGATGGAAGATTTTCTAACAAAATATAAAAGTACCAAAATTGACCAATGAATAGATAGAAAACAAGAACCATTTATACCCTCTCTCTACTTGTCATCAATATCCCACCATACTGGGTCATCTCCATCAGCATATAAGCATGCTCTCCTATCATCCATCATTAAAAAGTCATGACCCCCAAGCCCTCCCTAGTTTTGCTACTCCCCATCACTGCACATCTGTTCCAAAGAGCTGTCACATGTGGGCTCTGCACTTGCTCATCTCCTGCTTATGGCTCAGCCACTCCATGCTGGACACTGTCCCCGCTGCTCCATCAGATTTGCCTTAGCCACCATAGCCACCAACCTGCAAGTGGTCAAATCTAAGTCCCTTCCTTTAAGTCGCATCTCACTGGACTCACTCAGTGCATGTGATGTTGTCAGCTACTCCAGTCTGCCTTAGGCACACTCCTCTCATGCTCCATGATGCCACGCTCTCTGGGTTCTCCTCCCTATTTCCTGGTCACTCCTTTTCAGCCTTTGTCTAAAGGATGAATTCACCAATGCTCAGTCCTAAATCTTCTGCCCCTCTCTACATGGTTGAATTCCAGATTCATGTATCCAATTTGTGCCCTCAACTCTTCCCCTCATATCTCACTGGCATCTCAGACTACACAAGACCCAAACCAAACTCTTTGAGTTTCTCCTTAAACCGGCTCCTCTTTTTTGCCTTGAATGGCATCATCATCCATACATTACAATCAATTAATTATTCCTCTGAGAGAGTCCCGTTGCTTCTTCCTCAAAGATATATTCGCTTCTCTGTACTTCTACTCCCACCATCCTAGTTGTATTAGTCAGGGTTCTCTAGAGAAGTGGACCAAAGAGGTGGGTGTGTGTGTGTGTGTGTGTGTGTGTGTGTGTGTGTGTGTGTGTCTTCACCAGTCATGATCCCTGGTGTGTGTGTGTGTGTGTGTGTGTGTGTGTGTCTTCACCAGTCACCATTCCTGGTGTGTGTGTCTGCATGTGTGTGTGTGTGCACAGGCAGGCCGGAGACCCCAGAAAGAACCAAGACTGCAGTTCAAGTCTGAAGGCCATCTGCTGATAATTCCCTCTTGCTTGGATTGGGTTAATCTTTTCGTTCTATGCAAGCTTTTACCTGATGTGCTTTACTCAAAGTCTAGAGATTTAAATGTTAATCTCATCCAAAAACACCTTCACAGAAACATTGAGAATAACACCTGACCACAAATCTAGGCACAATGGCCCAGCCAAGTTAACACATACAATTAACCATTACACTAGTCTAAGCCACTTCATTTCTGGTCTAAGCCAATGCAACAGGCTCTAACTGGTCTCTGTGCTTCCATCCTTTCCTTCCATATCAAAGCCAGAACACCCGCTTCATGCATAAATGTCTCCCCAAACACCCAACAGCTTCCTATTGCAACCAGATTAAAGCCAAGGCCCATGAACAAGACTTGACTGTACCCTCATCTCATCCCAAGCTCCAACTCCCCACTAACCAGCCCTCAAGCCTGCCTCAGAGTCTTAGAATATGCTGACAGTTACACTTCTGCCCCTCTCTGTTTGCAAGACTAAACTCTATGTATGCCTTCATAACTCATCAAAACTTAAATATGTGTCCCTGGCCCTCACAGTATTCTCCACTGTTTGTTTCCTTGACAGTGCTGAGCACCAATGAATATTATATATTTATTTGTTTGATTTCTTATTTATTGCCTGCCTCTGACCCTACAACCTCCATTTGTGCAGGGACCATGTTTGTCTTAACTCATCCCATGCAGAGCCCAGGGCCTGGCACACAGCAGATGCTCAATTAATATTAATTAAATAAACAAAAAATTCTAATGCAAGAAAAATCTAAACACCTAGAATAAAATACTTAAAGTATCTGAAAAAATATGTTACATAAACCTTGAGATAGATAAGCACTTCTTATGCAAAACAAGAAACTTATAAAGCTTAAGTGAGAAAATTCCAGATTTGATTATACCCAACTCAAGTATGAGATGAGACACCATGAACAAAGTTAAAAGATAAACAAAATATATGCAACACATATAACAGATTCTACAAATTAAAAAACAGAAGTCAAACAATACAATTCAAAAATAGGCAAGGAATTTAAATATCACGTAGTTAATAAATGTCAGGAAATTAACAGATTCTAATCTTAACACACCATATCGGCAAAAATTAAGACAAACGTTCCTAAAGTAAAAATATTTTTTAAAGATTATGATTTTAAAATGATCCTATCGGCCATTTTTCAAATGGGCAGTATAATACAATCACAGTGCAGAGGGCAAGACAGCTTTGGCAAGAGAAAAGAATGTACAAAAGCAAGAGGTTGCAGATTTTTTTCTTTCAGCCACATCTGTGATGGATCCACACTGAGTATGTCTGAAGCAGAGGATTACACATTTTCCAAAGCAAAGATTACCAACCTAGAAATAGTGATGTAATTACTGTCTCATCACCAGATATCAAATTATCAGAGACTAAAAGTTTTCTGTGGCTCAAATTGCTTAGTAAACACAGACTTAGAAGGGCCTTCTCCAGAAATAAATGCCAGACACACTAGTTTCAGGGTTCACAATTTCACCGAAAAACCCCTCAAAACAAAAACAAAACGAAAACATGCTTTGGAAAGAAACAGACATCGTTATTTTAAGGAGGGGTGGGGAGTTACTCCTAGGGAATCTCTTCTCTGTAGCCTTTAAATTCATTTGGTATTAATCCTATTTATACAATGTAACCTCCACAATCCTAGAAATTGTACTTAAAAATCACAGTCATAACATTTTAACCATTTCTGTACTTATTGTAGTCACCTGCTGAGTAAACACTTAATTGTACAGAGTCCCTCCTTCTCTACCCACGCCCAGTAATGATAAACTGACATTTTGCAGTTAAATAAAAGCCACATCCTGCCAGCTGGGAATACACTTGCAGAGGCCATGCTCTCCTGTCCGGAGCACTGTCACATGCTGCCTGAAACCACACCTGCCAATCACGGCTTGCGCACATGTGCAGCCTCTGAGACTGGGGCCCAAACTGCCAGCTGGGCAGATTAGGCTTTTTGACATCTGATTCACATTTAAACAACCAGAAGATCTCTGTAGAACCGCTCCCAAACTTAACAAACGGTTTAATATGGACTAACACAGCCAAGGTGGGAAAGTTTCTCCGGATGAGGGGTTTGCAGTGTTTGAACACAGAGAATGGCAGCATTTAGAGGAAAGGTATCCCCACCTGTTTCATTAGTGCCACTATTCGTAAGTGAAAAGATCTCCACTGCCTCTAAAGCCTTTAGCTAAATTGCTGAAAGGCCTTCCACACAGCAATTCTGTTTTACGGCCATTAAAAGGCCCAACTAGCTTCAGAACTGCCTCGGTGGACAGATGCAGTGGAAAGCTGCTTCAGCCTCAAACCAGCTGTGAGGGGAGGGGGTAGGACCACCCAGGGCTGCTCACAGGAAGGGGAAGCTCTGCTCTCTCCTGGCAGTTCCGGTGTTTTGTCTCTCCATGCCCACGTCCCTACTAGAAAATGAGAATGGCAAAATGGTGAGAAGCAGACATAAAGACACAATATGACAAGTAAACAGGGTAGAGACTGAGCCACAAGAGACTTCCAGAAGCATGCTTTTGAAGGGGGTTGGGGATCCCCTTTTAGAAGGATGGTTATAAGGAATACCAAAGAGATTCTCTTCGTCCTCTAGACTTATTTAGCTTGCATGCATCCTTCCACCTGCACAGATGCCTAAAAACATTTCACTAACAGCTGTAGAAACAAAACATGTGTCAAGGAAAAGCATTAAATTAATGAGCATCTAGTTTACAGTTTTAGACTGAATTCTCATCAATGGGAAGTGAATTATCCCACATTCATTAGGGTCATCATTACACACAGTGAATAATAGGATACTTTAATTTTGCACAGCTGGCTCTTGAATCCAAAGCATCAACACTCGGTCCTTATTTTCACTTACATAAAAGACAAGATCCTAAATGTACTAATCTTTTACAATTCTCCATTGACTGAATTTTGAGGCAGAGGAATGGGCACTGGTGGAAAGGAGGCTAGAAGGGTATGGGCGGGGCGGGGGGCATTCTGTGAAAGACTTCATGTGCCAGTCTCTGGACGTGGGGCTGCCTTATCCAGGGCTGCCTTATCCAGTTACCATGGAGAATTATTCAAGCTTTTCAGCGGGGTGAAGGGATGCCCCTGAGCAGACATGCTTCATGTGATGGAGAGAGGGTTCCACATTACCTTCAAAGTATATTTAGCACTTAAGTGTCACATCTAACAGGCATGAATATACTAAGGCCTGCAGTGAAGGGAACACTATCAGTGGCTCATCCATCAGTCCATTCACAAATGTCCACTGCAAATGTCCATGCTAGGGATGGCGACTGGTGAAGAAGCAGATTCTGCAGGATCTGGGCACTCACTGGGGCAGTGGGGCCTGGTATTAAGGAAAGAAAACCTTAAGCGTGATGCAGCTTTCTCACTTAGATTGGACAGGGTAGGTAGTGAAGAGACCACAGCCAAAGACAGGAAAGACAGAGGAGATTCAGAGGGCAACAGCAGTGCAGGGCCGGATGCTGACGACAGGAACAGGGGCACCTGAGCCTGCAGGGAGAGAGGCAGACACATGCCAGGAAACTTGCTGCCCGAGTGGGAAGTAAACTGTGTATTCATAGTCAGGGCCCCAGCTTCCAGGTAATAAAAGCATCTGACACTCAGCTGCATTTTTATCAGTGCTTCCTACGACGTACAAGTCCATAAAGTTCAGAAACAATTACTAGATTTAAAAAAAGAACAACGTTGTAAAAGACTTGTATCAACTTCTTAAGCCAAATTAAGACCCCCCAACAATGAAAAAATTAACAAGAGCTCAAGGCTCAAGCTAGCTAAGCAATCCTAGAAAGGTCCTGTAACTCTAGGTCTCAGTTTTCACATTGGGAAAAGTGAACAGGAGGAATCAGAATCTTCCTAACATTCTAGGAAAATGGCATCATAACTGGGGCAAATTATATACTCCTTTATTTTGGCAAAAAAGGAGGCTGACTTCCCTTTAAAAATCTCACATTAACTTAAAACATTTTTTCTACATTAAAAATTCCAATTCTTTATCAGAAGCGTGTTTTAAAAGTCAGAAACTTGATAAAATTTTAAAATATTGGTCATTAACATATTTGAGATTAACTCATATGGATTTTTTAAACCTATAAACTGGTCAATGTAATTCAGTTGCATGTATCACTAGTGGAGGTATTTGGCTGATTTAAATTATTTCAAGTCTATTTTGGTATGTATGACTAAGTATTTGCTTGCAGCTTCTTCTCTTTTTCCTTTCCCATTGTCAGGTTTTAGGAAACAATATTTCCCTTCTGTCCAATCTCTGCTATTCCTTCTGTAGGCCCTTCCCTCCCCAACTTCCCTGCATTTTTTTTATTCTTTGAAATTAGCAATCATGGCCACAATCAGGGTTTTAGCAAAATAAATTCTTGTCAAATCAGATAATGGGTTAAATTCAAGGAGGAGGTAGCTTCAACTGATCGAGGTAATAGAGAAAATCAGCATTTCTTCCAGCCCATACTCCCATCTGGGGGCATCTCACTACCCTCTGTCTTGGGCTGGGGACAGACGGTCTTGAAATGTGCCTCCAACTCTGGGAAGACAGAGGCTCAGAGGACTGAGACCAGCCTTTCTTAATCCAGAACAAAGATGGATTAACCCCATATTGAAAGTCAATTTGTAAGTCATCTCCCTCTATTTCCACAAAGCCTGATTTAAAGCAATGGTTTCTGCTAAGCAGCACAGAGTTACTGAAGGCAAAGGAACTTGTCGGAAGAGTCAGATATGCATTCACTTTGCCACACTGCCTGCCAGAGGATACAGCAATGCAGCTTTTTAAAATGAAGAATAATTTGTTAAGAAATTTTCTCACTTATTATTACCCCTTAGGTCTCCATTCTGTGACATGGTGAAAAATAAGAAGAAAAGATGTACTATAATACCCAATGTTCTTACAAATAAAAACAGTAATATTGGTTAACATTTGTTGAGCATTTACAACACACCAGGTGCCATTCTTAAAGATTTACATGTATTAACTCATTCATTCTAATCTATGAGTTGAGTAACATTATAGTCCCCAACGTGAGCGATGAGAAAACTGCGGGTCAGAGTGGTTGTCACTTGGCCAAAGAAGAGTTAGAATTTCAATCCAAGGAATTTGACTTCAGAGCCTGTACTATTAACCAGATTCCATACTAATTAGAGCTTAATAGCCTAAATCAGTAGCCCTCCAGGGGACATCCAGTAACATCTGAAGACATCTTTTGGTAATCATACGAGGGCACAGGAGATGGTACTGGTGTCGAGTGGGTAAAGGCCATAGATGCTGCTAAACATCCTAAAAGGCACAGCACGGGCCCCACAACAAAGATTATCTGGCCCAAACTGCCAATGGTGCTGAGGTTGAGAAACTCTCAACCTTTAATTAGAAATAATATTCCTAAACCTTTTCATGTTTCCCTCCTTTAACCCAGTTTAACACGACTCGACTTTAGAAAATGATGAACAGGGAATGTACACTAGAAAGGTATCAGTGTAACAAAAGACAAAATGCAAGAAATTTCAGTAAATTGGTGCTAAAAACTTTATTCCATTTTTCAAAAACAACAGTAACTTCTCATTAATCAAAAATAAAAATCTTGGCCAAGTGCGGTGGCTCACACCTGTAATCCCAGCACTTTGGGAGGCCGAGGCAGGTGGATCACTTGAGGTCAGCAGTTCAAGACCAGCCTGGCCAACATGGCGAAACCCGGTCTCTACTAAAAATACAAAAATTGGCTGGGGGTGGTGGCATGTGCCTGTAATTCCAGCTACTTGGGAGGCTGAGGCAGAAGAATCACTTGACCCTGGGTGACAGAGGTTGCAGTGAGCCGAGATCACACCACTGCACTCCTGGGTGTGCAGTGTGAGTACAGCCTGGGTGACAGAGCGACACTCTGTCTCAAAAATAAAAATAAAATCTTTTCTTTAAAAACAAAAACAAAGGTAGTTAACTAGAGCAAAACTTACTAAAAATGATTTTGTATTATAGCTCAAGTACAAAGTTCTCAAAATTATAGTTTAGATTGCCAGATTTTGAAGTTGCTAGTGGCACAGCAACTTCACTAGAGGAATTTACACTGCCTCTGTCTAATCTCACAGGCTCAGAAGGTGGGCAAGGAATGGAAGGAGTTCCTCATGGGTACTAGCAACACCCTTTGGGCAAATACCCTTCCAGCAGCTGGCTGCAGACAACCTGATCTGAACCTGCTGCCCTTCTCCTTTTGAGGTGCCCAGGCAGGCAACCCTTCCACAGCAGTTACAGTCTTTGTGGCCTGGACTCCACCCGGTATCACTGTGTGGTTCATTGCTGCTGCCAGTCAGCCACACTGCATTTTCCCACCTGAGGATTCTACTCGAGTGTTAGGTAAAGATGAACTTTCACAAATGAGAAGAAAATATTTCAACCAATTTTACTGTAACACTAAAAACTTCCATCTGTCTCTGGTCAAAAGTTATTAAACTGCTTTGCACTTCATGAAATTACCTAAAAAGCAACAGATTCTAAGAGTCCTAGCTGGGTGTTGCTCATTCATTCCATCAGTTATGTGGCCTTTCTTCTCTGGGTACCTGCCTATAAGAGTGGGTCCTGCTGTCCAGGACCTCACAATCTGCTGGGAACAGAGACTTGTCAGGACCAAGTCCAATGCAAGGTAGGGAAAGGGCACACTAGAGAACACCACAGATTTCACAAAAGGGGTGGCATCGGGGACTGTCACTCACCTTTCAGAATAAAATCCAGAGTTTACCATAGAGTTCATCCTCCAAATATTCAATTCTGTAAAATCATTACTGTTTTAGCAGACTAACCAATTTTCTAAGTGAGGACACATTTTTACTTATGCAACAAATAACTACAATTCAAATTGCTGCAAGTTATAAATGTGACCACTGGTAGCTTTTATTGACTTCCATATTTTTTGACTTTACATCCTAAACTAAGTTAAAATACCTTTAATAATTTGCAAAAACTTAACAGGTCTTAGTGTTATCAAAATGTTAAAGCATATTGGCTAACAGAATGAATATTCACACAATGGAATATTATATAGCAATGAACAATTATGATATCCAACAGAGGTTATTTCGCTCACAAATATAATGATACATGAAAGTAGTCAGCAACAAAAAGTCTATACTATAGATCCAACTGTACAAAGTACCAAAACTAATCTGTGGTGTTTGGTCAGGATGGGGGTTATCTGTTACTGCTTGGGGGTGGGAGAGTAACTGGGAGCAAGGGGGTCTTTGAGGGTATTGATAATGTCCTGTTACTTGACTTGGGTACTGTAGAAATGGATGTGTTCACTTTATGAAAATTCATCAAACTCTACATGTATGTTTTGTGTACTTTAAAGAAAATCTTCTTAAAATAAAAAATGCTGGGTAAGATCTGCTTATCAGAATTCTCATTCTTCTGCATTTTAAGAGAACCAAATTTAACATTCAGTCTACCTAACTTGTAAGACTTAATTATCAATGCTATTTTAGAAATTTTTAGAAATGACATTCTTAGATTTGTGACACTAGAGTAAAATAATAAAATAATTTAATGCTGGGAAAAACTGCTGATGAAGTGGTATGTCATGTTCATGATTTCAATCAAGTACTACAGAATGACTTGAAGAGATTTTTTTTAAATATAACTATTCATATGAAACCTCAATTTAGAGGTCCAACTCTAATTCGAAAAAAATACACAACTCTTTGT
Organism: Homo sapiens; assembly: GCF_000001405.40. Lineage (NCBI taxonomy): Eukaryota > Metazoa > Chordata > Mammalia > Primates > Hominidae > Homo > Homo sapiens. The sequence goes on along the minus strand of NC_000014.9, from coordinate 56,190,045 downwards.
TCAAAATGCAAGAAATGAAACTAATGTTAGCAGACCAGAGAATGCAAAACTGATTTAGATCAGATGCATTTTCACATAAGAATGCCTTATCAAAATGTTGTAATTGGTAAGTACATTCTCCTGTGACGAAAGGCACTGGCTTTCAAAGTTAGTATATTCAACTAATTTAGAAACTGTTCATTGTTAAACCTTCACTGCTGTGATTTAAAAACAAAAACAAAGATACATTTAAATTGTAAAGTTTATAGAGAAAATCTATATTCAAATTATGATGATGCAGTTTTAATTTTTAATCTATCAATGCATTTTAGCTAAGTTTTTAATATAATTAAACTGCCAATAAGTAAGTACAAATGTTAGGTTTCATCATATCCTACACCTATGTATAACTTTTATAACAGGTCATTAATACTTCCCAGAGAAACCAGCATTAATATTAGCTAACATTAATCAACTGCTACCACGTAGTAGGCATATGATGCGTTCCAGGTGTTTCCCATCCTGAGTCACTAGCTGGAGGCAGACTTTATTACTACCAGCAGGGATTATACATTCCCAACCTGTGAAATCAGGCAGAGAGCCATGAAAGTTGCTTTAGCCAGTGCAACAAAAGCATGTCACTTCCAGGCGGAAGCTTGAAGAGCTATGTTCTCTCTCTTACCTCGTCCTACATAATCTTTGAAGTATACATCAAGATGGAACCTCCATCAGTGTGGCTTCCTGAATTTCCACAAGGAACACAGCCCCCAAGTTAACCCATGATGGACAAAAACTGAGTAGTAAACATGCTTTATTGCTGTCAACTCACTGAGATTTCAGAGTTGTTACTGTACAATAACCTGGTCTCAACTGACTGATATAAATCCCTGTTTTATTTTATTTTCTTTGAGACAGAGTTTCGTTCTGTCACCCAGGCTGGAGTGCAGTGGCGAGATCTTGACTCACTGCAACCTCCACAACCCGGGATCAAGCTGTCTCCTGTCTCAGCCTCCCCAGTAGCTGGGACTACAGGCACAGGCCACCACACCCGGCTGATTTTTCTATTTTTAGTAGAGACGGGGTTTCACCATATTGGTCAGGCTGGTCTCGAACTCCTGACCTCAGGTGATCCACCTGTCTCAGCCTTCTAAAGTGCTGGGATTACAGACATGAGCCACTGCGACCAGCCTAAATCCCTATTTTATAAAGTGAAAGATGAGCCACAAAAAGGCATCTTTTGCCCAAGAGCCTACAGATATTAAACAGGGAAACTAAACATTCAAAAAATCTACATTTGAAAGCCCACACTTTCACTCAGTTCTGCTTTTCATAATTTAAAAAATATATAATCAACCATTACATCTTAAAACTCTCAAAAACAAATGCTATGCCTGAAATGAGAAGGAAAAAAGACCAGAGATACACACAAGTTTTTATGCAAAGCTGCTTATCATGATGCTATTTATAATAGAAAAATTTAGAAACGACAATAGAAGGGTTAAATTTTAATGTTAACACACTGAATACATTAACATAATGAAATACTATGCAGTGGCTAAAAACCAAGTTTTCAATGGTCATTTTATGATACAGGGAAATGTCGTAACATAAGAGACGGAAAAAAGGATAGAAAGCAATATTCATAGTATAATCCAAGATTCCAGAACTAACCTGAACAAAATTTACCAAGCACACCTGATACATAAACTATCTATGCATGTGCCTGTGGGTTTGCAGAATACCAATCCATTAGTTATTGACCCATTAGAACAAGTGACTGTCCCAAAGCAGGTCACACTATTTGGTTACTCATTCAACAAAGTGTGCTTGGCAATGGGAGTACAGAAATGAAAGATAGTATCTGCCTTCAAGGAGCCTGCCGTCCAGGAAGACACGAGAAGTCAGCCAATTCCAATGCAGCGTCAGAGCACTTGTGGGGATTTACAAGAGGCATTCTAGGAGTTCACAGAAAGACTTCTCACTGAGGCTGGGAGTGAGGGGAGACGTCCAAGGAGGAAATGGCAGCTGGGCCAACTTTTCCGAATACTGATATTGAGGGCTAGTACACCAGGCTGAAGATCATCCTGGGCAACGACAACGCCCCCTGCGAAGGTCCACAGGCCAGAGAAAACGTGGCCACCTGCGGAGCACAGAGAAGAGCACGGCGATCCTGCAGGGCTCACCTGGCAGCAGAATGAGCACAGTGTGAACCAGAAGGGAGCTGCCTATCTGAGAGCTCCCAAACCTAGGCTGCCCTCCATCACCTCTAACTTCAATAAAACAAAACCAAATCTTCCTGAAGCCACTCATTCGTGCCTCCCCTGGAACACGGTTATGATCAACAAAGAGCTTATAAATAGGTATCTCTGTGAATCAGTCAGCAATGGGAGGACTTCAAAGAGGATAAAGTACTTTTTCAGAAAAGTTAAGGCCAATCACGCACTTTAACGTGAAAAGCAAAAGGTGTAACAAAACAGGCCACAACCATTCCAAGTCAGCCACTGGTACCTCAATGATCCTCCCTTGAAGTCTGTGACTTCTTTTCAGCTATACAGAACTTATCCTGATATATTCTCTACTACAAGCGGTCATAACTACCCCTACAACCAAACTACTTAAAAGTCAAGCCTCCATTATTTTTGCTTTTGTAGAACAGGCTCTTTCTACAGAGCACCTGATTTTAGACTGACAGCTTATCCTAACACTGATACTTAAATAATGTACAAACTTGTCCCTTGTAGGTCTACAAGGCAACTTCCATTTTTATTGGCAAATATCATATTCACTTATTTTAGGGTTGCAGCATTCTAGTTTGGAGATGAATAAATTTCCCAATTCACAGTATAGAAACGTGGAAAAATGAGGAGCAGAACCCAGCTTTGGTCTTATCCTTCAGAATATTTTCTACCTGCCATCTGCAGCAACAGACCAACATTCTTGGGTCCTGGGTAGCGCACCTGGCTTAGTGACTTAGGTCAACATACTGAGCTTCCTTGAACTTTTTAACTCCTTCATTTGTTGAATGAGCAGTCAGTTTGAATAAAGTTCCTTCGAACTTTAATGCTCCATGTTTGTTTTTTTAATTTGCAGCAGAAGATTCTTTTCCTCCATGAAAAGATGGGCTGCAAGTGCCTGAATCAGGGTCATAATTCAAATAAGTTTGAGTAGAAGCATAATTATAAATGCAGATAGAACTATTCTTTCCGCACTGACATGTTAAAAGCAACTCTAATAAAATTATGCTTTAAGGACAACACAAATTAAATTATTTTTCCAACGAATACATGCATCAAGTCAAAATTGTAATTACTGTATATCAGTAATGCAGATAATTACACAGATAATTAAGTTACTGAGTGCTAGAGTCAAGCTTTCCTGCTCTAATGCTCCATCCAAAAGAATTTTAAAAGAAACAAAAAACCTCATTCCCTGCCTCTCAATTCTTTCATCTCTTCCCCAACCTTTCATTTCCCCCACCACGAGATTAAGAGCTGCTCAGTAATGTGAGGTATTTTGCATTTGATTTTCCATAAAATAGTATGTATAAGTTTTCTCTTGTGGTTATAACAAATTACCACAAAACTTAGCAGCTAAAAACAACACTAATGTATTATGTCACAGATCTGTTTGCCAGAAGTTCAGCAGGCTTGGCTGATTTCTCTGCCTGAGTCTTACAAGGCCAAAATCAAGGGGCTGACAGGGCAGCATCTATGGAGGTTCTAGGGAATAATCTGTTTTCAGGGACATTCAGGGACCTGGCAGGATTGAGTTCCATGTGATTACAGGACTGAAGCCCTTGTTTCCTTGCTGGACAGCTGCCAGGGCTGTTCTCAGCTTCTAGAAGCCACCTGCACTCCTTGGCTCATAGTCCCCTCTTCTTCAGATCCAGAAGCAGCAGGTGGAGTCCCTCTCATGCTCCAAATCTCTCCTGCTCCTTCTTCCCTCACATCTCATGAGTCTTCTCCATTCCCCTTTCACTATTAAGGATGCTTGTGATTACAATGGGCCCACCCAGATAATCCAGGATAATCTCCCTATTTTAAGTCTCATGACCTTAATTCCACCTGCAAAATCCCTTTTGCCATGTAAGGTAATATATTCACAGATTCCAGTGATTAATGTATGAGCATCTTGGGAGAATGGGGACAGAAATTATTCTCCCAACCACATAATACATGCAGGAAAAAAGAGACAAATGTCCCTTTTTGCTAGAAAACAATGAATAATTCTACCCAGACCACACAGCAAAGCAGCAATTTATGTTAAGTATCAATACATACACACAAAATTAGTTGTTGGTCCTTGAAAAGATGAAACTACATATGCTAGAAAAAAAAAGATTACAGAAAAACAAAAATGCTAATGTCAAACTAGATTAATTGCTGAAACTAACAAAACTGTGATATAATGAAGCAACTCTTCTACTTTCTTGAAGTATTCAGTGGACACTGCAAATCATACCTCAAATTTTAATTTTAAACATACTGTATCTTAAAACCTACTTTAAACACTCTTACACAAATCTGTATAATGAAATGATGATAAGTAGGTATGCTGCTTCAGATCTTAAATCAGTGAAAGTAACACTGCCTGGCTTAAATACAGCAGCAAAAAGCTCAACATTTTACTTAGGTGGTTTGAAAGAAAATGTATTTAAATAAGAGAGCCTAATGTTTGCTTTGTGAGTAACAGAAGTGAAAAACTAAACCAAAAATAAGAAGGAAAAAGAACAGCTCACAAATTACTATACTTACATTATTTGCAACGACAGAATTACCAAAAGAACTACATAAAAACATAAAAGTATTGATTAATCAAATTTTACAGAAAAGTACTGATTAGTCAAAATTAATGGAAATGTAATAGAGGGTTAGTAACAGCCAATTCTTGATCTAAAACTCACTCTATGTAAAACATATAATAGGATAATCACCTAATCACAGATATACTTATTAAAGTTATTCATGTCAGGAGTGATATTATTTAACAACCAGCCTTTTAATAAAAAAATAGCCATATAAATAAAAAATTGTAAAATATTCCATTTGTTCTCTAAATAATATGAATTACACATTTTATGAAACCGTATCCCAGGTGAAGTAAGTTCTAACAGCAACCATTCATCAAATCATGTGACTCATTTCCAAGTCATCTGTTAATTGTTACAAATTACTGGTATGATCTTTTTATTTGATGTATCTGTCACAAGCTAAGCAATATATGAGCTGTGATTGATATACGAAACCAAATTCTTTCAATAATTTCCCCCATTTAATTTAAAACAATGGGCAAACCAAGTCTTAATATATACAGATTTTCCCATCACATAATACTGCTCATAGTAAATCTTCCATTACCTTCTACTGAACTAATATTAGTTAAATTCTATTTTTTCAGCCCTAATAATACTGAGATTTTATATTCACTATTTCTATTACCATCCAAGCCTTATGAAAATCCCTTATTTATTGGATTGTTCTGTTTCATTTCTGGCTTAATTATACAAAATTTTGTTTGCCTTCAATCTATGGTGCTTTGAAAACAACAATTAGCCAAGTTCTCAGAATCAATAAATTAAAAGGATGTTATTAAAATTTAATTGTATTCCTTAGATTTGTCACCAAATAAGTGCATTTTCTTTTAATTTGCCAGGCAATGTAAGAGTTTTTCCCTTGGAATTAATATTTTGTTTCATTTCAAATTTGTTTGTTCCTCTAATACCTTCTTCTCCATCACAGTTTCCTGTATTTGGTTTATATATTCTATCACTTAGTATTTGTCAAATAAATCTGTCCATTTTAATAATTAAAATTTTTCTTTTTTCTAAAACCATGGAAAAATTCACATTGGTTAGTATATCATGTAATAGAGCCAAACTGCTAAAAAAATTGTCCAAATGCTATTTTAACAATGTCCATTAACATGAATATTCCCATCTTCGGCTGACCGTTAAAGGTCCAAACAGTCATCTCAATTCCAAGGTCTCAAATATGTTATTTAATTCTCTAGTATTTATTTGATACAAGATAAATGTAAAATTTCCAAAAAAAAAGTTAAGTGGTTTACTTGGCTTATCTTCCTATTGCATCATCCAGAGATAACCAAATATAAGTGAGACAGCATCAAATGAAAACACCTAGAAGTTTTTCTAGAATTTCAGCTAAGACAACTTTTTCTCCCTAACACTATACTTGCACCATCTGTGAAACATTCACAAGGTTTTCATGTAAGTATTTCTCATTGAAACCATTTTTCTTGAGTATGACTAATAAAGTTTAATATATTTCAGATGTTGTTCCTTCCAGCTTCATGAAATCAATAAAAACCATCACACTGTCTTTGAAGTCTTGAATATTGCATTTTAAGTAAATTATTAAAACATTTCTATGTGAAATTGTTGGAGCCATGTCAATAATGACTGAAATTTTACCTTCCTGATTTATAAGTTCTCCAAAATGCATTTTTGCATCTCAGTAGATATATGTTTTGCAACGATCAGGACCATAAACCCAAACTTCCATGCTACATTCACATAAAAACAATTCTTGAAGTCCTAATAAATACTTAATGTCAGAAAATTATTTTAAACTATACAGTATATTATATTGATACTTCGTAAATTTTTTTTCCTTTGCCTTGTCAAAACTCTCAGATAAAATGTTTTTCGATGTTGTTATTTCAATTTTTTGGAAAATGATTTATGTTTATTATTTTTTGTTGAAATAATCAAATTGTTCTTGATTCTAGACCTACAAATCATTTGTTTCAGGTTTATATTCCTGCACAGTATTAAAGATATTCTTAACTGTGTTTTATTACTGTTATTTTTTTCTTCTCTCAGAGATTCAGAATATTCATGTTTATGACATCTAAAAAAAGAAAACCTTCCCAAACTTCATTGCCTCTTTATTTAAAATAAAATACTCAACAAATTAATTATTGAACTTCTAAGTATGAAACACCACACACGACCAATCCAAGAGTTATAATGCAGTAACAATGAAAGAAACCAAAGAAAGACCTATTTAAAACTCAGTTATTAAAAGCAGGAGCAATGCAAAAGTCTGAGGCTGATGATAAGGTGATGACTCTCCCGAAGCACCGAGGCCCCAGCTCCATCATGAACGTGCAGGAGATCAACGCCACTCACTGCCATGAGACACAGGCTCGGCAGACAGACAGTGAGCGCTTCCAAAGTGGACCCCAGCACATCCTACAAAATCAGCTAGGGTGAATGAGTTTATGTTGAAAATTATATTGTTAGTTTTACCACTTCTCACGGTTACTGTTGTATTATTCATCAACTGATAAGAAAGTGTTTCAATATTTTATCAACCAGTAGAGCCACAGCAGCCCAAACACGGTGAAGAGCAGCCTGGTTGTAGCAATGACATTAAATGGCCCTCATGTTTCTCTAAACTATCAAAGACCACTAATATTTTCCATTCGGAAATAGGCCAGCTGGAATAAAGTGATTTTCAGTTACTTTTTAAAAGTAAAATATCCAAAAAAGGACATTTCAATAAAGCATAATCTGAGAAGGGAAAACCATCATGAAGAGTTTTCCATAGTAATGTTGCTAAATTTAAAACATGCAGCTAACAAAATATTTCCTATTAGGCACCAGTATCCACACCGTCACCACCACCACCATCATACTATTTACTGGTTAAGTAAGAGCAAAATAGTTGTCCCATATCATAAAAAAGTAAACGAACACATAAACTGACTTGATTTCTCAGTCACATCATGTCACTCCCTCTGCTTCACACCCTTCAATATTTCCCCTTATTTAAAAATCCAAATTTTCCAGCCAGACCCACAAGACCCCTGGATCTCTGCTTTTTTGGTCAACTCCTCTCTCCTCTCCAGCTCACAGCTCTCGCACCACTTTTTTAGAGGTCCTTCCTTGTACCTTGTCTAAACTCTGTGCCCCCTTCCTCTTAGCACTTTCCACAATGCGCAGTTGAATGTATATCCCATGATTCTTTCTCGTTTGCCTACTCACTAGACATTTAGCTCCATGTGGATGTGTTTGTTCACAGCAGAATATCCAATACCTGGCATGATGCCTGGCCATGGAAGGTGCTGAATAAATATTTGTTGAATAAATGGATGGGTGAATAAATTGCTAAAAGCCCTATGCCTATGCAACAGAATGGCCAGAAGTAAAACAGGACTTTTAATTTAAAAACACACACACACACACACACACACACACACACATTACATAATCAGAGAAATACCTCTGAGTATTATTCTAAGAGCAAATACATACATGAATAAACACTACACAAATAGAGATTACACAACAGTAGCACGCACTTGCCATCCTCATTTGACTTAGCCTGGATATAGACATGCATGGAAAACTAAGAGGTCCTGTTTCCCAGCTGCCACGACCACCAGCAAAGGGATATCCCTGTTCTGCCCCCAGAATGTGGGCAGAGAGAATGATTGTTGTGGTGGAGGGAAGAAACAAGACAGCCAAAAGGCAAAGAGCTTAAATCCTAGCAATGAATAACCACACCTACCCTTCTAGGTCCCACTTTCCCAACTACAATCAAAGATGAACTTTCATTACCAATACTGCAGCATCAAAAATCTCAGGGTACACAAACCACTGTCATTTCAGGCCAGTGTCTGCCAAGTACCATGACATTTACTGGCATTCTTAAGGGGCATGGGGTGAGTAATAAAGACCAAAAAAAAAAAAAAAAAAAAAAGTCCACCAGGGTCAGGAAGGGCCCAGAGCCAGAGACACAGGAAGAAGGATATCCATAGAGCCCAGAGAAAGAGAATCTGGAGTGGAATTAAGATATACCTGGAGAGGCCAAGTGGGCCAATAACCGTGGCAAACAGAGACAGGCTAATGGGTTGGATATCTTGATAAGAGATAAGGAAGTATATCCAAAAATAGAATGAACTGGAGATAATTCTCATTTCCAAGTGAAAATGGGCTGTAAGGAGCACCATATCAGTGGGAAAAGTGGCAAAGAAACTGAAAGAGTTAAAGTACTACAAGCTATAGATGCTACGGAGTCAGGGAGAAAGAGACTCGGGGGTAGGTACCGAGTCACTGAAATATGTTCCACAAACATAAGATGGAAAAAATAACAAAAGAGTGCATTCATTGAAAATCAGATTCAGTTAAAGCCAGGAAGTGGGAGGGGTATCTGAAGAAAAGGTTAAATATGTAAAGGGCTGAGTTCACAACTGGCTGGAGCTCCAAGGTAGAAGGTGCCAACAGAGCAGACCCAGCAGCAGCAGTGGCCTGGCACAGCTGGCAGGGATGAGAGTTTGAGAGGGAGCAGGAGTAAGGGGCGGAAGAGGTAGATGGGGGGCGCCAAGGTAGAAGGTGCCAACAGAGCAAACCAAGCAGCAGGAGTGGCCGGGTACAGCTGGCCGGGACGAGAGTTTGAGAGTCTGAAAGGCAACATGGTGTGGTTGATCTGCTCACAATAAATATGTCTGCTCTTAGTTTGCCCATCTCCCTTGGTCATAGTTCGGTGACCCAGGGGAGACCTATCAGAGTCTCTCTCTTGAAAATGTAAACCTTTAAAAGAGATAGAAGTTGGTTGGAGGAAAGTCACTATCTAACACTCTTGAAAAAATATCCATGTGCACTGTTGTTGATACTCCAGTTCTCCTCTCTCTCAAAACCTGGTTACTCAACTTTTCTCTGATTCTGAGGGCTAGCCTATAATAATTTATCTTACTTTTGTCTGTTTTATCTTAGCCAGAATAATTTCTATTGTTATGAACAAAGTATATTTTCTAATTCAACAGAGCTCCTGCTTGAAGCCAATTTACTCAGTTTCTAATGAGTAAACTGAGGCCCTGAGAATATATTTTTCCCAGATTATAAAATACAGAGGGTCAAGACCTAAACCCAATCTGCCCTACTTTTAGTACTGTGGGTAATATTTTTAAACACAGACTTAGATGACAATTATCAAAAGATTAATAATCTAAATAACTTGGAAGTAAAATCTAGGTATAAAAGTAAAACATAAAAGGCTAAAATGGGAGGAGATGGCAGTGGCTAAAGATTAAAGAAGAGATACTTTTCTCTCAACAGTTGCAAATTTTCATTCTATCACAACATGAAGCATGAGTAATCAAAGCAATATTTCTATACATTTTTTAAAATGTCAGCCATTGTATTAACACGAACCCAAGATTTTAAAAAAGAGGAAGGAAACAAAAGAAATGTCAACAAATAGACAAAATTATAAGGACCACATCTAAATACCAGAACATTTCTGGTGCTCATCACATGCTTAAAAACATCTGTTTTGGTATCGTTCTTCACCACATATTTTTGGAGTATAAAATGTTTCTCCTACTTCCTTGACCTCTTAAGATTCTGTTGTTATTTTACCTCTTCCTTTCCTCAGAATCTTCGTAAAGTTGGATTTCCTTTGTTTTCCTCATAAAATGTTCTTTCCACCTAAAAATGTTTAGTTTATTTCTCTTTTTCTAGCTTTGGCTTATCTACTAAATATTAATCTTTCTTGTTTCCGTGGTGTTTGATATTTTCTTATCTACTCATCCCTCATTAATACAAGATCGCTTCAATTGGCACCTCCTAACAAATTCTTTCAATGGCACTGCTTCAGAAATAGGAGCTTTTTAAAAATAAAAACATTAACAAAGGTGATCTATGTTTACATTGCATATAAATATCACACATGCTTCCATGAAGCCATTCCTTTTTCTTCCAAAAGTGGGTTTTCAGGAAAAATGGAAATCAAGACTCTCATTTATATGCCAGGTGGTCCAAACTCATGATCAACAGGTACAGCCAGTAGCCCCGTATGAAATGCTTCATGTAAATATATTTTATAGAAAATAAGACTATATATTAAGGAATTTATTTAATTAAAGAAACACTGTAATAAATCGACTATGTAACATATATCAATTGGAATAAAAACTCAGATTTTTTCCTCGACTTATAGATCAGAAAACAAATAACCAGTTTTTTTTAATTAGCATTTTATTCACTTCAAAATTATGAGAAAAAAATATGTATAGTCGGCCTCTTTTATCACTTGGTCGTGTATACTTTTCATCCTTCTATGAGCCACACAAATTCAATTCCATGTACATACAGATTATGTAAAACCACCTACTACACTCAATTAACAGAAGGAAAATAAATCATGAGGTTTATACCCAGATTTAAAACAAAAACTCTTTAGGATAAAGAACATCACATTTCAACTACATCTATTCCAAATCAATAAATGCTAGCTGCTTTGGTATACTAAAGCAGTGCTTCCTAATAGGACAGATTTTACCTGCCCAGCCCTCCCCAGGAGACGGGCTGCAATGTCTTGAGACATTTTTAGTGATTAACAACTGTGGGGAGCAAGAATGCGGGGGTGCTACTGGCACTTAGCGGGTGAAGGCCAGGGAAGCTGCTAAACACCCTACAATGCACAGCACAGCCCCTCACAACAAAGCATTATCCAGCCTCAAATGGTCTGAGAGACTGTCCTACATGAAAAGACGAAAGGAAAGAGAGCAGCGGACAAGGAGTATCTGTGAGTCACTGTTTGCCAGCACCCTCCCAACTCTTGACAGACCCACCTACCTTGGATGCCTGGGGCGTGGATATCACATGGACGGTGCTGGGTTTGACACCATTTGCCTTGGGCCGCTTGTAGAGGGCAAATCTACTTTTCCTCCGTCCTCTATCTCCATTGGGTAAAGCACCATTGTACCTAGAAACAGAGAGGAAAGAGTTCATCTATCTGCAGATTTTTCAAGCTTTAAACATAAAAGTTAGAGGTATTGAATAAGGGAAAAGACAGGAATGGTCATAAAAGAATTGCCCACTAAACACTCCACAAAAGGAAAGGGTTGCAATACAGACTTCAGCTGTAATGAAATTCAAATCACTTCTAGGAACTTAATTTAAGAGTGATGTACAAGTAATTATAGGTTTCCTATTTTATAAAGTCAGAGTCTTCAAATCTTTTTGGAAAGAGGCAGAGTATAAATAAGCAAATGAGTATTCTGCAGAGGCTGTATTAGGGCTGGCTCAATTCAACTAGCACCATTCTAATAGACCCCAGAGATACACTTGAGAAATATTTTTAAATGAACTAGTTAGAAAATAGCATACTAATTAAACCTCATCTCTCACTTTCAAACCATGTTAATGTTGTCTGCAGGATCTTTATTTGTAAGACAACCAATTTAGTTACTTGCTTTCTTAAAAGTTCAGAATCCTCCACATTCACTCTCATTTCTGTTTGAACCCTACGCTGTCAGATTAGCAAAAGACAGCTTGCAGAAATTAAATATATTTTTGTTAGCAAAAATTAGCTTGCAAAAATATACACATGAGTTTTAGTCCACAAATTGTCAAATAACTTAGAAGTCATCTGGAAAACATATAATGTCCTTAAGCAGGTTTCCTGTATTTAGCTAATACCAGTGCTTAAAAGACATGCAGGATCACAGTTAGCATTTCAATTTTCAGTTGTATTTTCTAACTCTGGATTAATCGGCCCTTGTATGTTCTTACTGATGACCCATATTGCTACATTAACACAACTATTCTCTGCTTCCACCTTGGCGGAAGTTCTTTTCAAGAAAAAAAATAAAAAACTAAAACAAGGAACATTTAAAATTTACAGAGGTATGTATGACAGCTCCAAGGCTCCCCCAGAACACCAAGGTTAGGAGACAGCAGGCCTGGTGGCTTGTTCCTGTCCCACAGATCCCTGGGCCTTCTCCACTTTTCCAGCTACACCCAGAAGGGAGTGGCCGGACAGGGGAAGCAAGAACTTGTGAAGCCCACTGGGAAACAGAAGTTGGAAGAAAGGGGCTTTGTGTGTTTGTTTCACCAGTCAAGTCAGCGTCACAGTCTGACAATGGTTTCAAATTATCACTGTAAGTTATTCCCATTGTCTTTTTAATGTTTCCATTTCCAGCACAAAGGAATGTCAGCTATATAAAAATGTCTCCAGAATAAAAAGATAATTTATTTCAAGTCTTATTCCTCTAGTTTTTCTCAGGCAGATCAGAATCATGTACACTATTTTCTTAAACGTGTTTGTGATGACTACTATAAAGTATCCATGAGTCAACAACCATTACAAACCCGTTTTGTTTTAATATATTTCCATGTCACTTAAATCAAGATGAACACTCTATATTAAAGGAAGCATATGTGAACCAATTACAGCCAGGATTGTAAACAACTTAGAGGAACATTTTCACTACTGTAGCCTACACACAATTAGTACAAGATCTGGCAAGGCTTGCTATGTATGCCCTTCACTTCTACCCAGCTCTGTGTGTATGGCAGGTGCACTTGACAGCAATAATGTGATTGAGAATGACCCTGTATGGTAGATGCACTTGAATGTGTGTTCAGAGTTCCAAGCTACGGTATCCAAGAGTGGCCAAACCAGAGAGTCATTCCTTATCTATGAGGAACATCTGAGTGCCCATCCAGTCCCATGGAACGCAGGCTCTCCAGGATATCACGGCCCTTTGCTTTGGTCAAGTGAAGGTTCGCAGGTGGCAGTTAGGGGGAGCATGTTAAATGAAAATGCTATGTTAACTGCATGCCTTTTATATGCAGTTGTGGTTCTCCCGCTCAACCCACCGCCACTGGCTTTCTCCCCTGTATGTAAGCCACCAACAAAACTCCATGTCTCATCTGCTGGCTCTGAGTCTCTTCTTCAGCCTCTTGAATCTGGTGCCATCCCCACTGGAGTTGAGAGGGGTTTGGCACAACTCTGCGCTGCATCTTTCTTGCCTCAACTATAGACTCCAGGTCAATAGGCCTCAGCCTCGTAAGAGTGCAGCAGACGCTTGTTTGGCTATCTGATCACAACTATACCTCCTTCTCTGGCATCTATTCCTTAACTCCAAAAGTTGAACCCCAGCACCACGTTTGAATGAAATGGCCATGCCAACATCTTCCCCACCACTCTGGGGCTGACTGGCCAGAGGCTGACATCTGACTCAACCTGGCCAATAACATTCTAGTTTTGGAAAATACAAAATTGGGACAGAGAGATAGTCATCCATTCTCAGTTGCTGGCTAGAGCTGTAAAATGTAAACACAGGAGCTGTGGGGATGTCATAAAGTGTTATATGGCTGAAAAAGCAGACAAAGTGAAGAAGGAAGCAGAACAGAGACAAGCACAAAAAGCAATGGAAAGAGGATCCTTAAGGGTTTCTATTGGCCCAGATGTACTCCAGCCATTCTTGACAAAATTCCTTCAGCTTCAGCTAACTCAATTTGATTTCCACGAGTTACAACCCAAAAGTCATATCTAATATAAAGGGAGGGAAAAAAACCAGAAGTGTCAACCTTAACACATGCAGAAACATTTTAATTTAAATTGCCTAAGCATAGAGGCACAGATATTGCAGGTTAAGCAAATAATAAGCCAGCCTACTTACAGACTGCCTACTTACTTAATACATCTAGATGAAAAATCCTATTGGAAATAATTAAAGTAGCACTGGAAAAACCAGTGTCACCATGAGACAAGTTTCTAATTAGGTTAAGCTACATGGTCATTCATTCAATATTCATAATGCCAAGTACTAGAGCTACAATGGTGTATATCAGCTTCCCTGCCTTCACAGAGCTCTCTGCTCAGAAGGAGAGAAAGGCACAATAACAAATATGATAAATACACATGTAACAAGATGCACTTATAGCACAAGGCACATGGCAGGACGCATTAGAGAAGGCTTCATGGTGGAAGCACTGCTTGAACTGTCGAAATCTTGGCCAGGCACGTTGGCTCATGCCTGTAATTCCAGCACTTTGGGAGGCCGAGGCAGGTAGACAGCTTGAGCCCAGGAGTTCGAGACCAGCCTGGGCAATGTGTCAAAACCCCACCTCTACAAAAAATACGAAAATTAGCCTGGTGTGGTGGCATGCACCTGTAGTCACGGCTACTCGGGCGGCTGAGGTGGGAAGATCACTTGAGCCAGGAAAGTGGAGACTACAGTGAGCCAAGATCATGCCACTGTACTCCAGCCTGGGTGACAAAGCAAGACTGTCAAAAAAGAAAAGAAAGAAAAAGAAATCTAAGTAAGAAGTCTAAATGGAGAATGAAGGGGTGATATAATGTGCAAGGCAAGGAGGACTACACAGTTCAGCACTGTGGAGAGTATGAAGTTCAAGTGGAGAGAGTAGTGGGAAAGGAGGGTAAAAGGTAGGCAGGAGCCCGACTGTAACGTCCTGGTTGTATTAGTCCATTCTCACACTGCTGTAAAGAACTACCTGTGAAGAAAAGAGGTTTAACTGACTCAAAAGTTCCACAGGCTTAACAAGAAGCTCGACTGGGAAGCCTCAAGAAACTTACAATCATGACAGAAGCCAAAGGGGAAACAATCACCTTCTTCTCACGGCAACAGGAGAGAGAAAGCTCGAGAAGGGGAAAGTGACACACACTTTTAAACCATCAGATCTTGTGAGAACTCATTCACTATCACGAGAACAGCAAGGGGGAAATCCAACCCCCACCCCGCCATCCAATCGCCTCCTGCCAGGCCCCTCCTCTGACACACAGGAATCACAATTCAAGATGAGATTTGGGTGGGGACACAGAGCTAAACCCTATCACTGGTACTCCCTAAGGGTTATGGCTTTTTACCCTAAGGGGAATGAAAAGTCTGGTAAGATTTAAGCAAATGGCTAACATGACTGGAAATATAAAGTAATCACATAGGGTGGCACAGTGCAGGAGGAACTGGAAGAAATTAGAGGCAAGACCAGACCAGATTAGAGGCAAGATGATCAGACAGCAGCAGCACCATAGCCATGGGGATCTATGTACAGTGGATTGAATGGTGGCCTTAAAAAGATAAATCCAAGGCTGGGCATGATGGCTCATGCCTGTAATCCCGGCACTTTGGGAGGCCGAGGCGGGTGGATCACTTGAGGTCAGGAGTTCGAAACCAGCCTGGCCAACGTGGTGAAACCCTGTCTCTACTTAAAATACAAAAAATTAGCTGGGCATGATAGCACATGCCTGTAATCCCAGCTACTTGAGAGGCTGAGGCAGGAGAATCACTTGAACCCAGGAAGCAGAGGTTTCAGTGGGCCGAGATCGTACCACTGTACTCCAGCCTGGGCGACAGAGCAAGACTCAGTCTCAAAAGAAAAAGATACATCCATGTCACTTGTGAATGTGACCTTTTGGAAAAGCGGTGTTTGCAGATGTAATTAAGCCCAGGATCTCAAGATGAGATCATCCTCGATTACTGTTAGGTCGATAGGTCCTAAATCCAATGGCAAGTGATTTTGTAGGAGGTACACAGGGATAGAGAGGAGACGACCATGTGATGGAGGCAGAGACTGGGGTGATGCAACCACAAGCCAAGGAACATTTGGAGCCCCAGAAGCTGGAAGAGGCAAGGAAAGATTCTCCCCTTAAGAGCCTTCAGGGGCAGCAGGGCCCTGCCGACACCTTGATTTCAGACTTGTGGCCTCTAGAACTGTAAGAGAATGAACATCTGTTGTTGTTACCAAGTTTGTGGTAATGTGTTATGGCAGCCACAGGAAACTATAAAAGCCTGAACCAAAGCAGCGATGGTGGAGATGAACTGGAGGATTAGAGAAAAATTTTAGAGTTGTTTTCAATACAAAGTGAACATCAGAATCACCTGGAAAAAAAAAAACCTTACAAAAATATGAATGCCTAAAACCCAAGAGAGTCTGGTTCAATAAGCCTGAGATGAGGCTCCAGGTCTGCATTTTTGCAAAGCTCCCCAAGTGATGCAGCCACAGGTAAGAACCCTGGTTTTAAAGACAAAATTCACAGTAACTGGTAACCCGTTTGGATGCACAGGGTGAGGGATAAAGGGAACAACATACAGCCTTCTGGCCTGGCCAGAGTGACAGCATTGTTAGGAACAGGAATTACAGGGACATCCGGGGGGAGGCATGGAGGAGGCAACTGAAGTTAGGTCTGGAGCTCCAGAGAAATTATAACCCTGGGGCCTTCACCATGCAGGGGCAGTTAAAGTCATGAGAATAATATAGGCTACTCAAGAAAAAGGTGCAGAATAAGGAGGCAAGGAAAGCTGGGACAGAGCCTGGGAAATTCAACTATTTAAGGAAACAGCCCTTTCTTTGTCACAAGCATAAGGACCAGGACCAGGAAAAAGTTATATCGCCAAAGACCAAAGAATTTCAACAGTGTCTAATCAGTTAAGAGGTCAGTTAAGAGAAAGAAAATGCACAACCACGATTTGGAAAAGAATGAGTCATTGGTGATCTCACCCATCTTCAAAACAAAGCAAAAACAAGCAAATGCCTCCAACCCTAAGCTTCACTATGAGCCTCCACTCTGATTTCCATTGTCTCCTCACAAAGCCAAGAATCTTGAAAAGTACCCACACCCATTATTCTGCTTCCAATACTTGCTGGCTTTTCAGTCCACTATCATTCAATCTTTGCCCCCAGATCCAAAAGTACATTTGATCATTCATCATACAGCCGGCACACCAACCAACCTCCCCTCCTTAAGAGTCTCCCAGCCGCTCTCCTATCAAGGAACCCAGTGTGGCAGATTAAAGAGGGCTTCTTCTCCCACTAAGAGGTGGAGTCTAACTCCCCTCTCCCTAAATCTGGGCTGGCTCTAGTGGTTTGCTTACTAACAACATGCAAAGGAAGTGATGTTCTGAGACTTCCAAAGGCCAGTGTGAAAAGCCGACTACCCTGGGACCACCATGCTGGGCAGGCCACATGTAGGCACTCTGCTCAGCGGTCCCAGCAGAGCCCACCCTTCCAGCCACCCCGCTAAGGCAGCAGACATGAGTGAAGCCATCATGGACACTCCAGACCAGCTGATGACCACCAGGTAACCTCAGCTGATACCATATGGGGCAGAACTGCCCAAACTCCTGACCCACAGAATTGTGCATTAAGTAACATGTTTTAAGCCACTAAGTTTGGGGTAGGTGGTTACACAGTAATAGATTCCTGGAACAGGAAGCCCCAAACCCTTCCCACAGTCATCCTCTCCCTGCCAATCTTTTTTTCTTTTTCTTTTTTTTTGAGATGGAGTCTCCTCTGTCACCCAGGCTGGAGTGCAGTGGCATGATCCTGGCTCACGACAACCTCCGCCTCTCGAGTTCAAGTGATCCTCATGCCTCAGCCTCCCGAGTAACAGGGACGACAGGTGCACACCACCATGCCCAGCTATTTTGGGTATTTTTAGCAGAGACAGGGTTTCGCCATATTGGCCAGGCTGGTTTCGAACTCCTGACCTCAAGTGATCCGCCCACCTCAGCCTCCCAAAGTGCTGGGATTACAGGCATGAGCCACTGTGCCCAGCTGGTCCCCAATCTATTTTAAGTGGAACACTGTCACCTCCTCCTGAAAACTATCACCAAATCTTCCCCTGCCTATTCACACCCCCCATCTGGCCCATCTGCCTCCTAGGGAATGTGAGTTCTAAAAAAGTGAGGCCTTCTGTATCTCTGGCACCTGGCACAGTGTAACAGGGACACACGGTAGGCAATGAAAACCTACAAGCTGGCTGGCTGATGAGAGGACCATTATCTTAGTATGTTTTGTGCTGCTATAACAGAATACCTGAGACTCAGTAATTTATAAAGAACAGAGATTTCTTTCTTACAGTTCTAAAGACTGGGACGTCCAAGGTCAGAGAGCCTGCATCTGGAGAGGCCTGCTTGGCCTCCCTAGATGTTTCATCCCATGGTGGAAGGGTAAGAGAGCATGTGTACCAGAGAGAGCAAGAAATTGAACTCATCCTTTTATCAGGAACCCATTCCTGATATAACACCATTAATCATTTACAAGGGTGGAGCCGTCATGACCTAATCACCTCTTATAGGTCCCGCCTCTCAACACTGTTGCATTGGGGATTAAGTTTCCAACACATGAACTTTGAGGGGCACATTCAAACCATAGCAACCATCTTTTGTATAGTAGAATAGAGCCCAGTCATAAAGACAAAATTCTGCTTACAAAGGCAAAAAGTTACTGTCCCATGAAAGAAGGTCAGAACGTTCCCTGGGCTGGCACGCTTTTCAGCCAGTAAGTTTGTAGAAATAAAATGTCCGAGTGCTGCTGCCACACCTGTTTCAGCTGCTGCAACAGGGGTGTTTCAATTCGAGCCCATAAGAGCCTTTCAGGCTTAACTTTCTTTTTTATTCTGGAGACTTAAAAACAGTTATTTAATAAATGTGTGATGAAAATTTAACTCTTCATATATGCAGAGCAAACAGTTGGTCTTTACAGTAAGGGTATTTGGGAGCTGCAAAGAATAATGAAAATGCTGTGTAAGAAACTTAACCAAGTAATAAAGGGTTTTTCTGTTTTATAGTTTAGAGTTCATATATTAATTCACATATTAATGGGAATTAATAACATTTGCTGTACACTTACTATGTGCCAAGAAACCCTGTGAAGGAGACATTATTACTCCTAGTGGACAGATAAAAGGCTCAGAATGGCTGATCACACACGAACTTACACAGTTAGGAAATGTCAGGCAGAACCTAAAGCTACATCAGTTCTGTCTGACTCCAAATTTCATACTCTTTCCAGTAGACAACACTGACAGTTTTTAAATTCAAGACATTTTTTGGCATACAGTGCAAAGATGGAGTCTTAAAAAGATGTCTGCCACCTAAAAATGTATTTGTCAATAAGAATTTTCTAAGGGAAACCAGAGCAAGAAGGGGGATGCTAGGTGCTCCCAGTCACATTTTGGAGACGTCACGGTTTATCTTAACTAGCCTGAACTCTTACAGCGACATCCACATGGAATGGAAGCGATGTGGGCTCCAGAAGTGGAGGTTGCATCAGCATCACAGGATCACATTCCAGAGGTGGTCAGCTCTTCATTACAGGCTGAAGACTCCGCCTTCCTTCCAAAGCAACTGCTCTGTCACTTGCACCAACAAATCACAAGCAACTACTATGATCAAAGTAGACTGTACACTGCAGATGAACAGGACGTGACACTAGAGACAGACAGACTCAAAGGCAGGGCACACAGTCTCTGAGAAAACCCTGCAATCTGGCACCAGTCTTGAGGTAGCTCACCCTAACTCACTGTATAAATGCACTATTCCAACCGCGTTTAAGGAAATGCCCATATGCCAATAAGCGCCTAACATTGGTTTTATGAAATTATAGTCCCAACCCTCTTATTATTTAACCTATCATATATGCATGGACTTCCCCTGACCCAATGGACTATAAAGCCCAGAAACGCAACAACGTTTATTTCTCTTTGCTTAAGAAATGCTGCATATAGGAGGAGGCGGAGCAATATGGCAGAATTAAAGGCTCCACCCATTGTCCCACCTCACAAGGACACCAAGTTAACAACTATCTACACAGAAAAAACACCTTCATGAGAACCAAAAATCAAGTAAGCACTGATAATACCTGGTTTTAACTTCATTATCACTGAAAGAGGCTCTAGAAGAGACAGAAGAAACAGTCCTGAATCACTGACACCATCCCTTCCACACCCCACGCAGCAGCAACAAGCCTAGTGCTAAGAGCTTCTCTGGGAGCTGAGGAGGGAGAGCACAGTAATGGTGAGGCATTGAACTAAGTGCTGTTCTGTTAGAGCAAAAGGAACACCAGACCAACTCAGCTGACGCCCAACCACGGAGGGAGCATTTAAACCAGCCCTGGCCAATCGCCTATCCAGTGGTCTGAACTTGAGTCCCCGCAAACCTCACCACCAAGGGATACAGTGCTCTGTGTCTCCATGTAAACTTGGAGGGCAGTCGAGGCCAGAAGGACTGCATCTCTTAGGTGAGTCCTAGTGATGAGCTAGGCCCAGAGACCGTGGGCTTGGCGGCAGGGAGAGGAGGGACACATGACATACTTAGACACCAGCTGGAACAGCCCAGGGAGTGTTGGCATCACCCCTCCCCTAACCTCAGGCTGCACAGCTTGTGGCTCCAAAAGAGACCCTTTCCTTCTGTCCAACTGAAGAGAGGAGACGGTAGAGTGGGGAGGACTTTGTCTTGCATCTTGGATAACAGCTGAGCCGCAGCAGGATAGGGCACCAGTCAGAGTCATGAGGTCCCCATTCCAGGCCCTAACTCCCAGATGACATTTCTAGATACAACCTGGGCAAGAAGGGAACCCACTGCCTTGAAGGGAAGGACCCAGTCCTGCCAGAATTCATCACCTGTTAACTGAAGAGCCCTTGAACCCTGAATAACCAGCAGTGATACCCAGGTACTACATCAAGGGCCTTGGTGGCTTCTGGTGAGACTTGCTGGCTTCTGTTGAGACTCAGCACATTCCCAGCTGTGGTAGCTATGGGGCAAAACTCCTTCTGCTTGACAAAGGCAGAGGGAAAAGCAAAGGGCACTTTGTCTTGCACCTTACGTACCAGCACGGCCACAGGGGGGTAGAGCACCAAGCAGAATCTTGGGGTCCCTGATTCTAGGACTTGACTCTTGGATGGCATTTCTGGTCCTTCCCTGGACCAAAGGGGACCCCACTGCCCTGAGGGTGAGTCCCAGGCCAGGCAGCATTCACAACAAGCTGACTTAAGAGACTCTAGGCCGTAAGGGAACATTGGCAGTAGTCTGGCAGTACTCCTCATGGCCTAGGGTGGCAGTGGCTAAGGGGTAAGGCTTCTCTGCCTTTGGAAATGGAAGGCAAGAACAGGAAGAACTGCACCTTCTAGTTTGAGGGCCAACTCAGCCACAATAAAATAGAACACCAGGTAGACTTCTAAGGTTTTTGACTCTAGTCCCTGACATCAGGGCAGCACTTTTGGACCCACCCAGGGTCTGGGGGGGGGCACGCTGCTCAGAAGGGAAGGACACAGCCTGGCTGGTTTTGCCACCTGCTGATTACAGAGCCCCAGAGCCTTGAGTGAACATAGGCAGTAGCCAGGGAATAGTTACAGCAGGCCTTGGGCAAGACCCAATGCTGTGCTGGCTCCAGGTCTGATCCAGTGCAGTCACAGTGGTGCTGGCCACAGGGGTGCTTGTGTCACTCCACCCCCAGCGTTAGGTGGCTCAGAAGAGAAAGAGACTCTGTATGGCTGGGAGAAAGTAAGAGAAGAGAAAAAGAGTCTCTGCCTGGCAATCCAGAGAATTCTCCTGGATTTTGTGCAACACCATCAAGGCAGTTTCTCTCTGAGTCTCCAAGAACCACAGTGTTACTGGGCCTGAAGTGCCCCCTAAAGCCGATATAGCTTAGATCACAACACCTAAGTCCTTTCAAATATCCAGCAAGCCATCCCAAAAAGGAGGGCTACAAATAAGCCCAGAAAGTGAAGACTACAGTAAGTACCTAATTTTTGAATGCCCAGACACTGAAGAACATCTACTAGCATCAACACGATCCAGGAAAACATGACCTCACCAAATGAACTAAATAAGGCACCAGGGACCAAACATAGAGAAACAAATATATGTGACCTTTCACACAGAGAATGCAAAATAGCTGTTTATGAGGAAACTCGAAGAAATTCAAGATAACACAGAGAAGGAATTCAGAATTCTACCAGATAAATTTAACAAACAGACTGAAATAATTAAAAATCTAGCAGAAATTCTGGAGCTGAAAAAGTGCAATTGGTGTACTGAAGAATGCATCAGAGTCCTTTAATAGCAGTGTGGATCAAGCTGAAGAATTTGTTAGCCTGAAGACAGGATATTTGAAAATATACAGAGGAGACAAAAGAAAGAAGAATAAAAAACAAAAAAAGCATGCCTACAAGATCTTGGAAATAGCCTCAAAGGGGCAAATCTAAGAATTATTGGTCTTAAAGAGAAGGTACAGAAAGAGATAGGAATAGAAAGTTTATTCAAAGGGATAATAACAGAGTACTCCCCAAATCTAAAGAAAGATAGCAATATCCAACTACAAGAAGATTATAGAACACTAAGCAGATTTAATCCAAAGAAGAATACCTCAAGGTATTTAATAATCAAACTCCCAAAGGTCAAGAACAAAGAAAGGATCCTAGGCCAGGCGCGGTGGCTCACGCCTGTAATCCCAGCATTTTGGGAGGCTGAGGCGGGCGGATCATGAGGTCAGGAGATCAAGACCATCCTGGCTAACATGGTGAAATGCTGTCTCTACTAAAAAACACACAAAAAATAGTCAGGCGTGGTGGCAGGCGCCTGTAGTCCTAGCTACTCAGGAGGCTGAGGCAGGGGAATGGCGTGAACCCAGGAGATGGAGCTTGCAGTGCGCTGAGATCGTGCCACTGCACTCCATCCTGGGAGACAGAGCGAGACTCCGTCTCAAGAAATAAAAAAAAAGAAAGAAAAAAAAACCAATCAACAAACAAATCACATACAATGGAACTCCAATATGTCTGGCAGCAGACTTTTCAGTGGAAACCTCAGAGGCCAGAGAAGAGTAGCATGACATAAAGTGCTGAAGGAAAAAAACTTTACCCTAGAATAGTATATTTAGAAAAAAAATCCTTCAAAGATGAAGAAGAAATAAAGACTTTCCCAGACAAACAAAAGCTGAGAAATTTCATCAATACCAGACCCCTCCTACAAGAAATGCTAAATGGAGTACTTCAATCAGAAAGAAAAGGACATTAATGAGCAATAGATAATCACCTGAAGGTACAAAATTCACAACTAACAGTAAGTACACAGAAAAACACAGAATATTATTAACACTAACTATGGTGTGTAAACTACTCTTATCCTAAGTAGAAAGATGAACCAATCAAAAATATACCTATATCAACATTTCAAGACATAGTCAGTACAATAAGACATAAACAGAACAACAAAAAGTTAAAAAGCAGGTGGAGGGGTGGCAAAGTTAAGGCATAGCATTTTTCTTAGTTTTCTTTTTGTTTGTTTATGCAAATAGTGGTTGTTATTGGGTTAAAATAACCGGTTATAAGATAGTATTTGCAAGCCTCATGTTATCCTCAAATCAAAAAACATACAACAGATATACAAAAAGCAAGAAACTAAGTCATATCACCAGAGAAAATCACCTTCGCTAGAGGAAGACAAGAAGAAAAGAAGGAAGAGAAGACCATGTAACAACCACAAAATAAATAACAAAATGGCAGAAACCCTTATTAATAATGAGAGTTTAGTCTATTTACATTTAATGTAAAGACCCATTGATCTGACCCATTGATCTGTTGCCTACAACAAACAAGCTTCATCTATAAAGACACATATGGACTGAAAATAAAGGGATAGAAAAAGTTATTCCAGCCAATGGAAACCAAAAAAGAGCAGGAGTTGCTATACTTATGTCAGACAAAATTGATTTCGAGAAAAAAACTGTAAGAAAAGACAAAGACGGTCACTATATAACGATAAAGGGGCCAACTCAGCCCCTTTAGATAGACAGATAAGCCCCAATACAATAATAACTGGAGACTTCACACCCCACTTTCAACACTGAACAGATCTTCCAAACAGAAGATCAACAAAGAAACATTGCACTTCATTTGCACTATGGAAAAAATGAATCTAATAGGTATTTACGAAATATTTCATCCAGCAGCTGCAGAATACACATTCTTTTCCTCAGCACATGGATCATTCTCAAGGATAGACCACATTATGTGGTCTGTCCAAGGTCATATGTGTTAGGTCACATATGCGCTTGAAGACAGGCTATTTGAAAACAAATGTTAAACAAGTCTTAAAACATTCAAAAAATTTGAAATATCAAACATCTTATCTGATCACAATGGAATAAAAGTAGAAATTAATAACGAGAAATTTTGGAAACTATACAAATACATGTAAATTAAACAATATGCTACTGAATGACCAGTGGGTCAATGAAGAACTTAAGAAGGAAACTGAAAAATATCTTGAAACAAATGATGATGGAAATACAACATACCAAAACCTATCAGATACAGCAAAAGTAGTACTAACAGGGAAGTTTATAGCTGTTAATGGCCTACATCAAAAGAGAAAAAACTTCAAATGAACAATCTAATGATGCATCTTAAAGGACTAGAAAAGCAAGAGCAAACCAAACCCAAAATTAGTAGAAGAAATAATAAAGATCAGAGCAGAAATTGAAAGGAAAGAAACAATACAAAAGATCAATACAACAAAAAGTTGGTTTTTTGAAAAAAAAAAACCAACAAAATTGACAAACCTTTAGCCACACTAAGAAAAAAGAGACAAGACCCAAATAAATAAAACCAGAAATGAAAAAGAAGACATTACAACTGATACTACTGCAGAAATCCAAATGATCATTAGTGGCTATCATGAGCAACTATATGCCAATAAATTAGAAAATCTAGAAGAAATGGAAAAATTCCTAGATACACACAACTTACAAAGATTGAACCAGGAAGAAATCCAAAACCTGAACAGACCAATAACAAGTAAGATCAAAGCTGTAACAAGAAGTCTCCCAGTAAAGAAAAGCCCGGAACCTGGTGACTTCACTGCTGAATTCTACCAAGCATTTAAAGAAGAACTAATACCAATCCTACTCAAACTATTCCAAAAAATAGAGGAGGGAATACTTTCCAAACTTATTCTATGAGGCCAATATTTCCCTGATACCAAAACCACATGAAGACACATCAAAAAAAGAAAACTACAGGCTAATATCTCTGGTGAATAATGATGCAAAAATCCACAACAAAATACTAGCAAACCTAATTCAACAATACATTAGAAAGAACATTCACCATGACCAAGTGGGATTTATTCCTGGGATGCAAGGATGGTTCAACATATGCAAATCAATCAATATGATACACTGTATCAACACAATGAAGGATAAAATGGATTTATCCTTCAATTGATGCTTAAAAAGCATTTGACAAAATTCAACATCCCTTCATGATAAAAGCACTCAAAAAACTAGGCATAGAATGAACATACCTCAACATAATAAGAGCTATATATGACAGACCCACAGCTAGTATCATACGGAATGGGGAAAAGCCTTTCCTTTAAGATCTGGAACATAACAACGATGCCCACTGTCGCCACCATTACTCAACATAGTACTGGAGGTCCTAGCTACAGTAATCAGATAAGATGTAAAGGGCATCCAAACCAGAAAGTAGGAAGTCAAATTATCCTTGTTTGCAGATAATATAATCTTATATTTGGAAAACTGTAAAGACTACAAGAAAACTATTAGAATTCATCAACAAATTCAGTAAAGTTGCAGAATACAAAATCAACATACAAAAGTCAGTAGCATTTCTATGTGCCAATACTGAACAACATGAAAAAGAAATTTTAAACGTAATCCCATTTACAATAGCCACACATAAAATTAAATACCTAGGAATTAACGAGTCAAGTGAAAGATCTCTATAATGAAAACTGCATAACACTGAAGAGGACACCAAAAAATGAAAAGACATCCCATGTTCATGGATTGGAAAAATAAATATTATTCAAATGTCCATACTACCCAAAGCAATCTACAGATTCAATGAAATCCCTATTGAAATACCAGTAACATCCTCCACAGAAATAGAAAAAAAAAATCCTAAAAAGTATACAGAGCAACAAAAGACCCAGAATAGCCAAAGCTGTCCTAAGTATAAAGAATGAAACCGGAGAAATCACATTACCTGACTTAAAATTACACTACAGAGGTACAATAACCAAAACAGCATGGTACTGGTATAAAAATAGACACATAGACCAATGGAACAGAATAGAGAACCCTGAAACAAATCCACACACCCACAGTGAACTCATTTTTGACAAATGTACTAAGAACATACGCTGGGAAAAAGTCTCTTCAATAAATGGTGCTGGGAAAACTGGATATCCATATGCAGAAAAATGAAACTAGACCACTATCTCTCACCATATACAAAAATCAAATCAAAATGCATTAAAGATTTAAATCTAAGACCTCAAACTATGAAATTACTACAAGCAAACACTGGGGAAAATCTCCAGGACACTGGCCTAGTCAAAAATTTCCTGAATAATACTCCACAAGCACAGGCAACCAAAGCGCCATTTGTCACATCAAGTTAAAAAGTTTCTGCACAGCAAAGGATACAATCAATAAAGAGAAAACGCACAGAATGGGAGAAAATATTTTAAAACTATTCTTTGACAAGGGATTAATAACCAGAATATATAAGGAGCTCAAACAAAAAAAAAATCTAACAATCCCATCAAAACATGGGCTAAAGATTTAAATAGACATTTCTCAAAGAAAGACATACAAATGACAAACAGGTGCTCAACATAACTGATCATCAGAGAAATGCAAATAAAAACTACAATGAGATATCATTTCACCCCAGTTCAAATGGCTTTTATCCAAACGACAGGCAATAATAAATGCTGGCAAGGACATGGAGAAAAGGGAACCCTTGTACATTGTTGTTGGGAATGTAAATTAGTACAACCACTATAAGAACAGTTTGGAGGTTCCTCAAAAAACTAAAAATTGAGCACCATATGACTCAGCAATCTCACTACTGGGTATATACCAAAAAGAAAGGAAATCAGTACATCAAAGAGATATCTGCATTCCTATGTTTGCTGCAGCACTGTTTACAAGAGCTAAGATTTGGAAGCAACCTAGGTATCCATCAACAGATGAATGGATAGAGAAAATGTACATATACGCAATGGAGTACTATTCAGCCATAAAAGGAAATAAGATCCAGTTATTTGCAACAATGTGGATGGAACTGGAAGTCACTATGTTAAGTGAAATGGGCCAGGCACAGAAAAACAAACATCACATGTTCTCACTTATTTGTAAGATCTAAAAACCAAAACAACTGAACTCACGGACATAGAGAGTAGAAAGATGGTCACCAGTGGCTGGGAAGGCCAAGAGGAAGGTAGGGATGGTTAACGGGTATTTAAAAAAAAAAATAGAAAAATGAGTAAGACCTACTATTTAATAGCACAATAAGGTGGCTACAGTCAATAATAACTTAGTTGTACATTTTAAAATAATTTACAGAATGTAATCGGATTGTGTGTAACTCACATGCTTGAGGGGATGGATACCCTGTTCTCCATAATGTGGTTATTTCACATTGCATGCCTGTATCAAAACATCTCATGTACCCCTAAATATATACACCTACTGTGCACCCACCAAAATTTTTTTAAAAAGGAAAAAAAAGAAATGTTGCATATGGGAAAGTCTTACAAAGTACGTAGGTTTGATTTCTGGCCAGAGAACTAATATGGTAGTGCCACAACAGACTTTTTAGAGATAACCTGCAGCAGCTTTGTAAACATCAGTTCATTCAGAATATGTTCCCTGGCTTGGCCTTACAATAGATTCAAGTCCCCATTCCTAGCTGGAAATGGTCTTTGCTCCAAGTAGCTGCTTAAGATATAACTGAAAAAAAATATATATATATGTATTCATTCAAAATGCATCAAATAATGTGCATGGGGCATGTTAGTCCCAGGGCTGGATGTTAAGGGGCTTAGGAAACAAAAAGACACCCTGTCTTTTGACAGACTCAGCCAGGTAGGCAAGATAGTCAAGGTAACAGATATGAAAGACCCAGCCAGGCGCTGTGGCTCACGCCTGTAATCCCAGCACTTTGGGAGGCCAAGGCGGATGGATCGCGAGGTCAAGAGATCGAGACCATCCTGACCAACATGGTGAAACTCCATCTCTACTAAAAATACAAAACTTAGCTGGGTGTGGTGGCGCGTACCTGTAGTCCCAGCTACTTGGGAGGTGGAGTTTGCAGTGAGCTGAGATCACGCCACTGCACTCCAGCCTGGCACCAAAGCTAGACTGTTTCAAAAACAACCACCACCAAAAAAAAAAAAACAGATGAACAGATGAAAGACCCCTGACAAATGCTAATAAAAAGGACTTAGAAAGCACAACAGGAAAAAAAGAAATAAATGAAAGCAGAATAGTAAGCTTTGAATTGGGATGCTACTCTGATGTCTTTGAGGGGCTATTTCCTGGCATGTCTTACACGTGTGATTCTAGTCATGGAACCTTAATAACAGTCTTCTATGCCAGACCTGTGTGACAACGTAAGTTCATCTTCCATTATCTTACACATCTCTACTGGCTGTTGAGAGGTTTCATATTTCTTTGCATAATCCCCTTTACCTCTACAGGGAACCTTAAAACAGAGGAGGGGCCCAATAAAAGTCACCACATTTGTGTGAAAATAACGGCAGGGGTCTAAGGATCATGAGAGAGGGATTCCAGCTCTACCTCTTTTCCTAGCTGATGCTGTGAACTTACCTAAACCATAACTAAGATGGGCCCCAGTTCCCTCAGCTACACAGATAGTAACACAGTTACAAATTCAGTTTTTAAAAGATCCCAAAATTCTTTCAAACATTTCAATTCAGTATCAATACAGGAGGCGTTTCATCCAACTAAAATACTGGCATCCCGTCTAAGAAAGGTGGAGGCTGTCATTGCTAGGTTAACTACTGGCTTTGATATGTTGCTGCAGTTTACAGAAGACCCCCAAATCTTTATAGCAATTGAGATGTGGCAGTTAACTTTCAGGTAACCTTTTTCTTATCTTGAAGTTTTCCAGCTTCCCCATGCCAAAATGCTTCCCAAGGCTATTAAAAAGTTCTTAATATCAGAAACACAGTACCACTCCCATGTTCATTAAGTTTTAACCTGTTCTTCCTGTATTTATGTACCCACACACCATCATTCATCAGCCCCCTACCCTCACCCGAAGTAAAAGACCTGGTGCAAAGGGAAGAGGAGGACTGTGTCCTGGCTCTGCCTCCAATGCCAAATGTGACTTTGCACATATCCCTTAACTTCTCAGAGTCTGTTTCCTGCCTCATAAAGTAGAAAAGCATAACACCATATGGTTTTGGTTCTGGGACAGTGTGGTGTGGGGAGGTAAGGGCAGAGTTAACTAGCTCACAGGAGGCCTCGACTGACTCCCAACCCCAGCCTCATTAGTACCACACTTAACACTAATCCCTGGGCAAGCACTCTGTTACTTCCTGCATTTATTCCAATCCCTATTAATTCTTGAAAGCCAAATTTCCCTACTTCTTCCTCCAACCAGGCCACACACAAAAAGAACATGCAAAACAAATCCAGTCTACCTAAAAAAAAAAAAAACAAAGAAACTGTTTATGAAAAGAACTATATTATCTAATATTTAGCTGCTTGCCTTTTTGAAGTCCTTCTCCTCTTCTTTTTCATCTCAAATAGGTACTGTTATTGAATCATACAAGATGTTTTTATTGTTCTGAATCTGACTTCTGAGCATTGCTGGAGGGTCAACAGCAGAGCACTTTTCACTGACCAACTTGAAGGTGGGCAAAGTACTGGGAATCAGGAAGGCTATTTATGTTACTCTTAAAGACTGTTTCTTGTATGCTGCTGTTGGCTCTAACAATCCAAAATATCGCCACTTAAGTATATATTAATATAACATTAGTTCTTTATGTCAAATAATTTTTTTTACCCTATGGGTAAAAATTATTTTTTAAGTATTGCCCTGCAGTAATTTTTGATTCCCAAAAGAAGAGAAAATATCACACCAAGAGAAAAAAACAAAGTGTAGCAACAAATAGATCAGTATAGTACTTATTTGTATAATGCAAGAACCACCAGGTAAAGGTTTGTTATTATATCTTATTCCTGAATGAGAGCCATTTTTATACTCCATACTTTACATATTTTACCAATTAATAATTTTGGGGTTAGACCATGTGACTTGCTTTGGCATGAAATGTGCCTGGCAGTTGGTATTATACTCTGGCATCTCTGCCATGGCCACAGGAAGAACATGTCCAGCTAGCCTGCCATGCCAAGGAGAATGAGAGACACTTGGAGAAGACCCAGACCACATCCACACAGCAGGCGCAAAGCCACTCCACCACAGCCTAAAGCAGTGCCTCCTCAACCAGCCCACGGAGTCGAGAGAGCAAACAATTGTTTTAAGTCACTGAGTTTCGGGATGATTTGTTACACAGCATCATATGGCAATAATTAGCTGATACTCTGTGTTTCACATGCAAATTAACTTAAGCAGCTTCCTCTGTATCTAAAGACTGTGAGCTAAATACACATAAAATACCAAATATATACCCTCTGAACGTTTTATATATAAAGAATACTCTTTCAGAAAGAAGTCTAAAATTAAGGATAACTTCAAATGTCTCCCTTTTAATATCAGTTGTAAGAAAATCAGATTCTTTTTAAAAATGAGTATATATTAAAGAAGACAGATGGTAATATTAAATTGTATGTCTTTTATTTTTCTTTCCAATAAATCACTATGTCTTTTAAAATCTGTGGTCCCTCAAATAAGCCAAATAATGTGTGTGCACAAATATCTTAATCTCTAATGATCAATTTTAGATACAAAATAATTAGGAAAATTTTTAATTATTTGGCAAAACACTGACTCTTTTAAATCTGTTTATATACAACTTCTACTATAGTAAGAAGTCTCTTAAAAAATAATCTCGGCCAGGTGTGGTGGCTCACACCTGTAGTCCCAGCACATTGGGAGGTCAAGGCAGGTGGACAGCTTGAACCCAGGAGTTCAAGACCAGCCTAGGCAACATGGTGAAACCCCACCTCTACAAAAAGTAAATAAATAAAATATAAAAATTAGCCAGGTGTGGTGGCATGCACTTGTAGTCCCAGTTACTCGGGAGGCTGAGGTGAGAGGACCACTGGAGCCCAGGAGGTCAAGGTTGCAGGGAGCCGAGATCATACCACTGCACTCCAGCCTAGGTGACACAGTGAGACCCTGTCTCGAAAAATTAAATTAAATTAAAATAAGAATCTTGGGCAGGCACGGCAGCTCACACCTGTAATCCTAGCACTTTGGGAGGCTGAGGCAGGCAAATCACCGGAGGTCAGGTGTTCGAGACCAGCCTGGCCAACACCATGAAACCCCGTCTCTACTAAAAATACAAAAATTAGCCAGGCGTGGTGATGCACATCTATAATCCCTACTTGGAAGATGGCTGAGGCAGGAGAATCACTTGAACCTGGGAGGTGGAGGTTGCAGTGAGCCGAGATTGCACCACTGCACTCCAGCCTGGGCAACAGAGTGAGACTACATCTCAAAATAAGAAGAAGAAGAATCTCAAAGGCTACCTATAAATGAAACAGTAACATAGTAACATTGGCCCTATCATCTAACATTTCAAATAAAGAAACTTGATGGTACACAGAAATCTGATTATTGCCCTAAGTTTGAGACTAGGTATTAAAGCCGGAAATTGAAACTAGCATTGGAATCCTCTGTATCATACCTAACTACTAAAATAATTACTTCCAGTGTCTTTTCCTTTTAACATTTCATGGCATGCCTTTCTTACTACTCCTAAGAATCATGCTAATATATATTTACTTTAAACTTTTTGAATATGCTTAGAGAATTTTTCAAAATTCCTGGAAATACATACATGCCAGATCGAGTAAATCCAACTTTGAACATTAATGGACAACAGCCAAACAAATTACTTACTAAGGAGATACTTAATTGCTATTGTACAGAAACAAATTCTCAAAATGATAATTTTTACAAATCATTTTGGCTTTGTTCAATTACCCCTGAGAGATTTTTTTTGGGGGGGAGTGATTTTATGTGAAATATAAACACTTTTTAATGAGCTACAAAGCATAAAGCCATTCACAGCTTTACATTGTGTATATTGATGCTACATGGATTCATCCCCTTCATAAGACTTTTCTAAAGAAGATTCTTCTATTTCTAGAATATCTACATATAACTAATAGCTGAACCATGAGATTAGAAAATATTAGAAATAAAATGTATACAAATTCAAGCTTATTTTAAGAAATCGAAGCACTCTCTAGAAGTACATTTTCTTACTAACTGCAAAGTAGTAAGTGAATCAGGTCAATTACTCAAAAGTACCTCTGAGCCTCTCTGTAGTAAATGATGTTTGCCACAACCAACTCTCCAGTGTTACAAAAGTATATTACCTAGAAGTTAATTTTAGTTTGACACATTAACCCACTGGCTGCAAAGAGGGAAGCCCTTCATGTACGCCACGAAAATACATGAATACAATAACTTGGCAATTATCACAAATAGCATGTTATATTTTACATGGATGCTAGGAGTCAGTCAACAGCCATGTACATAATCTGAATACAGGGAATAAATACATGATCAAAAATCCAAGAATCAGAACACAACAGCAGTTTTCTCCAAAATCTCCCAGTTTACAAATTCGTGAAATGTAAGAAGATTCTTGGGTAATTTGCAGCCTTACACAGAGAGGCACAGTTTGAGAGCTACAAATGACCTTATAGGTATAATGATTCATTGTATAGATCCGTATTGTCCAACATAGTAGCCACTAGCCATATGCAGCCATTTAAATTTTAATTTGAATTAATTGCAGTTATATAAAATTTAAAATCTAGCTCTCCATACTAGCCATACTTCAAGTGCTCAACAGCTACATGTGGCCAGTGGCTACCATACTGGACAGGTAAGACATGTAATACTTCCAACATTGCAGAAAGTTACACTGGACAGTGCTGGTATAGATTTTCAATCATGTCAAGTGAAGCATCCTCAAGGTCACACAGCCAATCAGCAGAAGAACCGTGAATGCTAGTTCAATTCTGTCCTCAGGATTTCTAGAATTTAACAGTTTTTGGACATTATGTTTCTAAAATAGTTTGTTGGAATAATGCCAGGAGGGCTGGAAGACATTCTCAAACTCTCTCTCTCTCTCTGCTTGAAGATGTTTTTCTCTCTAACTGGTAATTAAGAAAATGTCCTACTGCCTTTTAAGGGAAAGGAAACATTTCAGCATCAAAAAATATATTTTGCTTGGGGTTGAAGCATTTTTTCTAGGGACACATTTTGGAATTTGCAATATAAGTTACTCACAAAGTATGATTCACCTATAAAAACTCAATCTATAAACAACTTCCAAATTCAGACTTACTACAGATACTGAGAAGACATTTGATAAATTCTTTATTATTCCAGATTACTGTTTTTAAGAACCAAGAATAAAACAATATTTATTTCACGTAATTAAAGATAAAACAGTAGATGTACTTAAATTAAAAATCAGAAACAAAACACGGATGTCCACTATTATCATTTTCCTAAATATTGTTATAAAAGTTTTAGCTTAATCAATAAAATTGAAACGGAAATAAGGGGTACTAATTGCTGAAAAAGAAGGCAGAAAACTAACACTGTTGCTACAATAATTAAAACAATGTATTACCTGAAGCCAGGCACAGTGGCTCACGCCTGTAATCCCAGCACTTTAGGAGGCTGAGGGGGGGCGGATCACGAGGTCAAGAGATCAAGACCATTCTGGCTAACATGATGAAACCCCGTCTCTACTAAAAATATAAAAAAAATTAGCCGGGCGTGGTGGCGAGCGCCTGTAGTGCCAGCTACTCAGGAAGCTGAGGCAGGAGAATGGGGCGAACCCGGGAGGCGGAGGTTGCAGTGAGCCGAGATCGCGCCACTGCACTCCAGCCTGGGTGACAGAGCGAGACTCCGTCTCAAAAAAAAAAAAAAAAATGTATTACTTGAGAACAAAAACCAAAAGCCAGTAGAACAGAAGAAACACTTCAGAAATAGACTGTTGATATATTAAAAGTAATGTATGATGAAGAGAGGACCACCAATGAGAAAGAAGTTGGATCATCTAATCGATTGTGCTAGGGAAACTGAAGCTACTTTGAAAGAAAAGAATTGTTTCAAGCTGTATCTTACATTCCACCACAAAATAAATTCTAAAATACTCAAAAGATCGATCTGAACAGTCATAAAATAAAATAACAGTTAATTATTCATCTTATCCCTGAATCAGGAATAATGTTCCTAACATAAAAGCAATGAAAAATTAACCAAAAAAAAAAACCCAACAGATTGATATGCTTGAATACATAAAAATCTGAAACTTCTGCATATCAAAAATTATAAAATTACACATCCAACAAAACTAGAAAAAATACTGGCAATAACATGACAAAAGCCTCGTGTCTTTAATAAACATTTTTACAAATAAAGGGAAGACACAGATATCTTCATAGACACAAGAGAAAAACTGGCAAAGAACATGAATAGACAATCCACAGAAAAAATATAACAATGGCTAACAAACATTTTTTAACATATAAATCCAATTAGTAATCAAAAAAACACAAATTAAAGCAAGGTTTCATTATTTGCCAATCAAATCACCAAACTCTGATCAAATGACACAGTGCTCTAACATACTACCGTTAAGAATGTTACTTAGTACAATCTCTCCACAAAGTAATTTAGCAACAATCATCAACACCCTTATAAAAGTATTCACGTACTTTGAGCTAATAATTCTAATTTGAAGGGTCTATCCTAAGGACACAAATTTGAAATGTAAGTCAAGTTTTATGTACAAAGATGTTAATTATGTCACTGTTTATAAGGGGAAAAAATGTAAACATGAATGTCTGTATTAGTCCATTTTCAAACCGCTATAAAGAACTTCCCTGAGACTGGGCAATTTATAAGGGAAAAAGGTTTAACTGACTCAGTTCCGCATGGCTAGGAGGCCTCAGGAAACTAACGATCGTTGCTGAAGGCAAAAGGGAAGCAAGGACCTTCTTCACATGGCAGCAGGAGAGAGAATGGGGGGAGCTGCCACTTATAAAACCAACAGATCTCGTGAGAGCTCACTCACTATCAGGGAAAGGCATAGGTGAAACCACCCCATAATACAATCATCTCCCACCAGGTCCCTCCCTCAGCACCTGGAGATTACAATTTCAGATGAGATTTGGGTGGAGACACAGAGCCAAACCACATCAATGTTCAAATAACAATGAATCAAGTAGACTGTGTAATTCTACATGATGAAATTATATTTACTACAAATTCTTAATACCAATGAAAAAATTATGTAAACCAAAATATACAAATGTACATATAGCATCATCTCTTAAACATGTTGAAACTTTTTAATATGCATAAGAAAAACTAAATAAACACACCAAAATATTAACAGTGGTTGCTAGCCATTAGAAATGGGTAATTTAATTATTTATATTTTTCTCTATCTTCTAAATGTCTATATTGAGTATATTTAAATCAGAATTTAAAGTGTATATTTTGTTAAATAAGTTGTCTTCATTGTTTTAATTTCTAATGGTACAGTATTACTCAATTTAGATTTGAAACAATAGCCAGAAACAAAATCAACCCTTACCATAAGAAGAGGGTTTAAATTTATACTCAGTAGAAGGCTACCATGCACCCAAATTGTTAAATACCTACATTCACAAACACCACTAATCCACACATTATCTCTAGCACAAGAAAAGAACTCGGTTTTTCAGGATGCATGGTGATGACCTCCATTTTAAATATACAAAACAGTTGGGGAAGCTGTTTACAAAAAAACTCTATGTACCTATCATTCTTATACTTTATTTTTAAAATTAAATCTCAAGTTTTCTGCTTTTTCCACAGAGATTCCTCACATGGATATATTTAATTCTTTTATATAGAATATTAGTCAAATTTTTAACTCATGTAATTTATCATTAGCATACAAAATTGGTTTCTAGGGCCTAAGGACACTCTTTTGAAAACATTTCAGTCTGAAAAGTTTGTCTTGGATCAATGCCTAAAAGAATAGAGTTGTCAGCACCATGAATCAGGCAATGTCAAACCCTTTTCTCTCACCAGTGACCATCTTCTTGCTACTTTCTCTCTAGCTGAACAGGGTAGTAAGCTTTATCTTTAAGTTTGACTCTAATGACAATTAAGAGCAGGAACCACAGGCAACTCAGAGATAGATCGGGATCTCTCATACTGCCAAAATCATTATATACAAAAACCCCGTTTTTCCAAATGGCTATAGCCAATAACAAACCAATAAGCCAAAAAAGTTCATCTTCAAATGAGTTTGTGAAGAGATCTAAAAAAAATTAAACAGGATTTTCCTTATGATCTTTCTCATGCTTTTTTTAAAATGCTAATGTAATGAGATTCAAAGAGTTATGAATCTCCAGGTGGAAGAAACAACATGCAATATTTCCCGAGTGTACTTAACCCACTATCCTACTATCATGGCACACAGAATCATTTCTGGAATAGTGCTCTAAGCAGCTAATTTTGGAACTGCAGAGGTAGGTGTGTATACATACAGTACCACAAAGCCCACCTCACCAGACGAAGACATGGGATGATGTCTTGCAGAAAAAGGAGTGAGAAATAACTAGAATGCATATTGCCTACATTCCCACTAATCCATATTTTCTAACTGACATCAACTGGAAATGAATTTCAGTATGTGAAAACTTCATTTTACAGCCATCTTTTTACAAATATATCTACTATAAGAATTAACATTCTAATTATAAACTAATTTGGTTATAAATAGAATGTTTACTTCCTTGGTATATTAATGACAAGCTATAGTGAAGGAAGAATATATATGAAAAATTAAGAGATCAAAACCATAAACACAAGATAATAAACCTTCCTCAGACTGACCCAAGGGAGGTCTAAACAAGACCTGTGCAGGACAGACTTAGAGCTTAAAAGTTCCTGGGACCTTCAATAATTATAGTAAGTTGGTGGCCACCCAGAAACCTCAAATAATGAGGCAGGCTGCAGAGCTCCAGTCTCTGGTTTTCCTCTCATAAACAGACTGTTAATTGTCCCTCAATACTCATCCTCCCATCTTCCTTTTAGTAGAATAATTACAACTTCTAACATCTATATAATGCTTCCTTTGTGTCAAGCCCTGTCCAGAATCCTTCATGTGTCCTCCCCTATAACCCCGTGAAGTAGGTACTCCTATTACCCCCATTTTATGAATAAGAAAGGATATACAAAGAGGTTAAAAAGCTTTCCCAAAGTCTTACAGCCTTAAGTGGCAGAACTGGGAATCTAACCTGTCCATCTGAAGGAAACTCCCTCAGTTTCCCTTGCAGCTAGATGTGGCCACGTAATGGTTTGGGACAAAGGGATGTGACCATAAGTACAACTTCTGGCTCTTCTCCTTAAAGTTGAAAGCACATTCCCTGGCCTTTCTCTTCCCTGAATGCTGGAACACAGACTGGAGACAGGGCAGCTTCTACTATGTGAGTGGGACCAACTACCTGGGAGTAACAGCATGAATGGAAGCTGGGTCCCTGAATGATCCTGTGGACTACAGCAGCCTTGGACTGCTCAACTTTGGGCTATTTGATGAGAAAGGAAACATCTACTAAATTTCAACTATAAGACTTAGGTGTCATTGGGGTATCTTTGTTAAGAGCAGCTTAATCTCATTTTCTTTTGGCCCAGAACTTTGTCTTCTTAAATAAACTACTAATAATTTGTTTCTTAATAAAACTTGTTTCTCAGCTTTAGTCCAGATAGTAACTATAACTTACTAAATGCTTACTTGATACTGTTCTAAGCACTTTACATATAATAACTCAGTTAATCTCAAACTTATAGGGGAGGCCCTGTTAATATCCTCATCTAAGAGAAGAGAACCTCAGGCACGGGTTAAGTAATTTGTTCACCACCACGGAGCTACGCAGCAGCAGAGCTGGGATGAACAAACACTGTGACATCAGGTCCTAGCTGAACAACTACATTCTAATGGTTGAGGTATTATTAAGGTCACACAATGCATTGAAGAAGTTCAGCCCCTTGAGAAATCTGCAACACTTACAATAAGTAATGTTGTTCTAGAACAGGTCTGTGTAAAATAGCAAGGAAGCATCACAGTTGAAGTACCTGGGGCCAGCAAGGATGAGCAGTAAGCATGGGGTAAAGATAAGTGAGGATCAAAAATGAGTTCACAGAGGTGATAACTGCACAACAATGCACTGGCTAGAAGTAAAAATTCACCAGGTAAATGGGGGCCGAGGGAGGGAGCAATAAGAGAATGGTATAGGCAAAGGCCACGTGGCATTAAACCCCTGCAACTGCTCCAAGTCACCAAAGATGCTGCAAAGAGGCCACACGGGGTGCTGTGGGCAGGAATGGGCAGGCAACACTGTCAGAACACGGGTCAGAAGCACCTACTTCAATCTCATTTTTCACTTTTTATTTCTAAGTTCCAGCCACAAAGATGACAAGGGTGCCTGAATCTTTCATTTTCATAGTTCTTAACATGCAAAAGACAAAATCATTTCATTCCCTTAAACTTCAGTCTTCTTATCCATAAAGTTACTTCAGATTTCTCAGGGTCAAGGATGAAGGAATCCTGTGCATCACCTGGTCCAGCCACTCCATGCTGCCAAGAATCCACTCTGCTAGCTCTGAGACAAAGGGTTGCCCGACCAGCTGTCCCAAGTGGATGGAGCACAGCCACAGAAGGCCAGCTCACATCCCTAGTAAAGGTTTTCTGTATATTATGTTAAACTTGGCTTCTTTGTCGTTTTTACTCAGTGTCCATATCAAGCCTTCTCAACCAATGCAAATAAATCTGCCACTTTTCTAGCTGACAGCCCTTCAAATATTTAGAATCTTGGAAATAGAGGTTATAAGATATTTTCCAAGTACTATAAATACCTCAAAAATATATAAACAGATACTTAAACATTCTTAGTTATGTTAATTACCTACTTCCAAAACTCATTAATAAATAAATACTCTACTACTCAGCAGTGTGTCAGATATAGGCTAGCCTGAAAAAAAAAATCACTTATCTTAAAGTGACTACTGAGTATACTTAAAAATAATTTTTCAAAAAACCAAACATATGGCTAATAGAAAATGGGATCAGTTACGAGATTACATTGGACCAATTAACATACATAGCATTCATTAAAATACATCTTCATTCTTAAACTCTGTCTAAATGAATTTCTTTATTTTGGCTTATACGTGGGGAAATGGTTTCCTTCAAGCTGGCATGCTGGCAGTTAACACTGCATCTTAATGTTAACCACCAGACACACTTGACAGTTACGCCGTGCTTGCTGCCAGGGACTTAATCCCCACAGTATTTCCTCTTCAAACTATTTTGCTTTTGAAGAGATCAAAGCACTTTACCTTATTTTTCCTTATATCTCAAGCGCCTGAGAGGGAAGGTAGCAAGCATAACTAAAGTTATTAACGTTTTCCTCTTAATAATAGTATTACTAATGTCTATAACATAGATGTCTAGAAAAACCATTAATCCCATCCACTAGGTAGCTGGAGCTAGCATAGAGAGTTAGAGGGAAGCAAGACCTGTTAAATCTCCGAACAGTACCAAAAAAGGAAGAAGGCAGGAAAAATGCATGTTCTATATACATGGGAGGAAAGACATTAAACGTCCTTAACGAAAGTAAAACACAAAATGTTTGTATTAATCCCTAAAAGATACTTGAGCTTTTAGATCAAGAATAAAAATATAACATACACAATATTTTAGAGATTTTAAGATATTTTTCAGAGATGCTGCAAAGTGAGATAATCTGGAAATGAACTGAGGCAACACAACTCCTGAAGGTCAGGTAAAAATTAATCTACCAGAGCAACAAAAAAGATTTCACACTGTGATGTAGTTTTAAAAAAGAAAAAAAAAAAGTAAAAGGTGGGCTCCAATCTCCAAGGAAACTGAACCATGAGCCAAATGGAGAAATACTTGGTGATAAGATATATTCTTACATTTCTTTTCTCATAGCATTTTCTTCCTAGACTCCCATGCTCCTTGAGGCAGGCATTCTTATTTTGTAAGGCATAATTCCACATGTGATTAAACTTGGCAAGTTGTAGAAATAAAAAAGGACAGAGAACGAGCTGCAGTGTGCGGAATATCTTACCAGAATACATAAAGCAGAACGATGCATAAGAAGAAAGTTAAACAGGGAAAAGCACACTGTTTGCAAAGCCCTCACTTTTCAATAACCATGGATATGAGGTTTAAAGCTTATGTAGTAAGTTCACCCATTTTAGCATCTAACTTCACAACTCGTTTCAATTTTATTAAAACCCTGGTTAGAATGTTTTATCTGCCTTCACAGAAGGATCCATACATACTAAAGCCAAAAAGATTTAAACCCTAGTTGAAAGGATTTGGGTAAAATGTCATTCTACATTTTCTTAGCATGAGAGCTTGGATTACTGAAACAAGTAAGCTAAGGAGGTGACCTCTCTCCTGAAGCTCTTTCAATCAGTGAATGGGTTTGGGTCTCAACCTTCCTGAAAGACACAGTTACCCACACACTTCCTCCTCCGATATTCATGGGCTGCCTCTCACTTCTCACAAGTATCTGCTGCTCCCATCCCCCATTTTCCCTGACTCCTCTTCCCTCTTCATCTGAAAATCCTTGTGGAGTGTTCACTCTTGCCAAGCACAGGACTAGATACCAGGATCACAAACATGTAAGAAAAGTCCCTGCTACCAGGAGAACACAGTTCAGCAGGGGAGCAGAAGCAAACACACTGCTACAGTCCCTAGGGACAAAGGACAATAGGAAGGTTTGCAAAAGTGCTCAGAGAACACAGAAGAAAGGAGGAGAGGAGGGAAAAGGTGTGTGGGAAGGTTTCAGGCAGCTGAGGCACCTACACTGAGTCTTGAAAGGCTGAATGTATATGTTCGGAGCAGACAAGGGCTGGGGAGGACAGGGTGTCCCAGACAGCCAGAGCAAGATCTGCAAAGGCCTGGAAGCAAGAGCACATGGGCCACCTGAGAAGCCCCAAGAATAGGCTGCAGGCTGTACATGAGAACACAGAGGGAACTGATGCAGGCAGGGCCTGTACTGTGAAGGTCCTTTTACACCATGGAACATTTGCACTTTATCCTAGAGCCAACACACACATGCGCATACATTTTTACATAAATCTTAACAGGGTCACATCTCTTTTCATTGTTACTAGATCTCTGTGGTTAGCACTGTGAAGGATGGACTGGAATGGAGAAAAGATGAAAAGGAATAAGGAGGCTACAGGCAAGCCTGGGATAGAAAAGAGAAGTCAGATTGGACATAAGGAAGTAAAAAAAGCTCAGTGATTTATGTGATATGAAGGGCAAGGGAAGGATCCAGGCTGACCTCTAGGTTCTGGTTTGCACAGCTTATAGTGCCAGCTGCCCTGAGACAGAATCCAGTGCAAGGAAGTGGATTTACCAGGGAAAGATAACGATCTGGTGCTGAACTTTACATTATGACCCAAAAGTATTCAGTAATCTACATTTCTCATCTAATGCTATTAAAGCACCAAACCTAAACTGAACTGTTCCCAGGTTCAGTTACATAGACTATGCAGTCTTGTACCAAATCTGATTCCAAGACAACCTGTCAGACTAATAATCCTGTGGTCAAAACGCCACATGGGTAATAACATAACAGTACTCTAGTTTTCCTTTTTAACACACACCCAAACCACACACCTCAAAATATCTTCTCTTCCTCCTACATATTTATAGCTCTCCCCTAACTTTCTAAAAGGCTAGGGCCAGAGAATTCCATCACAAGACAGAGAATTATAACGATGTTGTTTTAGCCCAGTTGGGGATCACTATAGGGGTATTTTCCCAGATTTCATGGATCAACAAATAGTTCACATAAAACCAGAGC
This sequence comes from Homo sapiens, assembly GCF_000001405.40. NCBI lineage: Eukaryota > Metazoa > Chordata > Mammalia > Primates > Hominidae > Homo > Homo sapiens. The sequence goes on along the minus strand of NC_000014.9, from coordinate 56,147,606 downwards.
TCATAAAAAGAATTAATATAAACATTAAACTTCAGGAAGAAAAATGTTATATCCTCAAAATGCCATTCTATGCAATTTGGTGCTGGTGTAGGAATTCAGAATGTTAAGTAAGAGACAAAGAAAGAAGCCATCCCACCAGTGATTTTCATATCTTCTCATTCCCTCTTCCCCATGTACATGTGCTGCTGTTCCCCATAAATGCAAATGACAACACTATGGCTTGTTGCCAGTAATACAATAAACTCAGTAAGATGGTACAGCATCTCATCACAAGACCTAGCAATTCCACTACTAAGTACCTACCAAAGAAAAATATACATCCATGCAAAGAGTTGCAAGCAAATGTTCATAACAGCATCATTCATAATAGCCAAAACTTGAAGACAATCCAACTGTCCATTAACTGATCAATACATAAACAAAATGTGGCATGGCCATTGATATACAATGGAATATCACTTGGTCATAAAAAGAAGTACTGATACATGCTACAACATGGATGACTAATGAAAACATTATGTTAAGTGGAAGAAACCAGACTCAAAAGACTAAATCCTGTGTGATCCTACGTTATGAAATTTCTAGAAAAGGCAAAATTATAGAGACAAAGCACAGATCAGTGGTTGCCTAGAGCTGAGACGGGCACAGGAATTAACCACAGACTGGCAGGAGGGAACAATGTATGGTGATGAAAGTATTCTGAACTGGACTGTGGTGATGAACATATAAAGTAATGTATCAATTTACTAAACCACTGAACTGTACTGAAGTAGGTGAGGTATGGCATATAAAGAACACCTCAGTAAAGAAGAAAAAAAAAAAGAAGACCTTTATCTTATAATGTTATAACACAAGTAAAATTGATCTCTCATCATGCAAACCTAATAATTCCGTAATGAAGACTGTGCTAGAATGTTACTTTCAACTTCACAAGTTTGTACTATATTCCAATAGTACAGAACCACCCATTCCTCCAAGACCCTATGACTGTGTACATTCTGTTAGTCCTGCTGGAAATGCTCTCCTTTACATGTCAACCTGGCAAAATCCTTCTCATCCTTCAAGTTTCAACCTAATGTTCACACCTTCTCCTACCATCAGACTGTATCTTATACGAACTTCCAGTACAGTAATGAGCACATCATATGGTGAAAGTATGTTTGCACCTCTCTCTCCACTGAACCAATGCATCGCCAAGGGAGATTCATGGACCTATTCTTAGGGGTCCACAATATGTAAAGAAGACTATTTTTAAATCTTCTTTCTCAATGTCCCAGTTTGTACTGCATTTAGAGTCATGATGGGGCAAACTATTACCATTTCCATTGTCTGTCACTAACAAAAAACCAAGAGGCAGACCTACCACACAGATGATGCATTTGGGGCAACAGGAGACCAAATGAAATCATACTGCACTCCACAAGAACCAGGACTTCAGCATTTCCGACACAGAACTAGGAACACTGAGTCATCCCACGCAGGAGAGGTAGTCTGAACTTAAAAACCTCTGCCGGGATGAGTCAATACAATATTTTGTATTGCAAACAGTCCTTCTGTTTTAGCAAAACAATGTCATCTGTCACATTAATACAGTCAATTTGGATTTCAATGACTTTATAGTTTTATATTTCATTACAAACTGGCTTTGGTTTATAGCTGTAAAAAATATGTAAGCATAAAGTGCTTACTCCTAGTTACAGGTTTCTACATACTTCAGTAATATTATAACAAAAGTAATGTAAGTCAACATTGGGAGTTCAGATAATTGTTTTCCCTTTGAAACAGAACCATATGTTACTCAAATTAGAGAAACAGTACACTAGAATATATACCCTTTCATAGCAGAGGCCGTATCTTTTCCTTTCTGTAGCCCAAATGCATGGCATAGGAAAAACTCTCATAAAATATGGTTGAATAAATGATAGTTTGCATTCTGCTGCTACTCCAAATGAAAAAAATGTGAACTGCTACTGTCTGATAATGCCCTCGGCTAATCTATTTTGGAGCTTTAAACTATGGGGAGTTATCCTGCTCTCAAAGGTATAAAACCTAACTAAGCAGAACTTGTAGAAGGAGTGGAAAGAAGGTGTGGGGAAGGGAGGGAAAGCAGGCATTCTGTGACTGAAACAGATCTGTCATTCACTGAACTATTTCAAAATTAACCAGAGGCAAAAAGAACATTTATGAAACATTTTCCTAGAGATACGGTCTGGCTGTGTCCCAACCCAAATCTCATGCTGAATTGTAATCCCCAGTGTTGGAGGTGGGGCCTGGTGGGAGGTGACTGGATCATGGGGGTGGTTTCTAATGGTTTAGCACCATCCCCCAGCACTGTTTCATGATTGATAGAGTTCTCACGAGATCTGGTTGTTTAAAAGTATACGGCACCTTCCCCTTCACTCTCTCTCCTGCTCTGCCATGTGAAGATGTGCCTGCCTTTTGCTTTCTGCCATGACTGAAAGTTTCCTGAGGCCTCCCCAGCCACACTACCTGCACAGCCTGCAGAACTGTTAGCCAATTAAGCCTCTTTTCTTTATAAAGAACCTAGTCTCAGGAAGTTCTTCATAGCAATACACCTAGAAGCCAGGACTTAACCTAACACCCACCTTTTGGTCTTTTTCTAACCCCTTCCAAACTGGGTCTTCCACATCCCTCTTCTCCTGTAATGGAAACACCGGCAAAGAGTAAAGTCAGTAATAAAGAAATAGTAGGATGGAAATCCTTATTCCTTTTATTCCTGTACAAGGCCCCATACTAAGTGCTGAGATTACAGGGTAAGACAGGGCTGGAGTTACAGGGCAAGAGGCCCAACAAGATCATAAATAAAATGCATAATTAGAGATTCTGAACAGTGCTATTTTACATTCATCATGTCTTTACAAAATTTTATAATCATCTTTACAAAATTTTATACATCATCTTTACAAAATTTTATAATCATATCTATCATATTAGCAATTTTGTAACTATATTATGCATATATTAGGTGTGATGGCCAGTTTTATGTGTCAATTCAGCCAGGCTATTGTCCCTAGTTATTCGAACACTAATCTGCATGCTGCCATGAAGGTATCTTGTAGATGTTATTAAAGTCCATAATCAGTTATATTTACATAAAGGAGATTCTCCTAGATAGCCTGTGGGGACCTAACTGAATCAGATGAAAAGGCTTAGGAGCAGAACTCTGGCTTCCCTGAAGAATCCCACCTGTGGACATCAGCTTTGGCTCATGCCCAAGAGTTCTAGTCTGTCTTTCCTGGCAGACTGCTCTATGGATTTTGGACTCACCTAGCCAGCCCCATAATCACATAAGCCAATTCCTTGCAAGAAATCTTTTTAATATATCTCTTGCTAGTTCTGTTTCTCTGGTTGAATCCTCAATGATACAATAGGATTGAACAAGGTAGTAAATATGCTGTAGTAATGAGAACCAAGTTTCTCACTGTCTACGAAAGAAGTTACAAGTAAGGGAAAAGAGAAGGCTAGAATGATTCTTAGGGTGTTAGACTGGAATCAGCGGTAGTACAGTATGAGTATACACATGCACACACACAAATACATGTATATAGAAATAAATATAGATGTATATACAAGCATATGCTAGTATACATGCATGTTTTTCCTAGCTCTCCACCAAGATAGTCTGGAAGCAATGATAATCCAGTAGCAATGAGTTCAATTAGCACCCAGATCCTGACTTCTAAATATCATCTTCCAATAAAAGGAAATGAGGCTCTGTGAAAAAGTGGTTGATTGCAGGCTGAGACAGGGAAAATACAAGGTGAGCCTAAAACATCATATGCTGCTAAAAATCAAGGAAGTGCCCAATGGGGCATGTCAAAAGGACACAGGAGCCAACATGCTGAAACTCAACAATGGCCAAAGCTGAAACAGTCTGAGCAAAAAAGTAAATAACAATTTACTTCTTTGAATTACAATCATAGGACAAAATAAATATCCCAAACTCCATTTTGATATAAAAAACTGAATAAATATTTAAATGAAGGAGAAGGGACAGACCGTCCTTACGGAAGAATTCCAATAAAGAAAAAAAGAAATAAAGGAAATACAAAATCACCATTAGGCAAACATCACAGAAATAACTTGCAGGCAAGATCTACTGATGGATGCTAAAATCAGCTGGTGAAAGTCTAAGGGAAAACATGAAAATTCATCTCAACGTGTCTCCCCCAAGATATTTATCAATTACAAGGGAACAATAATAACTACAGAGAAGAATTAAGCAGACATCACCTTCACTAAGTGATCAAGGTAAGACATTTCATCATCATTTGTATGCAGTGTATCCTGCTGTGATACACTAAGAACACATTACTTCTGTGGACTTCTAGACAAAACTGGATAGCCTCAGCCTAACCACAAGAACACACTGACTAACCCAAATTGAGAGGCAGTCTACAAAATAACCGACCAGTACTCAACAAAAGAGTCATGGTCATGAAAGACTGAGGAACTGTCACAGATTAGAAGGGAGTAAGGAGACATGACAACCAATGCAATGTGAGATACTAGACTGGATTGTGGAACCAAAAAAAAAGGATTGGGGAAAAACTGGTGAAATTCATAGAAGATCCGTAGTTTCAGCAATAATATTGTACCACTGCTAATTTCCAGGTTCCATAATTTTTCCATGAATATGAAAACTGATATTAGAAGAAGCATGAAGGATATATGGGAACTCTCTGTATAGTTGAACAATTTTTACATAAGATCAAAATGAAAAGCAAAGAAAAAAAGCTGTAGTTTAAAAAGATCTAAATCTGGTCCTATAATTTTTTAATCTTAAAAAAAATAGGGCAGTAGTTTTTTTCATCTTTTTTATTTGAAACATGAAGGCTATGTACTCCTATTTTTATTAAAAATAAGTATTATAAATAGCAATCTTTAGTGTTTAAAAAAAATTATGCCATAACCTCATCCTATTTATTTACAATGAAAAGGAACTAAACTGGCCTGGAAGGAAAAAAATCAAACTTGAGAATTTTGTAAAGGACAAATGTATATGTAATTATGTGTAAATGCGTATGCAAAGAGAAGGGTGTGGAAGACTGATTCATTCATTCCTTGTTTAGTACATTTCTACTAAGCCCCCACAATATTCTAGACCTCTGCCAGGTTCTAGGTTAGGGATACTACTATGTTGTCCCCACGCAGGGAGCTCACCACCACTTCTAAGTATTAAATTCCTAACTCTGACAATTTAGCAACTGTGAGGCACCCAGTTACTGGTAAATGGGAGCCTAATGGCTCGGTGGGAGTTTCCTCTCGCAAGCCCACCATATTCTCAGACAGTGCAGTGGGTAGGAGCAAGCCTCCACTTAGAGATAATAGCATTCAAGAAGTGGCATGTCTTGATTCTATCCAACAGATTTCTAAATGAGTAATATATTTGTTGCCTATTTACTTGAAACCTTGAGTTTGTTTTAACTTTAAAGGGTGAGCCAAAATTTTACAGATGAAGCAGAGATCAGTGTCGCTATCTGAAGTTATGAGCCCACAGTGACGTCTTATTTCCAAGGGGGATAGGCAGACTCAAATCACAGTAACTTAGAGACCACTGCCAATAAAAGAACTCTCTAGAGCTGGAAAAGATCAGAACTACACTGATATGGTACTGAATAGCCACAAGCAACACCCTTTGCATTTGTTTAAGTTTATCAAGGCCTTTGTACAACGCTACAAGGAATTTTCCTTGTCATGAAATGTTTATAATTCAAATCCAGGAATAGGGTCTGATACGGTTTGGCTCAGTGTCCCCAACCAAATCTCACCTTGAACCGTAATAAACCCCACGTGTCAAGGGCTGGACCAGGTGGAGATAACTGAATCTTGGGGGTGGTTTCCCCCATGCTGTTCTCATGACAGTGAGTGAGCATCATGAGATCTGATGGTTTTACAAGCATCTGGCATTTTCCCTGCTTGCCTCACTCTCTCTCCCGCTGACCTGTGAAGAGGTGCCTTCTGCCATGATTGTAAGTATCCTGAGGCCTCCCCAGCCATGCCGAACTGTGAGTCAATTAAACCTCTTTTCTTTATAAATTACACAGTCTCAGGTATTTCTTCATAGCCACATGAGAATGGGCTAACACCTGGTCTATGAAATAAGTTATCTCCTAAAAACTGTGAGGCAAATTCCACCTCAGAAAAAACCTAACAGACCAAAGACGAAAAGATGTTTAGTTGCCCAACTGGCCATTCTCGTGCCAGCCAATCTTGCCTTGCCAGTCCTAACGTCCGTCCTGACAAAAGCCCTGAGGGCACAGGGGCGCACATACAACATTCTGGTCTGATGTCGTCTCTTCCTACATTTAATTTTCCCGGACCCATACACACAGTAAACAGAATAATGCCTGGAAAATGTTAAGCATTTTCATTATGAATCAAATGGAAACTTTGTCTTAAGTTGAATGAAACAAGTTTTAGTTTCATCTATGCAACGGAATCCCAGACTTCCCAGGAAACTGTTCAGTACTATGAACAGCCATCCCTCCCTGATGGTCCAAGCCTTGCCATAGCCTTTGGGTTCTCACCAAACCAGACAAAACGACTATTTTTATACTCCTGAACTAATGCTTTCCTCAGCAGACAGGACAACTAAACAATAGAGTACGAGGGGAAAAAGGATAGAAATCAATGTTCAGCTGCTATGTCAGCAACCCCATGCCCAGGCCAGCAAACCTGCCAGCTTCATGCATCTTTCCCATTCTCTTGGCCTTCCCTCCTGTACCTCAGGATGAACAGCAAAGCTCCCATAATACCAAGTCACCCCCCAACTTGCCCATTAGATCCTGTGGGCACCAGTTCTTGCATCATTAATTTTTCCATCTTGTGGTTAAACCAAAATTTCAAATTGAAAACACTATTAAGTCCTTGGGATAAAGTTAAAAACTAAAAGTACTTTTAAGTCTTCAATATTCTTCTTCCCTGCCGTTATTCCATAAGGAGAAGTTGACAAACATCCTCTTAAAGAGGCATATGATCCTACTGAGGATTGTATGGCATCTGCATATAACTCTTTAATGTAGGTAGTCTTGACTTAGAAACTTTCAAAAACTTGTTTTCAAAACAGGAGTTGTTTTCAAAGGTTTGCTTAAATTTAATGTCCTTTTCTTTTTAGACCTCACTGTGAAGGCAAAATAGAACTTAAGGAGACATTATTGTTGTATCTACTGTTGCTTTGACTACTTTTGAAGAAATTAGATTAATTTGCACCTAACAAGAATATATTCAAATGGCTTTCATTTAAAGTGACCATAGATATGGTTGTAATTCATTTTAAATGAATAAGTACAATGGGGTAGAAGGAATTTGCTTGTGTTTTGGGAGGAGGAGGCTGTTATTAACTATTCTTTACAAGTCCTGACGACATTCATGAGAAGTGTGCATCAATTCTGTAAAATTATAAACCTTTCAGATGTAACAGCACTCAATTGAAGCACCCAGCTCTAAATTATACATGTTTGAGGCATGACGGGTGATTTAGCTATAATCAACAGAGCTATACTTCCATTTCATTCAGACATGTGCTAAGACGTTAACAAGGCAGGAAAAAGAGAAGGGGGAAGGAGGAAAGGTCCATTTTCAGAATAAATTAATCATTCATTTCTGATGAAAGCCAGAAAAGCCAGAAATTTTAACAGCAATGAGCTGCCCTACAAATGACGAACTTCAAATACTAAAATCTCACCTTTTTTTTTTAGTAAAGAAGCTGGTTTGCATCACCCCTTCCAAAGAAAGGAGCTGAATTTTACCAGCTATAAAGACTGCCGAATTGGGAGTGGTGTGTGACATGATTACTGTGAGGACTTCTGGCCCAGTTTTTCTTTCATCTGTGCTAGTAGAGTCTCACTGGATAGCAGAATCATATTTTTAGAAAATTATCTTTAAAAAATAAAGTTTGCAACATAGAAAAACAGAAAAAGGTGTGTGTGGTGGGGGAACAAGCTGCAAACATAGAAGGCAGTAAGAATTTTTTTAAAAAGACCTTCAGGTACTTAACAAAAGTAAATCTAAAATTTTTTAATGAACCATAATGTAAAACGTACCCAAAGAAGAAGAATGAAAAGGAAAAGTAAACAATAATAAGCAGCAACAAACGGGGGAAAGAAGTCAGTTCAATAAGAAATGAACTGTCATAGCGCAACAAAAAACTTCAGGGTACTTTCCTTAGAAAATAAGCAATCTCATAGCAAATATATAAAAATCAATCAATTTTCATAGTTTCATAACTAGTCTAAGACAATTAAATCACAGAACTACCAAGCACAAAGAAAACCCACTATTTTTCAATCCCACTGTATTCAGCAGCCCACAAGGTCTCTCTCCTCCCCCATCCTCTCCCTCCTCCTCCACCTTCCTTGGCCCATCTGTCTTCCTTTCCTTCCTCCCGTTCTATCTCCACCTCCAGCCAGCACCAAACCAAGGAAAGTGATTGGGTATGTAATGCCCTATCATTTAGGGTGTGCGAGAAGCAAGGCACATTGTTAGATAATTAAGGATTCTGTGGCTTATTCAGTGAGTCCCCCTCAACCCAGCTGTCTCCACAATTCTGAAAATCCCTCCAGTACCCTGTCAGGCTGGAACAGCTTGAATCACATGTAATCCCCATTTTTTCCCATTGCCTTCCCACATGTTCATCAACTTTGTCAGCAGGAAAGAAGTAAAAGTCAGGCTGTGAAAAGGCACCTGAGAAAAGAAACAAATCAACAACACAGGAGAAATCATTGTTTCAACCTGAACTGAGCGTTTCCATAATCACACTATTGAGACTTCACACAAGCTGAGTGAATGAATGACAGACATTACTAGACTGACAATATGCGAAAACAATGTGCTTACTATATATTTTAGTTATGCCATAAGTCAGTTATAGTCTGAAATGGAATAAATGCTAAGACAGGCTTGGTGGATGAAACCTCTAAAATTTTAATATTCCATTATTATTCACACGTCACTAATCGTAGATCTGACTTTTTCTTAAGTGTACTAAACAGGACATTTTACGAAGTTACAAAAGTCAAAACGATAATATTCCTATTAAGCAGCTGTCGTTTCATAGTCTAATAAAGGTAGATACTGTAGAACATAATTCATGAATACTTTTCAGTCTTTAAAAAAAAAAAAGAACCACAGAATCACCTGTACTTTGATTAAAAAGTTGCAGGGGACACCTAAGAGAGGAAATGCTCAAATCCTGGAAAATGTGTTTTCTAATTCCACAATCAGACTCTAACTCCAAGTGTATGGAAATTTGTGTCAAAATCTATGTAGAAATGCACTATCTGTTTTGAGATGTGGCACTTTTTGCCAAATACATGTACAATTTTCAAAGAATATTCCTGAAGTTACTTTTACCTCCTCATGGAAAATGACTACTTTAAACAAAAACAGCCATTTCTTAGAGAAAGCCATTTTCTGAGCCCTGTAACGCTCTGGTGAGCACCTAACAGACGCAGGCATCAGTGGCAAGCCGGTGCAGCGAGAGCGGGCTGGGGAGAGGTAAGGCATGCAGCCTGGCTGACCCACATCGCGGAGTATCGAGCACACAAAGCACCCTCCTCCACGGATACAGAGGCAGCAAAGACAGCAGCCACAAGACAGCCCAAGGGAAATGTGCACCTGGGAGCTTCCCATAACTTCTCAGGTAAAGAAGTGATGTCAGGCAAGGAACCACAGCCCAGAGCAAGCAAGCTCATCCCAACCTCAAACTGAAATATGTGACATCAACTAATAGCTCTACGAGAATGATCCAAGCACTACTCTTAAAGGTTTCTGAACTCTCTGCAACGATCAATGTTTTCGACTCCCTAAAGCACATCAGCAATTTAAATAAACTCAGAACAATTTAACATCTTAAATCCATCAGCCTCAAATGTGATCGCACAATCTTGCTTTTTAAACAACTGATGGTCAAATTAGAGCTCCACACACGAATGTGAGTGTTTTTTCATAACTATATTGCTCAGTTATGAAGCAATTTCCCCTAGAAGGGGAAACGACGCACTTTTCTACATTGCTCCTTTCTATATGCATGAGCCTGATCTCCAGCAGAAGAATCAAACTTAAGACATTCAAATCAGCAACATTCTGGAGGTGATAAGGAACCAGGGTCAGAGTACCGTCAAGGGAACCTGGAAAAAAGTCTGCTGTTTTGGCAATGGGACAGGATCCAATGACCCGCTAAGCTCTAGGTAGCATAGGGTTTCATTCTTTTCCTCCACTTTAATCCAGAGGCAGAGCAATGACATGCTATGTGGTCCAAAAAGCTCATTTTTTTCTCTGTTACCCATTCCAATGACTGAGAAAGACACTTCTCAAATTTCACATGAAAAATTCATCTTACTATACACACTCAACAGCCTTTCTCTTCTAAGACAAAAAAAAAAGGTTACTATGGGCTTGTGTTAATGATGAGACATAAAACTTTCTGAAAGAGGTTACAAATCCCATCTTTAACTCCTAGCTGTAAACTTGACACTGTTACCTCTTATGCAGTACAGGTTTCTACTGGGTAGGTGAAAACTCATTTTGTTTCAGTAACACCCAAGCAAACCTGTCCAGTCAACATAAGACTAGACACTAGCCAGGCATAACACTGTCACCTCTAACTAGAAGGCAAGGAAGTGTGAAGCAGTTTTTCAAGAAGCTGAGAAACACACTAATTCTATATTGGTGGGTTTTTCTCCACATGTATCCTAGAAGAAACTGCCAAAGACAAACTGCCAAGGTCTACCTGGAAAGTAATGATCTCAGAGTGCACAATTACAAAGAGAAGAAGTGGAGAAGGGAGAGGAAGAGGAGGGATGGTGAAAGGGAAGGAGAAAGAGGAGAAAAAGAGGAAAAGAAAGACACATTCAACTTTAGAGTGAGACCCATGGCAGGAGTCCCACATAAATTCTGCGCTTTATGCATCAATTAAAACCCCTGACACTCACTAAGTTACACTAATAAATTACATCAGAGGATGTAACAATTTCCAAGGTCAGTGGGCTGAGGTAGCCAATTATTATTTTTATTCTTATTTAAACAAAAGGCAGCCCTCTAACTAAACAGCTCTGAAGAATGATATATCACATATGACATCTCCAGCTTTGCTTTCTGGTCCCAATTCTCCTCAGTTGAAACCCTGATTTAATCTCATTTTCAACAGCCCAATGCATTACAAGGAAATGCCAGTTTAAAAGGTTAAAAATATAATCTGACAGCAGTGATGCTTCTAAATTATAAGCACCGCAGATGCACCAAGTAAACATATTTATTTTGTTGCCATGCTATCTAAATCCAGAACCTCCGGGTGTGACCAGAGACACTGTGGACCTCAACATTCCACCACACCCCCTTGAAAATACTCAAAAACTCAAATACGCAGAATCTAAGTGAACCAGTGGAACCCTGGATAACAGAAATGCCTTCCCTACAATCTGTCCTTACAGAGAGCTAAACATCCTTTAACACTTGATTTTTAAGTTTTAATTTTATCTATAAGAATAACATGTATAAATGGGATTTTCAGAGAATTCTGTTGGGTCCCAGTTTTCTACATCTTTTAAATTTACAGTGTTATTCAACAATCACTAATGTTCAGAAAGATCAACGAGGTAAGCCTCATCCATCAAAGAAAGATGCAAGCAGACTCCATATGATGTGTTAGAAAAAGCAGAATCACAAACTCTAATTTTAAAAAAAATCCTCTACAAAGATTTCTGCTTAATCATCAGTTAACCTAAAACTTCCACAGTCCAAAAGCATGCCTCTTCTGAAGCATTCCAGTTAACAGAGGTCTTTACTACATAAAGCCAAGGTTGTTAACCACTCAAGTTTTCTTAGCAAGCAAAACATACAGCATATTACACTGTTAGTCTTGGTCTTTTTTTCACCAAGTTACTTTTGGTCCAGAAGAAACAACAGTTCCAGATTTTGAAAAATAGTCTATCAGAAAAATAAAGGCTGTTTTCAATTTAATAATAGTCACCATGTGTAGCTGATACATTTGTAACAGAAAGCCAAAAGATGTCACCTCTTGAAGAAATCTCACTTGAGAGATCTTCAATAATAAACTGATTCATCAACCACCAACATGCCCTCAAAATCTCTGAGCTACCATCCTTGAGGATTATTTATCAGAGAAAATATCTGCAATTTCTGCATCATTTTTTATTGAGAGCATGCGCCCATTACACACCATTAAGAAAATCTACAAGGCAAAAAATAATCGGCCAGATACTCACCATAAGACAGTCTCTTATTATAATCCAATCAAAACTAAATGAACAAATTCATTAAGCCACTTCCCAAAGCCACAATTCACAAATCATTTGGATTGTGGCTTACTCCCAAGGTGTGTGCACACACACTGAGCAGCAGACCTCACCCTTCTACTCACGGGGCCCTCACGCGGCAGCACACATGCTCACAGAACCAGATTTGTGTCTGTGTAGCTTTCACAGTTATACTACAGCTCTGGGGTTGCAGAGACACCATTAAGACCAAGAACTTTAATGCAGAATAATTTATGCCACCACACTGCTCTCCACTATACACGTAATTTTTAAAAATATTACATTTCCCTTTTTATTTGTTATAAATCCTATCAGTAAGTTGAATTTTAGAAATTTCATTATCCATTATGGTCCCTATAAAAACTAGATTAGAAATGGAGAAAGGAGATGAATATTCATTTGAGAATTCTACGAACTGAAGTCAGGTTGGGAAATTGGATTGGGGGATGGTGTAATAAAAGAAAAACACAAAAAAGATGGTTTATATTTTCCTGCTATATTCAACTCTCTCCAGCAAAAAAAAAAAAAAATAGTTTACTGACAAGATTACTGGTTCCTCATAATGATTTTTTTTAAAAAAGAGAGAAAAAAATAAACTGAAGTTGGCTTTCACGGTTATCACTCCAGCAGTCTTGCTTCAAATACAACAAGCTGCACTCAACATAGGAGCAGAGTGGAGGCAAAAAAGTCAACAAATAGCAAGTATTTTTGTAGGGACATGAAAAAAGAATACATCAAAATTGGCTGAACAGCAAATATCACATATAGATTATAAGCACAAAGTTCTCTAAGAATCAAAGGAAAGGAGTTGAAAAGCAAAAGATTCAGAGTGAAAACATAAATACAAGCATATAAATACAAAAGCCAGATGGATAACTATCAGGAAAAAATAATACAGTATTTATCTGTGACTTCAGAGTGAAAAGATAAGAAACCAGAGCAACTAATTTTGAGTAAAAATAAAGCTTTATCACTGTCAAAATATGTTTCAGTTTGTTGATTTTTCTGGGGAGACTTTAATACTACATACTAAGAAAGATCATTTAAGGCAAAAAGCTGAAATTACTGTCAGCTTCAGGCCACATCTCTGTACTCATGACTGTAACCCCTTCTCTTTCTTAAAGTTTAAAAGGAAACTTTAAAATTTATCACCATCTCACTTTATAACCAGACAGTCAATTGTCAATGAGTACTTACTATATTTATGTGCTGAAGAATTTTACAATCTACCTTACCTTGGAAGACACATTCTTTATAAAGAAATATAAATAAACTAAGCATTCTTTATAAAGAAATATAAATAAGCTAAGTACCTATTTTAAAGTAAATAATACATTCTTAAAAACTACAGCAGGGTACAGCAAAAAGAAGGAAGAAGACATCCTTATAAGAATGTTCATATTTCCAATCCATTCTGACCCTCCATGTAGTGCCAGGTACACCAGGTACTGGGACAGATGGCAGCTGAATGAGCCCCAGATCCTGCCCTGTCGTGGTGCTTGAAGGAGGGGACATTTACAGGGCACAGAAAGCTCACTAGAGATCCTTGCTCCTGACTGGAGGGAAAAGGGGGAGGATTCAGGAAGGGCATCACGCTGGAAGTGACACCTGGGCTAAATCCTATCAGTTGAGCAGGTTGTAGCAGGCAGAGGGAGTTGCATGTGCCAAAGCACAAAAGATGAAGAAAAAGAAGAAAGTTACATGAACATGTAACGGGGGTGGGGGAAAGGCCCCAAGGGCAGAAAACTGGATCCCGAGCTTGCCTGGGCAGGACATGTGTAAAATGTAGTGTCCTTTCCTCTAAGTACCTAATAGACTTATTTTCAGAAGCCATGCCCTGTGCATACATACTGAGTCTTTCAGAGATCTTCTAAAGCTCTCAGAGGACAGCACCCTGTTTCTCCTTCTCCCATATATCCTGTTAAAACATACAGAGACCTTAGAAATCACATGGCAATTCCTGATGCTGCCCCCTCAACTTGCCGAAAAAAAGCAGACTTGTATTCACCTATTAACATATACCTCACTCTGATCAAGAAAAAATATATTTGGCTTATTTTAAATGATTTTTAGCATTAATTAAATTCTCTAAAAATGAAAGTCAGTTGGCTAACACTTTAAAAAGAAGCACATATATTATGTTTAAAATGAGGTGTATGAAAATATGTATATGGACAATAACTAGAAGTGAAAGTGAAAAAAACGAAAATAATATTAGCATCATGGATTAAAGAAAAATGAGGATTTTTCCAAAATTTGGAAAAATTTTTCTTCCAAAATTTTCATTAATATACCATTTAGTATACAGCCTTTTAAATTAATACAATATTACCTAAATATAAATGGCCTGCCTTAAGAAAAAAATCCCATTTACAAATTTTTTAGCGAAGAAAGCTAAATGATCTGTGTTAATGATTAGTGTTCACATCTGAAAGTTGTAGGAATCAATGAGAGATAACTTAAAACTGGCTTAACCTAGGGAAAACTGGGGTGAATTAATTTCACAAGCAAAATCAAAGAGGGCGTGATTTATGGTAACCAACATGGTGAGTGTTCAAGTAGATAAAAAGACCCAATTAGATCAGAGAAACAGTCACTTAAACTGAGCTGAAAGGGCTACAGAAAGCCCTTCTCCTGAGGGAGATGAGCTCTATTGTCTGGATTTGATCTGAATGGAGGTAACAGGAAAAACAGGGGCAGGCACCCTCTGACCCTTTCCGTGGGTCTGGGAGGGAAGAACAGAACACGAACATAAGCAGGCCAAGCCATCAAGCAGCAGGGCGGGGGTGACTCCAGCAGGGCTGTCCGCCTACACAGCTATCCACCCCACGACAGGAGTCCCACAGGGAACTCTCCAGCATTTCCACTGTTATCATCACAACTTCGGACCTTAATGTAAAACATTAAGTTACATCCTCCTGGTCTCTATCAAAAGTTATTATGGACGATGATACAGCCTTAGGGAAGTGCCTCCAGTCTTGTAAAGTCCTGATACAAACATAAGATGTATACACAGGCTTTGAGAAGTGGAATACACTTGAGCTTTAGAATCTGAGACCTGGATTCAAATTCCTGAACTTCAAAATCCTTTACTGACTGTGCAGAGTCACACGAGTCACTCAGTGTCTGGGCATCAGCATTTCCTCATTTGTTCAATGGGATGGCATCTCCTCCTCCAGGGCTGCTGTAAAGGAGCATATGGCATGTGGCAGGAGCCTGGGCCCCTTTATAAGCCTCTCACACTGGGCAAGAGACTTGCAGTTCAATTTACTAATTTATAATTAGTAAATTGCACAGGAGCAAGGAAAATTCAGTGAGGGGGAAATCCCCTCCGCCCAGCCCTCCTCACTACCGCAAAGAGAGAAGCAACTCTCTCCTGAACTCGGCACGATTAAAGAGCAGTTTTATTTCATTTTTTTGAGACAGGGTTTCACTGTGTCGCCCAGGCTGGAGTGTGGTAGTTTTTATACAACACCAAGTCTGTATGCTTTATTATCCCGGACAAGATTTCTAAGTAATAAACCCAAAGCATGAGCTTTGACTAAAGGCGGTAAGGAGTGGGAAGAGGAGGAAACAAATTACTAAGGTGATGAAGATTTGGGCCTTTTCCATCTGGGGAAAAAGTGAGCTGTGCTGTCTTTTAATATTCATAACAGTAGTGCACAGGCAGGCAACCATGATAAGACAATAATTCAACTGAAGGGCATTTCTGGTACATGTAAACTACTCAGGTTTCACCCTTGTGTCGCTTATTACATTAGCAGAACCTGCTGATTGAATTACTTCCCTGCAGTGCTTCCAGGTCTCTGGTTTTTCCCATATAACATCTAATACTGCTTATGAAGATGCTGTATTTGTCCTTTGGTATTTTACCAACTGATATCTCAAGATGCCTGTTTGCTCAGAATGTTTTTCAGAAACTCTGGGTCATATGTACCTCACCACCTATGTAACCAAAAAGGCTTAACTGCTCTCACAGGAAGGTTCAAACTATACAGTGTAAAGCTATGCCAGCTCTCAGAAGGGTCTAAATCAACTGAGTTTCATCAAAGCCTTAGAGCTGGCACCTGGTCTAAGCTAATACAATAAGCAAATAAAAGGCACTTTTCCTGGACTGCTGTTGGACTATGCTTTTTGGATTAGCTAAACCAAGTGCCACTGCTGGAACAAGTTATACCAAGTACTGTTAGTGAGGAGATAGGAGCTATATGGACTTTTCCCTTAATCAATACTAACAGGAAGATTAAAAGACAAGAAAGGAAAAATCAACATAACAGCGACGTTAGTCCCAGGCAAAGATAGACCTTTATTAGAGAGGAAAAGTACTTGAAGCCCCTTTTCCAAACTATAAACGAAATACAAATGCTAGCCTAAATTACCAACGACAGCAACAAAAGCAAGAAGAAAGATTTCAAGGGTACATGCCACAGCTAATAAGGTTAGACAGCTTTTCTGGAAGGAGGAACAAAATGGATCATCTTGAAAACTAGAGAAATGAACTTATTACTTTGGATGACAAAGGCAGCTTTTCCTGCCTTTATCCAACATCCAAATCATATTGATGCATCAATTCAATATGATATATAATTATATATAATATATTCAGGTAAATAGGGAAGATATAAGGATTCATTTTTATTTCCTCAAAAACAGACATTTAATTTTCTGAAAACATACTAGGAGCACAATACTTATGTGGGCAAAGCGCATATGTGGGCAACTTCCCAAAAAAGTTAATATAAGTTGTAAACCCAAGGAAAAAACATTTCACCTTACTGGTAACTTCTTTGAATGAGTGAAGTTTTACACCACTATGTTTAATGAGAATACCCAGTATGGCAAGGGTTTGGTTAAAAAAAAACAAAATAAAAACATACAAAACTGCTTTGGAACACACACAGTAAAGGCAGGATTGAACAACTTGGAGTCAGAAAGACCTAGGTTCGAATCAGCACTCTGTCACATGTGGCCCTGAACAAGCTTCTCAAGCATCACGACTCAGTTTCATGCATAAAATGATGAGTGATGGTACCTACCTCCCTTGCTAAACATTTAAAGAGGCCACACACGAATAGCACTTTACAAAGAACCCAGCTAAGAATCAGCACTCAATAAAGGACAGATACCATCAGGGCTCAGGAGCCAGCCCTCTGGGGACCTCCCCCAAGGAGCAGGAAGAACCAACCCACTAAGCAGCAAGAGTCTAGCCAGAATTTCCTCATCTCCTCAGGAAAAGAAAAAAAAAAACTCAGATCTCGATGCTTCCTCTTTAAGGATCATTTTTAACTGCAGGTTCTGGCCAGGGACCTCCACTTCAATTCAAAAGGAGCACCCTGAAGAAATGGCAGAAGTTGAGATGGGAACACGACCAGGCCAAGCAGGGCAGCCCCTCAGTGATCCAAGACCACCACCTGCAGCAAACACTGCAAGGCCAGAAATCTGCTCTGCTCTTTTCTCCAGCAATGGGATCAATTACACCCTCAGAGGGGCTGGTCTGGGGGCTAAATGCCAGTCCTCACCTGCTCCACACTATTGCTGCCATAGCTCAGCAAGAGACAGCCAAGACCCCAAGGCAGAGGGACAAGTCCATCCCTGCTTGAAACAACAGCCTGGAGGAAAAGCAGCCCATTCTGCCTCCTGAGGGCGATCCCCTAGCTGGTGGGCACACTGTGCATCCTCCCATGCAGGAAAGAGCACAGGGCTATGGGTCCTTCTCCTCGTTTCTTGGGGGACAAAGCACTCAGGACCCCATCCCTTGGGCCTCCAGGGAAAGCAAGGCTCCAGAGGCACAGTTGTCTGAATGGGTAACAGGAAAGAGTTCTTGGATCACTAACTGCTCTGCCAGTGGAGTTTAACCCCAAAACATTCACTGGTTCCAGCACAAGTTTCAAAATCAAACCACTGAGTGCCCAAATAATTAAATGGATCACGTTATCTCACCTCACCCTTGCCATCGCACAGAAGGGGGCTACGCCCATTGTGAGCAACTGTTCTTTGGCAGGGGAAGAGAGACAAAGGTAGGAGGGAAATGAATTACAAAAGGGAAAACAAGCCTATTTGGAGATTTCAAGCAAGACTGGGTCCTAAGGATTAGTTCACTAACCTACTCAGAAGGCTGACACTGCCTGCTACCTAGAGTCTGCAATAATGCCTTGAAATGTTATTAGCAGGGCTTCCCCCTCCCAGAGGCCACAGCCTTTACTGGGCCCAGGTCCTTCCTTTCAAGTCTCTCTCATCACAAAGGCCCTCTCACCCCTTCAATTCCAAAGGCACTGGATATCCCTCAGCCTCTCAGCCCCTCAACCTCTCGATGTGCCTTCAGGTACTCTGCTTTCCCCTTGCTAACCCTTAGCTAACTCACCCTTTCTACCTCTGCTGACATAGAATTCCCTCCCTCCCCACAAAAACCTGCCCTCCCCCAAAAACAAATTTTGTCCCCTACTGTACACGAAACCCTGTACTTCTCCTTGGCAGCACCTTGCCAGGTTTGCTTAAAGGGCTTCCTTCTTGATGGACTGTAAGCTCCATGAAGGCAGGGACCACTCTGAGATTACCTACTATAACCCTAGCCCAAATATTTCAATACCCCAACAATACCCCAACCTGACTTTCCAACTTCACCTCCCTCCCCAAGTACTTCAGCCTCCAGCCATACCCCTCAAGGTTCCAAAATCGCCATGCTTTTACTACCACTGCTCTATAAAAAACCCAGGTCACCTCTCAAGGCTCTGCTAAAGGCCAACTGCCCCAGGAAATCTTTCCCAATCTCCCAGCAATACACATGCCTCTCACCTTCACCCTGGTGGAAATAATCAAGCAAGAGAGCCACAAGGACCTACCTTCTAATCAGATTCCCACTAACTAGGGGAGTGAGCTTGGACAAGTCATTAAGCTGGAGCCTCATTGCCCAGATAATAAATTTGAACTCCTGGAAAGGATAATGTAAACCACCTAACGGAACCTGGCATATAGTATGCCCAGAGCTCTCGCCCACCATCCCGCTACACCCTAATTAATGATTTGTTGCTAAGTCATCTGTCTTGCCCTTAGACTGTGTACCCCTGGGGGGCATTTCCTTATGTAGGCTCCACCACCCCTAGTCCTCTGAAGTGAAATCAGCCTCGTAAAACAGCAACAACAGCATCACCTAACACAAACTGAATGATCAGTGTTTAGTGTGTATGTTTAGATAGTGCTTAATTCCTAGTATGTACAGGCAATCCCATTTTTTTTTCTTCATCTTAAAGTTCAGGGGTCCATGTGCAGGATCAATGAATCCCATTTTTAATATACCCATGCAGAACACACATGCAATAAAATATATACATACACACATGCATCTCAAAATTCTTAGTGTAATTTTAAGCTTTAAAAACAACAAAATTATAAAAGCAACAGACTTAACATCATCTGGAAGTTCAATTATTTAAATTTCTTTTACACTCAGTTGATCAATTTTGAATGCAAAAGTTTTGATTTCACATCTTTTAGTCCCTCTCATTAGAAATGAAAAATGCTAAAATTCCCCAAACAGAATCTGGGGAAATTTCAGAAGTTACGTTCACTTTAGCTACTAGAGGAATGTTTTCATTTTCTTTCTATGGCAAAGTGTTCAATCTGGAGGCAGTAACCAGTGGATTCTAGGCCTGTAGCTCTCCCAACCCTGAGTGCTGTGCAGGTGGCTGGCAGCAGTGGCTGCTATCAAATTTTGTCTCTCTTTTGTAAACTGCACCACACAAGAGCCATCTTCTGCCTTGGCTTGCTTCTCACCAACACAGAACTGTTCTCCATGGTGTGGAGGAGACATAAAGTATTTCAGGAACTGTACTACCTTCTTACTGCCGACAGTCACAGACAGGTACAACCAATATAAATGAGCTCTTCATCCTGTCCTTTAACCACCCAAATGCAGTGTTAAAACATTCTTCTGGTCCTTCCACCATCCTGTACCTGCAGGATGCTTGTATAGATTACCCCACCTACTCGAATCTCTGTTAGTTCTGTTATTTCATGTCAGGTGACCTTTAAAAGCTTGAAAATCTGTGTCATGCATTAGCTCTCCTGGGTGAAAGCTGCTTATGTTCCAGTCTGCCAGAAGCATGGTTCTCAGTAAGCTAGGCTATTCTTCAACTGCCACGCTCTCAACAAATTTCAGATAATATTGGAGATTAACAAATGCAAAAAGACTTGCAGATGACTTATAAATTATAAAGCCACTCCAAAAATGCTTTTGTTAGCTAAGATTTTCAAACCGTACAGTACTTAATGTTTGGAATAACTCATCAAAAAGGCTGAAATTGTGCTCACTAGAATGATCAACAACCCGAGGAGACAAAAAACAACTCAATAAAAACTTAATGAATTTATTTCCTATCAGTCTTGTCAGGTTGCATTTTGAATTCTATCCACAGCATGTGATGAAAGTACCCAAACCATAATGTAATCTTATGTACTACATCAAGGATCTAGTCAGCATAATTTTCTGGGATCTGGTGTGAAAGCACACTCCTTTGTGTCTACAATCCTTCCGCAGGAAGGGCCTTTCCCCAACGCAATCAATCAATCAATCCATCAATCAATCATCAGTCCAGAAAAGCCTAATTGCTCACCCATCACCAGTTCTGATTATAATTAGTGTTCTATAATCATGGAGCAGGAAGCACAAGATGGGAAAGGAGGGGGGCCACCGAGGTCCTCCGAGGCACTTGGTAATCACGATCAGCCGTTTTATACCAATAGCCTAGAAGCCAAACACACAACTGCTCGCTCTGGTTAAATTCTGTTAAACCAGTACTAATAAGA
Source organism: Homo sapiens (assembly GCF_000001405.40). Lineage (NCBI taxonomy): Eukaryota > Metazoa > Chordata > Mammalia > Primates > Hominidae > Homo > Homo sapiens. Next base: position 56,126,505 of record NC_000014.9, on the reverse strand, counting down.
ATGGAAGTACAAAGCTTGAAACAATGATTTCTTATCCTAAAAACAGATTCTGCATGAGCAGAAAAGCAGGGATAAGCAGAGTGAAGTGTTTGAGAGTGAGAAGCATTATGCGGATGGCTAGAAAGAAAACCTCAATCGAGAATGACTCGCAATAGCCTTAAACCTGCTGCTGAAAATGCCCCCTGATGCATATTTATTAGGTCTGTCATCCAAGAGGCTTGTATGCCACAGTATTTCCAGCCATCATTAATAGGCATTAATGACCACAGCCTTTCAACGCCACTGTGGCGCACTGCAATGCAGCTCCGAGCAGCTGGTGGAATCAGAACAGATGGCCTGCTTCCCTTCAAGGCAGGACTTTCTGCAGGTGACAACATGACTGCTAGGTGACTGACAAAAAGAAAAACAAACAAAAGTTGAAACTGGAATATCTGATGTCAGTAAAGCACATGTTTAGTTTCTCAGGGAAACTTTGACTTGGGCCCTAAAGGTTGGTAGGATTGTTTACAAAACTGCAGTTGTGCTACAGAAGCAGAGTGCTCCTTCCAAGTCCAGAAACATTCACTAAGCCCTGGCCACATCTCCATGTGGGGTGGCAAACTAGGGTGTGCCACAGAAATCCATTTCTCCAAGAGGCTCAGTGAGTACCTAACATGCACCAGAAAGGGAAGCCCAGCATTCCAAGGAGGGGGGAAGTCAAGGTTCCTACCCTCAAGGGGCAATACGCTCTGGTGGAATTCAATGGCCACTCTGGGCACATGGCAAGCAGCACAGAGGGCAGAACCACGTTTTTGTCCAGGGATACTTAACTATCTGCCCTTGTATTTGTTTACACTTCTATTTTTCCCTTCAGTAAATTGCTTATATACGTTGCCTCTTAACGGGATACTTGGAATCTTCTGATTGAAAGAGCAGAACCCACTCAAGGTGGCTTAAACAGAAAAAAAAGTAAGTAAAAACCGAAAGAAGTGGGGACTCTCAAAGGACACAGGACTATTTTCTCGGAAAAGCTTTTCCTGATTATTTTGTCCAAAAGGATCCCCCACTACCTTATCCCTAGCATTTCACCCTGCCAATTCACCCCCCCCCTGCCCACCCAATAACTCTCTTCCTCCTTATCCTGCTTTAGTTTCCTCCCAGCAGTCTCTGAAGTTCCATTTTTTATCTACTCCTTTGCTTGCTCACCTCTCTCAAAAAAAGGTAAGCTCCAAGCAGGCAGGAAGGGCAGCTGTCTGTCTTGTTTGCTGGTGTAGCCCAGGGCTGGGAGCAGTGCTGGTCCTCAGTCAGTATCTTGAGTCACTGAATGAATGGTCAATCACACGAAACTAGGTCTCAGGAGGTACCCGAACCAGGAACTAGAAGCAAGACAGCTGCCCTCTAGCTCACACTCCATTCTCTCTCTGCCTTGTTGGGCTGCAGCCTCAGTTTCTCCTTCCAACTCCACTGTGCCTTCCAACTCCACTCTGCAAAGAGCAGAGGGCTTTCTTCACTCCCATCTCATACTAGCAAAACCCTGAGACAGTCTCCTGTGCTCTTAGGGTAAAGTCCAAACCCCTTCCAATATCTTATAAGCCCTTCATGATATCCCCCCATCATCATCCCTCACAATGTTTCATTCAATCATTCTTTCCTAGCCATAAAGAGTGTTTCTCTGTTCCTCAAAGTAGCTGCACGTTTTCATCTCTAGGTTGCAGAATACTCCAAACCTTCTTCGGAAAGCACTCCTTCCCTCTTATCTCCATCGTGGTCATCCCCATCTCATCCTGGCACATGGCTAGGGGACCCTGCTAACACATCCACCATCCCAGCCTTCAGGTCTTCCAGCTAGGCTGTCAGTGCTGCAGCAGCAGGGACCATGACTGTCTTGTTCATCTGCGTATCCCTTAGTGCAATCCACAGCATCTGACAAGTGGCAGATGCTCAAATATTTGGGGAATAAATAAATGAACCATGTATCAGTAACGGTTATTCACAAAGAGGCTGGGACAAAAATAAGAGAGCAGTTCACCAGGAAAAGGAATGTGTCTGCCTTGTCCTAGCTGTATTCCTCATGCCTGGAAGAGTAGACAGCCAATAAATATTTGCTGAATGCATACATTCCTGGCTTGCCTGATGTAACTCCACCCCTTTCTCTCCCACTTGAGAAAACACATCAGAATGCAAAAGGGTGAAAAATGACATTATTAACATGACATATCTGAATCATTTGAAAGATCCACACTTTATTACTTGTCATAAATTACTGGCCACATACCCTCAAGACTGATCATCACATATGAGGTACTTGAGACAGTGGTTGAGAACAGGTGATTTAGACAAAGCTAAGAAATATGAAGCACTTTCTGCTCTTATTATTTTATTTTCCAGAAGATGAAGGTGACAATAAGCTCAGTAAGAACTAATAACTGAATTATTCTAACCTTTACTTTTCTTTTTATAAAATAGATTTCTGCACACCCCAGGAGAAACGTTTAATTAAATCAAAAGACATTATAAATTCCTTTTCACAGTTATTTTTCTCCCATACCAATGAGGTCTACCAAGTTGCTGTTGTCTCCATTCAAAAGCCAACCTACAACCCCATATACCTACTTTCAGGAAGGCCACACTGCAAGCCCTGCACAGCAGATATAAAACCAGTGCTCCAATGTGACAATATTGGTCTTCCTCAAATATAGCAACGGCTATTTTGTTTTGTTTTGGTCCTTTGTGCATAAGTATTTTATCTTTTCGATAAAATGTTTGGTAAAATTACTGAACCTGAATCAAGCCTGTTTTACTTTCATTTATACACAGCATCCCCAAATATTGATCACAGGATGAAACACAACCAGAAATGAAAAGACCTAATGAAGCTTTCAGTCTTGGTGTGTTAAAGAGAGAAATAAATAAATCTGAGAAAGCCAGACCAGAAACCACACAGCAACACAGACAGCCACATATTCCAAACAAGGCTAAAGTTAGTAAAGGAAAATATAGCAACTCAAAGCCAGTAACACCGTAACCCTTAATAGCCCACAGAATTAGACACTCCATCCACACAAACAGATCTGAGCTCTTCAGATCACCCCACATGCTGAGCTACAGTAAAGATTTTGTTTTATAAATTTTTTTAAAGTTCAAAGACCTTTTAGTCTATAAAAGATACTAATGTTTGATGTCTTTGGGCCCAAATTAGAGTGGAGGATGAGAAAAGGAAAAGTGTTAGGGTATATTTGAAGGTTTCTTATTGCCACCAAAGGGTGGAGTAGTCAAGGCAAAGTGCTGAGGTTACAGCAACAACAAAAAGCATACAGAAAGTGGGACCTGCTTTTAAAAAAAAAAAAAAGACCATAAACTCTACAAGCTACTATACCCCTCTTTGTCTTACCTAACAAAACACTGAATCATCCAAAGGAAATGAGGCAGGTATCTACCTCCTTTTGTAGAGCTTATCAATTTCTACTAAAATACTTCATTTTTCAGTCATATTTAGTCATATTTATAAATTTTCATTTGTAGAGGTTCTTACCCTCTTTTTGTGCCAAGAATCCCTTTGGCAGTTTGATGACATGTAATGAGCCCTTCTCAGACTAATGTTTTTAAACATACAAAATAAAATACAAAGGATTACAATTGGAATCACTTATACTTAAATATCAAAAGTCTTAAATTGCTATACACATGTGCACTTCTGTAATAATGCATTAAATAACAAAATCTAGCAGCAAGTCTTTTTGTTGCCTACACTCATAAGTGAATGAAAATGCTAAACTGCAGTTTGAATATCATGAAAATCAAGACATGTTTTTCCCCCATCTAAGTTCAAGAATGTCCCGAACTCCATCTGTGGACCCTAGGTTAAGAACCCTTGGTTGAGAGAGCCAATAAAAATACATTTTGTGAAGCATCAAAAGAAAAAAAAAAAGTCTTGCAAAATGCATTATCCATTCAACTGTGAGGTGAGAGGAACTAAGAGAGTAAGCAATATTTTTCCAAAAACCACCATGGGCCATTAGTCAGCAAGAGAGCCACATGCTTCAAATTGAATCCAGAAAGGATGCTTTGAGGAACTGACAGCGCTGCTGGAATCTGTCTTAAAGTGAGGAAAGGGTAGAGTAGGGGAGTACAGCCACCCAGCTCAGCCCAGATCAACTATGAACTTGAACCTCTCTTGTTCTGGGAGCCTGTGTCCTCAAGAATAAAATATAAGGGCTAAACATATACCATGACCATTAGGCCCCCTTCCAGTCCTAATTTTTTTTTATTATACTTTAAGGCTGGAATACATGTGCAGAATGTGCAGGTTTGTTACATAGGTACATACGTGCCATAGTGGTTTGCTGCACCCATCAACCCATCATCTACATTAGGAATTTCCCCTAATGCTATTCAGTTCTAAATTTTTATCATGAGATCATCTCCTCTTTATGCTGGTTATTTCAGTCTATTTAGCTAAATTTCAAAACATCACTGTCTTTCTTAAACTTGGAACATAAAGTTTTACACAATTTAAATGCTCCCATGGGTAACCTAACACCAATGAGTCAAACAGATGTATATCATTACAACTTTTTTAAACATTCTGTTTTTACGCACATCTTCATAAAAAACAACCACAGCATTGATCTTTTCTGCTATTAAAACAACTGTCAGGGAACTTAGAATATGTAACTAAATAGTTTCTACATTTGCGCCAATGAACAGAATTACTGAGCACAGACCAGGAAGGGCTCTTGAAGCCTACCTAATCCAATCATATTTTGCAAATTGATAAAGAAACAGAGAGGAGGAGGAGGAATTAAGCCAAAGTCACAGAGCCAGTCAGCAAGAGAGAAGGGCTTATTCAGGTCACCCACCTGTAAATGCATGTTCTTCCCACTATACCAAACTGCCTCTCAAATCCTGAGCCACTTCCCTAACCTTAAAACGTAAGTTTAAAATTATAGCAAAAAGACCTGCTGGTTAGACCAGTCATTTTTCTCTACCTTCAGTTAAGTAGTGGACACAACAAAGAGTTGTGGCTATGATACATTAACTGGCTGGAATCATGAAATAATTAAATTCCACTAATCAGCCCAGAAAGTGATGAGCTCACTAAAATCCTAGCTATGTGGAATCTCTTAATAATACTGTGTAACACACAAAAAGATATAGAAGTATTTAGATATGGATATAGACATCTATCAGCTCTTCATTCTGCTCTCCAGGATTTCCTAGTAATGTTTCACTATGACATTCGAAAGTGAGCAAAAAGGACAGTCACATAACCATTAAAAAAAAAAAAAGCACTGAATTTGACAAGCAAAGCTTCTATCAATACCAAATATTAGGCATTTTTAGATCTCAGGAATCATCTCATTATTCAGAAAATCTACTTGAAATTTTCTGTTTTCCAATATTTATACCCCAGAGGACATAAAGATAATATCATAAAGATGATATTAATTCTATGTGAATGTTATTGTTGTTTTAAGATGAAGTACACTGTCTCAAATCCTAAGGGTGGAATATGAATAAGGTTCTCTCTAAAAATCTTCCTACCTAGTCACTCTTTCACCTGCACTCTTCAATGTGTTCAACATTGGTAAACAGTCAGAAACCTACCCTCGAAAAAAGAAAAATACCACAATTCAAGTATTCAAAAACCAGACTAGCATCCTCTACTCACATTTCACCTCCTCAGAGAGAACTTCCCTCACCTTCCAGCCGAAGAAACCAATACCCACCTAAGCAGTCACTCTCCAAGTTTATCAACTCCTCTTCAGAACTTGGCTGCACCTGAAATTGTCACTTATTACTCCTCTATTTGCATGTTTCTTTCTGTTTATGCCTGTCACTCCACTCTAAAAGGAAAGTTCCCTGTTCTCACTGCATCAGCAATGCCTAAACAGCACAGGCACAGAGTAGGTACACAAACGACGGTTGAGTGTCTCGCCCCCTAAGTGCCAACTATGTCATACTTTGGTCTCCTGGAAAAGCATTAGCAAAGGGCAGACCATATGCAACTGCAACGTTATATCCCGGGCTCCTGTGGAGTGAGACTATGATACTAGGACAATCCAGGGTTTCAATCCTTTCCGTGGCTTCGGAATGCCCTGCACTTCCAGCTATGAACACAAAACCTCTCCAGGCCCACTCGCTGCTTTTCTGAAACATCTCAACAATGATTTCCTCAAAAGGAAATAATGAAATAAAGTTCTGGCATACGTTAATCTTCCGCGTCAAGTTCACAGTGTTAAACACACTGAAGCCAGCCACACAAACAAAACCAAACTCCACAAGATTAGGTTGGGCTGAAGTTACATAAGACAGACTAAACTGCGGCTTTTCTCCTGTCATTCCTCCCGCCTTCCTGTGAACCCTGATATTTGTCTTTGAAGTGCAATTAAGATGTAGGTGAGAAAAACACTTATCTGCAAACAGCTTCAAAATAGGTAATGAGATTTCCAATACCACCCCCACTTAATGCACTAGCAACAAAGTCAGGAAGACTGGGAAGCTTTGAGTTGTGCGGTGTCTGGAAGCTTCCCTCAAAAACTCCTCTCTTTAAATTATTTTTAAGTCAGCACTTACTTCAAGGCACTCACTTATCAAAACACGTTTTGCAAAGTTCCCTGAGTCTTCCCACAGCCATGACTCCTCATATGTGTGCTAAGCCTACCTATCAGCGCCGAGGATGTTCTGAATACAGGTCTTTCAACGCAGAAGGACAAAAGCGCGGGTTCCCAGAGCGACACATCCAAAGGAAAAAATAATCCTTTCTTCAACACTAAACCCAAGTTGTTCCTTCCCCCCAGTTTCCTGCACTTCCCCCTTCCCCCTCCCCTTTCACTGCCCACTATATCCAGTTTTAAGCCCGCAAAGCCTCTCTCCTGGCTTATTAAGGGTAAACAATAGAAATGTCACAAGGAAACTCAGGAAGTAGATGAAGTCTCTAATTGCTGCCGTTTAACGATTGTACATAATTACTATCTTCAAGATGCGGCTTTCACCAGCAGAGAGGGAGCCGAGGCGGGCGAGGCTGGCGAGCTCCCCGCAGCCGGGAGGGCATCAGCGAGGCCGGGACCGGGGGGATACGGCCCGCGCCCCGGTGCCAGGCCCCGAGCAGCCGCATCCTGTCCCTCCCCTCCAGAGCACTCCAAGCGGGGAGAAGCGGAGGGCCGGCCGGCCCGGGTCACACACAGTTCACTGCTCTCGGGCTGCGGCGGCCCGCGGCGGTCATCGGAACAATTTGCAAAGCGCAGCCGGGGATCCCACAGCCCGCGGCGGCCCAAGCTCACGGCGCCGCGCTCGGAGTTCGGGGGCGCGGGTACCACGGTCCGCGAGGGAGGTGGGAAGACGGGGCTCCGCGCCGGCCGGCCTCTCAGCTTCGGGAAGCGACCCCGCGAAGCGCCCGCGACCGCGGCGCCTCACATGGAGTCCCTGCCCGCCCTCCCCGGCCCGGACGCGGCGCGCGGGAAGTGGAGCCCCTGCCCCCGCCCCCACGATACGGCCGCGGACCCGGTGCCCGGCGCTGCCCCCGCTGGGTCGCCCGAGTTCTGGCCACTTCCTCCGCCGCGTCCTCCGCGCGGACAGCGCAGCCCGGCGTCCGCCGCAGCACCCCGAGCGCGCGCCGATGGGGCGCATCCCGCCCCCGCGCCGCCGTCCGGGCCCTGAGAGCCTCTCCTGCCGCCCCGAGCGCCCCGGCGGTCCCCAAAGAGCACCGAGCCACCCCGCCAGCCCCGCTCCAGGATGCGGGCGCTCCCCGCCCGCGCCGCTGCCCGGGACCAGGGACCCCAGGACTCACCCGAGCACCACCAGCTCCCCGTATTTCACTGGCTCCTTATTGGGGGCGCAGTGTTCCTCCTGGCCAGGGGAAAACATGGAGCCCCGCTCGGCCGCCGACGCCGCCGCCGACGCCGCCGCCTCCGCCGCGATCCCCGCCGAGTCCGCGCCGCCGCTACAATCCCATCCCGAGAACGGGGTGAGCGCGCCGGGGAAGGGCACGGCGGCGAAGGGGGCGCGGGGCGGCCAGTCCCGCTGCTGCTCCGTCGTGGCTGCGCGGCTGCTCCGCCTGACTCCCCGGAGCTCCGCGCGCCGCGGCCGCCCCGAGTCAGAGCCGGCAACAAATGGGACCCGGCAGCAGGGGGACCTGCCTGCGCTGAGCGCCGCCGCCGAAGCCCCGCGGGAGGGAGGGAAGGAGGAGGGAGCGGGCGCACGAGAGGCTGGGGCCGCGCGGGGGAGGCGGGGGCCAGCGCGCGGGCAGGTGGGAGCCGCCCCGCCCCACGCAGAGCCAGGCGCCCGCCCCCGGCCCGCGGGGCGCCCCCTCCCCCGGCGCGTGGGGCCGTCCGCGCCCACTCCCCGCCCCCCTCGGCCCGGCGGAGGCTCGGCCCCTGTGTTATGTAAACATAGAGTAAAAGGGAAAGGAAGTTCTTAAAGGAGCAGCTCTGTTTTTTTTCCTCACTTCCTTCCCCAAACTTAGAGCGCGGGGTCCTCAGCCCTCGCCGCCTGGTTCTTCAGCCGCGAAGGCCCGCGGGAGATCCTGGAAACGAGCGGCCGCGGTTCCCAAGCCCACGTTTTCCTGGCTGGAGTTCGATGGGATTAACTTCCTCTCCGAGTAGAATAGCGCTCTCTCGACGTCACTGTGTCCCGGCTTACAACTAGAGGTGTCGCACACACCCACTTGGGTGCCTCCCCTTCCAAAACCAAGCAGAAAGGCGTCTAGAAAATTAGAAGGTTTTGCCAGTTGGTGCTGGCGTAGAGGACGTTTCGAAGGCGCTTGGAGCACCCCACCGTTGCACTGGATGTAGCTACCCCGGCTTGTGGTCAATAGAGCTCCACCTGGCTTTTGGGGGGTGGCGGGGGGATGGGGGAAGAGTTGTTTTTTAATCCATACTTTATCCACTTTTCCTGTGCCTTCTTTCCATCCCCTAATACATACAAGGGGAAATTACCTGGGTGGACTTTTTAGTGAACGTAAATGTTCCTTTATGACCGTGATTTAATCAATGCACTGTTTGCTTTCTATTCTTTTTAAACTAGTTATTGCTATGGCTTTAAAATATCGTAGACTGTATAGTTTTACTGACTGCTGTTTTTCATCATACAGGATTTTATTGTTCTAACATTTATTAAGCACTCATAATGTGCTAGAAACTCTACATATTATTGCGAGTCATTGCCTCTCAACACTGTTAAATATTTAAAGAAATAAATACTGCAGAAGCTACCCTGTGTATAGTGACTGGTTGGCTATGACCCGAAGCAAAGGGCTAGAAAAAATAATAATTGCATCTGTAACCTTCCATTCCGCTGTGCTGCACCCCTTGTGTAACATTCTCTGACAGGTTATTACGGTAGTGACATGATGTTTCTGATAATTTTACTTCAGTTAGGAACTGATTTTTTTAATTGAGGTTTTAGAAATAAATTATTCCAAAGTAACTAAAGCCACACCACTGGTAAGCCAAAAATAAACTTTATTAAACAGTTAACTTATTTCAGCTAACTATAGAAATTCTGTATTTCAAATGAATATTAGTTATTCTGCATATATTACGTATTCTCTATATTTTTTATATGTAATAAAAAATCTGTTACAGTTTTAACCAGCACTCCTTCACTAAAGGGATAAATCATGTCTCCTCCCCAGTGTTGATGTAAATTTCTTTCAAATTTCTGCTGGATTAATGTTGTCTTCATGTACTCTGTGCATCTACTTACCACATAGATTGTATGACTATCAAAGATCTGTCAGAATCATTCTGCAGTTGCGCCGTCACGATTACGATGATGCCTGCCTCTGTCACCCTAGCTTCTCTAGGCCTCCTCTGTTGCTGCTTCTGCTCTCTAGGCTACCATTACCTCCTTCCTTCTCTCTTGGCCTGCTGTGCCTGTGTGCGTTGCATTGCATTATACTGTTCTGGCTGCATTTCCTCCTTGCTGTGCTTCGCATCTGCTCTTAGGAAGATAGAAAGAAATATGTATTAACCTCCTACTAAGTTCCCAGCACTAGGCTGAGAGTTTCCCATAGGATATCCCAATCTTCCAAGGCCCCCCCGTCTAGCTATCTGCCTGTGGCACCCCTGACTTCCAGAGGGACATGTCTCTCTACTCTCCCAACATGTCTTTGAGAATGTTTATAGTACTTAATCAGGTCTGTCTTTATCAGACTGACTTACAGGAAGTGTTGTTGTGAATGAGTTTTTGTGTCAATGGAGGCTTTTTATCCTAGGCAGCTCAAGGCTAGATCAGCTCTGTGAATCACTCTGAGCCCTGAAAGCTTCTGACTGGTAAGAGCAATTCTATTGATCACAGTCAAGAATACATACAGGGACCAGGCATGGAAATCCAAATGAGCAAATGGGCTGAGTGAGGACTGTGGCACATTGGTAGGGTCTGTGCCGTCTACAGGGCTTATCTGTCACTCATCTCTAGCTGATTGTTGCCATGTGACAATGACAGTTCACTCTTGCTAGATGTAATTTTTCTAAAAGCCTCAAATCCTGATTACACCAAACCTCTCAATTTTTAACTGTTGGCAACTCATTCACACTTTCAATTTTCTTGAAACACAGCATGAGCCCATCAAAACTATGTCTGTTTTTCTAGACTCTATGTACCCAAGGTCCCCACAGTTGCTTTCTCTGATTTCAAGGAAACAGACATGAGTAAAGGTAAAAACACTTCTCAAATGGTATCAAATGGTAGGGCTGGGGGGATGGCAGAGTGGTGAGGGGTGTTAACTTGATTTTCTCAGAGCGTTGATGGCTTGTGTTCCTAAAGAAGCCAGCGTGTGACTTTCTCTGTGCATCTCTTATCAGAGTTATTTGCTCACAACTTAAACCAATTAGGACATGACCCCATCATCCCCAGTTAATATTAAGAATCTGATTGTAGCATGGATTTATCCTCTCTTGAATGTAATTGTTTTAGTGAGTTGCTCCAGGCTGGTGGGACAATCTGGCTGTGCCATCTGCCAACCCACTAAGAGCCAGGGTGGGCTTGGCTGACTTGATTGCCAGGGCAGACCCTTCCCTGCTCTCTCTGCTTGCCATTCCATTTATGTCCCTCACCCCAGACCACTCTCTTGAAGAGGATGACCCGCCCACATCATCCCAGAGGGAGTCTGTGCTATTTCTTGGGCTACCAGAGGCCATATGCTTACTATACAAATAAATAATGTAAGGCTTTATCTTGACTTTTCCCCAATTGTGTCTTCCTGTTTTGTTAAAATCAAAAGATTTAGTGAAAAAGTGTATGTTTGTTTTAAACATACCTAAAGTCAGTCAAATACCTTTCAGTATTTCTAGAATGAAGCATCTAATTTTTGGTCATTCTACATTCTACCTTACATGTTTATGTTTGGAAAGACTAAAGAGCAAGTAGACACTTTCAAGAATATGTTTGGACAAACCGAGCAAGATACAGTATATTTTTTCATGCAACTTTAGATTACATTTCATTTTTAAGCTGTTATCTTCTTGTAGTTTTCTGATTGAGAATAATATAAGCTCTTTGTCAAAAGTTTTAGAAATACGAAAAAAAGGATTCAAAAATTGTCTTAAATCACCTATAATCTCATTACCCAGAAAAAACCCTATTTATCATTTTTGTGTATTTCCTTCATTTTTTATTTTTAATTTTTTGACATATGTGTAATCACCCTCTCTAAAGTGTATCCTGCCTTTTTAATTTAATATTGTATTGTCAGAAGTTTTCTCTTGTAACTAAAACTTCAAAAATATTTTTGTTGTTTCATTATAAGTATCAACATTTATTAACCATTCCCCTCCTATGGAATATGTAGGTGGTTTCTAATTTTTGCTCTTATAAATAATAAACATGTTTACATTTGTTATTACTTCATGAAGACATATTTCTATAGGTAAAATTATTATATTAAAGGGTACAAATATTTTTAAGACCCTTTCATGCATATTTCCAAACCATTTTTCAGAAGGTTGTGACTGCCAGTTTATACTGTAACTAGCAGTATGTGAGAGGCTGCCTCAGGAAACTCCCACCAGCATTTTAAAATCCTTACTAATTTAATGGGTGATAATTTTTTATTTGCATTTTCATGATTTGCTATTGTAAGATACATTGACTTTTTCCTATTGTGGGAAAAAAACCCACATAACATGAGACCTACCCCCTTAACAGATTATTAAGTGCACAGTACAGCATGTTAATTGTAAGAACATTGTTCTACAGCACATCTCTAGAACCTTTTCATCTTACGTGACTGAATCTTTATACCCATTGAACAGCAGCTCACCATTTCTCCTTCCCCTTGCCCCTGGCACCCACTATACTACTTTCTGCTTTGACGAGTTTGATTTTTTGAGATACTTCGTATAAGTAAATCATGTAGTCATTTGTCCTTCCATGACTAGTTTATTTTACATAGCATAATGGCCTCCAGATTTACCCATATGATAGCATATGACAGGATTTCCTTCTTTTAATGGCTGAATAATATTTCATTGTAAGCATATACATTTTCCTTATCCATTAATCTGTTAATAGACATTTAGATTGGCTCCTGTGAATAATGCTGCAATGAACATGAGAGTACAAACATCTCTTTGAGTTCCCGATTTTAATAGTTTTGGATAAATACATTGAATTAGAATTGCTGGATGATACGTTAGCTCTATTTTTAATTTTTTTAGGAACCCCTATACTGTTATCCATAGCAGCTACACCATTTTACATTCCCATCTACAATACACAAAGATTCAAATTTCTCCACATGCTTGCCAACGCTTGTTATTTTCTGCTTTGTTTTGTTATAGTGGCCATCCTAATAGATATGAGATGATATTTCATTGTGATTTTGATTTGCATTTCCTGATGATTAGTGACACTGGGTATCTTTTGCTATATCTGTTGGCAATTTCTATATCTTCTTTAATGAAGTGTCTATTTAAGTTCTTTGCCCATGTTTTCATTGGGTCATTTGTGTTTTTGTTTGTTTTGCTATTGAGTTGTAGGAGTTTCTTATGTATTTTGGGTAGTAACCTCTTATCAGATATATGTCTTGCAAATATTTTCTCCCATTCCATACCTATGTTTGGTATGCTTTTTCCCTCTCTTGCTGGTTTCCTTTGTTGTACAGAAGCTTTGTAGTTTTCTGCAGTCCCACTTGGCTATTTTTGCTTTTATTGACTGTGCTTTTGGTGTCATATCAAGGAATCATTGCCAAGACCAGTGCATGAAGACTTTCCCCTATGTTTTCTTCTCAGAGATTTATATTTTAGGTTTTATGTTCAAGTCTTTAATCTATTGAGTTTATTTCTGTGTATGATATAAAATAGGGGTCCAATTTTATTCTTTTTTATGTGGATCTTCAGTTTTCCCAATACCATTTGTTGAAGAGACTATACTTTCCCCATTTTGTAATTTTGGCACTCTTGTGGAAGATCAGTTGACCATATATGAATGGGTTTATTTCTGGGCTCTCTGTTTTGTTCCATTGATCTACATGTCTGTCTTTATGCCAGTATCATATTGTTTTGGTTACTGTAGCTTTGAATATGTTTTGAAATCAGGAAGTGTGAGGCCTCCAGGTTTCTTTTTCTTTCTCAAGATTGTTTTAACTTCTCCTTTGTGGTTCTATATCAATTTTTGATTCAGTTTTTCTATTTCTGTAAAAATTGCCGTTGGGATTTTGATAGGGATTGCATTGAATATGTAGCTTTGGTTAGTATGTACATGTTAACAATATTAAGTCTTCCAATCCATGAACATCGGATATTTTTCCATTTATTTATGTATCTTCAATTCCCTTCAGCAATATTTTGTGGTTTTTAGTGTACAAGTCTTTTACTTCCTTGGTTCATTCCTAAGTATTTTATCCTTTTTGATGCTATTGTAAATGGGATTGTTTTTCTATTTTCTTTTTTGGATTGTTTGTTGTTAGTGTAGAGAAATGCAAATGATTTTTGTATGTTGATTTTTGTGTCTTGCAACTTTACTGAATTCATTTATTAGTTGTAACAGTTATTTTCTGAAGTCTTTAGGGTTTGCCATGTATAAAATCATGTTACCTGAGAACAGAGCTAATTTATTAACAGAGACCTTTTATATCTTTTTTTTGCCTAAATGTTCTGGCTGAGAGTTTCAGTACAATGTTAAATAGAAATAGCGAGAGTGGGCATCCTTGCCTTGTTTATGACCTTAGAGGAAAAGCTTGTAGTTTTTCATCATTGAGTATTATGTTAGCTGTGGACTTTCCATATGCTGCCTTTAATATGTTAAGAGAATTTCCTTTTATTCCTATTTTGTTGAGTGTATTTACTATGAAAGGGTGCTGAATTTTTTCAAATGCTTGTTCTGTATCTATTAAAATGATCATGTGATTTTTTCAAATGCTTGTTCTGTATCTATTAAGATGATCATGTGATTTTCATCCTTCTATTAATATCACATTGACTGATTTTCATATGTTGAACCATCCTTGCATCTCAGGGACAAATCATACTTCATCACACACCACTGCACTCCAGCCTGGGTGACAAAGTGAGACCCTGTTTCAAAAAACAAAGAAAAAAAAAGAAAAGGAAAGGAAAAAAAGAGAGAGAGAGTTGGGGGGGAGGAGGTGCCACACACATTTTTTTTCTTTTTTTTTTCTTTTTTTCTTTTTCTTTTTTGTTTTTTTTTGAGATGGAGTCTCGCTCTGTCTCCCAGGCTGGAGTGCAGTGGTGCGATCTCAGCTCACTGCAACCTCCACCTCCCAGATTCAAGAGATTTTCCTGCCTCCGCCTCCCAAGTAGCTGGGACTACAGGCACCCACCACCGTGCCCAACTAATTTTTATATTTTTAGTAGAGACAGGGTTTCACCATGTTGGCCAGGCTGTTCTCAAACTTCTGACCTCAAGTGATCCACCAGCCTCGGCCTCCCAAAGTGCTGGGATTACAGGCATGAGCCACTGCGCCCAGCCGAGGTGCCACACACTTTTAAATGAGCAGATCTCACGAGAATTCACTATCCAGAAGACAGCACCAAGCCATGAGGGCTCTGCCCCCATGATCCAAACACCTCCCACCAGGTCCCACCCTCAGCATTGGGGATTACAATTCAACACGAGATTTGGGCTGGGACAAATATCCAGACTATCTCATAGGGTACACACTGGCCTCACAAAATGAGTTTGCAAATGTTCCTTTGTCTTCAATTGTTTTTGGAAGGGTTTGAGAAGAACTGCCATTAGTTATTTTTTAAATGTTTGCAAGAATTCACGTGTGGAGCTATCTGATCCTGGACTTTTCTTTGCTGGGAGTTTTTTGATTACCAATTCTATCTCCTTACTAGTGACAGGTCTGTTCAGATTTTCTGTTTCTTCATGATTCAGTCTTGGTAGTTTACATTTCTAGAAATGTATCTATTTCTTCTAGGTTACCCACTTTGTTGATGTATAATTGTTCATAGTTGTCCCTTATAATCCTCTTTATTTCTGTGGCACCAGTTGCAATGTCTCCTCTTCCATTTCTGATTTTATCTGAATCTTTTTTCATTTGTTCTTTTCAAAAAACCAATTCTTAGTTTTGATTTTTTTTCTGTTGTTTTCCTATTCTCCATTTCATTTATTTCTGTTCTGACTTAATTATTCTCTTCCTCTTCCCAAGTTTGGGCTTAGTATGTTTTTCTTTTTCTGATTCCTTGAGGTATAGAATCAGGTTGCTTATTTGAGATCTGAGATCCTTCTTTTTTTTTTTTTTTTTTTTTTTTGAGACAGGGTCTCATTCTGTTACCCAGACTGGACTGCAGTGGCACAATCTTGGCTCACTGCAACTTCTGTCTCCCAGGCTCAAGCGATCCTCCCACCTCAGCCTCCTGAGTAGCTAGGACTATAGGTCTGTGCCACCACACCCAGCTAATTTTTTTATAGAGACAGGGTTTCACCATGTTGACCAGGCTGGTCTCCAACTCCTGAGCTCAAGAGATCCACCCACCTAGTGGATCCTCCCAAAGTGCTGGGTCTACAGGTATGACCCACCGCACCCGGCCCCTCCTTCTTTTTTAATGTAGGTATGTATTGCTATAAACTTCCCTCCTAGTACTGCATTTGCTAAATCCAATAAGTTTTAGTATGATAGTTTTCATTTCTGTTTGTCTCAAACTATTTTCTAATTTCCCTTATTTCTTCTTGACCGAATTGGTTGTTCCAGAGCATGTTGTTTAATTTCCACATATTTGAATTTTCCAACTTGCCTTCTGCTACTGACTTCTAGTTTCATCCCAATGTGGTCCAAAAAGATACTTGGTATTATTTCAATCTTCTTAAATGTGTTGACTTATTTTGTGACCTAACAGGTGATTGATCCTGAAGAAAGTTCTGTGTATCCTAGAAAAGAATGTGCATTCTGCTGCTGTTGGGTGGATGCATTTACTTTTTTTTTTTTTTTTTGAGATGGAGTCTCGTTCTTTCACCCAAGCTGGAGTGCAGTGGCACGATCTCGGCTCACTGCAACCTCTGCCTCCCAGATTCAAGCGATTCTCCGGCCTCAGCCTCCCAAGTAGCTGGGATTACAAGCACACACCACCACGCCTGGCTAATTTTTGTATTTTTAATAGAGACGGAGTTTCACCATGTTGGCCAGGCTGGTCTTGAACTCCTGACCTCAGGTGAGCTGCCCACCTCAGCCTTCCAAAGTGCTAGGATTACAGGCATGAGCCACCACACCCGGCCTGCATTCACTTTTTAAAACAAAAATGGTTGAGCTCGTAGTTAATAAAATCTTGGATTTTTGTCAGATGAATTGCTTTTAAGAAGGGTCTACCTTATCAGAACCTGTGCAACTAAATTACTGAATCTAAGTGAAATATTAAATATTTATTTCTATCTTATTTCCAAATTGTTAGTTTCAGTCAATTCAATGAATTTTTTCTCATTCTGCTAAAGAGCTTTTAATTATTTCAATAAGTAGTACATATAGATGGTAAGCAATGACAGTAGTACCAAAGGGTAAAAAATGTCTTAAACCTACTATTCTCCTCCCTGGTGGAAACCACCATTCCCAGTTTCTTGTGTATTTTTCCAGCATTATCCTCTGTGTATGTATATGATTGTGCAAATAATATTTAAGAAAATATACAGAAATGGCAGCACACTATATATACTACTATGCTAACTTTTTTCACTTAACACAGAGACCAGGAAAAGACTCTTAAAGGAGGCCTTTGAGCAGATGAATGAATGACGACAGAGTCACCTGTGCAAGATATGAAGGAACGGTGATATTCCATACAGAAGGCACAGCAAGTACAAATGCCCTAAGATGGGAATGAGCTTGGCATATATTAGGAACAGAAAGAAACCCATGCTACTGGAGCTTACTGAATGAGCAGGAAAGACATATAAGAAAAGTTGAAGACGTAGATAGGAGTCAGATTATACTGGTAGATAGGAGTCAGATTATACTGGGCTTTCGGGTAATGATGGGAAAATCTGATTTGTTTCTCTTCAATATTGGAATTCTCTGGCGATTTGGGAATAGTTGTTGAAACAGTAAAAAATAAAATCATCTAACAATTTTACCTACATACATATCATGAGATACCATAAAATGCTTGGCTGAAATCAAGATACTCATTTTAAAAGCTGCGTAATAAATGATTTCTTAATAAAAGGATTCATTTTTACACTCTTAGCCAAAGGCCAGAATTATTGCAAACAGAGACAAACTTGTAACAGTGAGATGGTCCTGAAAGAGGGCCTCCCTACACTTGTTTAATAATGAGACAGGGACTCAAGTAAGAAGTTAACCTGAAGCCTGAGAACGGGATTCTAATAGAGTGGAGAGAGGCCTGGTATAGGAGTCAGAGACCTCAGTTTGACATTACTAAATTTCCTTTTGCCTGCCTCAGTTTTCCCACCTGTGAGGTAACACTTCCTGGCTATGTATCTCACAACATTTTTCAGAAAATCAAATGAGGTAATGCATGTGATGGTTATTTGCATACTGCATAGTATTAACATGTGTACAGTATTATTATTTTTGAATAAAACTACAGGAAGAATATTGTGTGAGGGAGAATGTAGAACTATTAAATAACACATCAGTAAATATGTGTTGAAAGCTTCCTGTACTTCGTATGTTCAGCCCTGTAATAATAAGCCAATGTGATAAATATTTATTTAGTATCTATTATTTTGAAGGCCTGGTGATACATACAGCAAGTGATACAGCAGCAAGTAAGACAGCAGGAAACCAGAATTCCCAGTGGTCACACTTTGGAGGTAAAATCCTGATCCCAGAATGAGGGACAGTGCAAAGCTATGCAATAGGGAGGGTGTGGAAATCTGGCTGGTAAAGTCCACATAATCTGTAGCTTTCCTGCTAGTTGTGAAATGTTCTAGTTGTGACAACTAGAATCTCAGAATTGAAATAAGAAATTGATCCAAATGAGAATGCTTTCTAAACTATAGAGTACTATACAGTAGCATGATTGTGAGAGAATACTAAAAGATCAGCTTATGTCAGGAAGCTGCCTCTAAAATTTTGATCTAATGTTTCAATCATCTTCAACTAGCCCGTGAGTATCCATTTGACCTTAACTTGGGTGCAATAAGGGCACTCATTTGATTCTTACCATTTTATTATTCTTTTAAATGCCGCCATTATCATTGCACATGTGAAGCAATCAGGTGTGTTTAGCTGCAAAATAAACACATGAAGCAGAGCCACCCAATCTCCATTACCACGTGCTAGTTCACGTGAAAAATCCAAGGGCACGTAGACACACAGCTCTGCCCAGATGGAACTGACCCCCACAGTCAACAATTAAGGTAGGAAAGTGCACCAGCTAGGAGGCAGAAGTTGTAACTATTCCCTTAAGATAAATAATAAGATAAAATGACATTTTTCATTTATTTCAAAAGCATTAAAGCCAAGGTTGCAGCTGAATCATAGCAATGGGAGAATTAAACACTTTAAGGCCCACAAAATCAAAACTGTTGATTTACAAAACATCCACCCGCCTGGTAAATGTAAGTTCCTATTAACCTTTTTCTTTGCTCAGTCACTGGTCAATTACACAAAGAGGTCTTCCCTCTTGTGTTCAGTTCTTGTGTTCTGATTGGCTAACGTCAATATGCCAGAAAGATCTGCTGTTGACCAAAAGCAAGCTACAAATACACAACAGAAAAGTCAGAAATCTTAACTAAGCTCCAACACTTACCATTTAAAGAAATATTCATTTATGAGAGAAAAGAACCCAATTTATTTCCTCTATGAAATGAACATTTTATTAAATGTGTCCTCTTCTACGTCTAGACCAATAGATGCTACAAGCTAGCTTTTTTTTTTTTTTTAGTCTTAAAAATTAAATCCCTTGCCCTCTCCTCTAGGCATTTTAAAATTTATAATCTTTCTGGCAATCATCTTTTGTAATAAAAAGTATGGATATTAAGTTGAAATGTCTATAGTTCTAAGCATACATTTTCATTCACAATTAGAGATGTTATTAAGCGGCTTTTGAGGATAATGATTGTATCAGTTATCTATTACTGCAAAACAAAATACTTTTGGGGTGGTTTGTAACTCAGTCATAGATTAAATAAGATAAACTACACTATCCCTTTATTTAACATAGTCTTTTTTTTTTTTTTTTTTTTTTTTTTGAGACAGTCTCACTCGGTCACCCAGACTAGAATTCAATGGAGTGATCTCAGCTCACTGCAACTTCCACCTCCCAGGTTCAAGTGATTCTCCTGCCTCAGCCTCCCAAGTAGCTGGGATTACAGGTGCACAGCACCGCGCCTGGCTAATTTTTGTATTTTTAGTAGAGATGAGCTTCCACCATGTTGGCCAGGTTGGTCTGACCTTCTGATCTCAGGCTATCCGCCCACCTCGGCCTCCCAAAGTGCTGTGATTACAGGCATGAGCCACCACACCCGACCTATTTAATATAGTCTTATTAAGCATTCTTGGTTGCAAGTATCAGAAACCCATTTAACCTATCTTAAAGATGAGGAATTTGTAACAAGTTTATGTAGGTAGTTTATGGAAAAGAAGGACAGGAAGTGCACTTGAGCTTCATCAAGGACAGAACCAGAAAATGGAAAATCTGACCAAGAACTAAGGTAGTTGATCTCTGTTTTCCTCTGAGACTGCATGGATTCTCTTTGTGTCTTTTTTTTCTTCCTCTTTTTCTTCTTTCTGTGTTTTCACTTTTATCTTCTCTCTGTGCAGTCATCTTTGTTTCTTTATGCACCTGTCAGAGGGGGGCCACCCTATAGCTCCCGCAGTTACATGTCCTTAGCTCATGTAACTAACAAAAACTGCTTAGCCACTCGCAATCCCAATTCCAGTTCTAAAGGCAAAGAATTTGATTGGTGTACCTTGGGCCAGGTGACAAGTCCTGGTCCCATCAGCTAAGGCTAAGGGTCAGTCAGGGGCATGAAGTTCAAACATAGCTACTATGGGAGCAATTTTTAGAGAAAAAAGGATGTGGGCTGGGAAACATCTTGAAACTGTCTACTACAACTATCATTCCAATGGAGAGAAAGTGGGAAGAATGGAGTGTAAACAAAAAATGTTATAGAGCTATATTTAGCACTATGTGTGGGATAAAAATGGGAGAGCATAGCCAAAGAAGACACATTAATGGAAGTAAAGAATGGTGAAGGATTAGATCAAGAAGATTAAAATATAGGAGAGTAATTTGAATTGGAAGGAGAGAGGTCTTGTTGAAGATTTTGAGATGGGAGGTGATGATGTCAAAACAACAGGAACAAAATCGACATTCATGCATTTAAAATAATTATTCAGTGAGTGTCTACTCTGTGCCAGGCCTAGTGCTGGGCTCTGGGATTAGTTTAGTCATATACTCTAGCGCCTCTGAAGGGTCTTCACTGCCTGGAGGGTTGCTAAGGGACTCTACTCCTGGATGCTATTAAGGGGAATGGCAACAGAGTCAGAACAATTCAGTGACCACAAAAAGGCAAACCAGAGAGGACATCACCTTGAGTGTAAATTTCCCTTTTTATTCTCTAGTTTTCTCCACCTGTAATTGATAATAAAGTATGTGTAACATTATACTTCCTTCCCAGAGGCATGAGAAATGCAAAGCTTGGTTTTATTGCAGAATGTTATAAAAGAACCAGTGTCAAACAGGAACCTGTGTTCCTTTTAACTTTGCAGCTCATCACCATAGAGCCTTCAACAAGTCTTCAGTTCTCTGTGCCTTATTCTTGAAGTTCAGTAGGTAATAGTAGCATCATTAACACTGACTGAATGTTTATTATGTACCAGGTGCTATAGTACAGACTTTACACAAATAATATATCTAATCCTCACAAGAACTGAATGAGGTAGGCCCTATTAGCATCACATCCTCATTACCTAGATAAAGAAATTGAAGCATAGAGAATTTAAGTGCCTTGTTCAAAGCTCTACAGCTAGTAAGTGGTAGGAGCTGGGCTTTAGACTCAAAATACCTGGTTCCAGAATCCACACCTTTTAACAATATGCTATGACATTAACTACTTCTTAAAATTTTACTTTACACCTATTGGTGATATTATCTTAATGTCCTTTTATATGCCTATCATGCACATCAGTTTGTGTCACACATGCACTTCTAGCATCGAGGACCATTTAGCTAACTAGATGTACCTTTCTGTCCCAAAGTAACTAAAAGCACAGGGCCAGAGATACCTATTCACAAGGTATTATAAACAGAGGAATCACAGACTGTGCCAGTCAACCCTCCAGTAAGAGCTCCAGGCTCCTTTTTTGTTTTTTGGGTTTTTGTTTTGTTTTGCTTTTTGAGACAGGGTCTCACTCTGTTGCCTAGGCACTGGAGTACAGTGGCACGATCTCAGCTCACTGCAGCCTCGATCTCCTGGGCTCAAGCAATCCTCCCGCCTCAGCCTCCCAAGTAACTGGGGCTATTGGCGTGGCTGATTTTTGTATTTTTTATAGAGATGGGATTTTGCCGTGTCGCTCAGGCTGGTCTCAAACTCCTGGACTCAAGGGATCTGCCCCCCTTGGCCTCCTGAACTGCTGGGATTGCAGGCATGGGCCACTGCACCTGGCTAACTTCAAGCCCTTGAGGCCAGTTGATGTACCCAAAGCGCTCGCTGAGCAAACAAGAGAGCTGTTTCTCTCTGGGTGGGGGCCAGTGTTTAAAGGCTCAATCTCTGCTCACTGCTCTGCTGCCTCAGCACCATGTGCATGTGTGTGCGCACGTGCACACACACACACACACTCTCACACTCACACTCACACTCACTCACTCTCAGTGGAAAAGGCATTCTGTGTCCTCACTGTCAAAAGCGACTGGCAGATCCAACTCCCCCACCAGATCACTTCTGGCCTAGCTATAGAGTAATTCTATTATGCATAGGGTGACTAAAAACCTTCTTTAACTTCAGGGCTCTTCTGACTCTGTACACTAAGCAAGAGTTTATGGCCTTGCCAAAGAACCATGCTGCTTGTTCAGGAACTGGGAAGGCATCCTAATCATCATCCTATCTGTTCTTAAGAGACCCTAGACTGGAATGGTCCAGTCACCTCTGAGCAACACAGGTTTGTCTGTTGTCTGCTGGTGAGTGTGTCCTCTGTAGCTGAGTCCATAGCCAGCTGCCGAGAGTGCCTACATCAGCATGGTTGAGGGAGAGATACAAACTTCTGGCTCCACGAAAGCAGGCCAACATGCACATAATGCTTTACAACACTGCTAACTCCAAATCTGCTCAAATTTCATTATCAAAAGGATCAATGTCAGTAACCTGAATATCAAATTATCAAGTTCCATTGCCTAATGTAAGTTGGCAGTCCTTAGCCTTTTTACATGAACTCTAGATAAGATGATGTTGTGGTGTGACGTCTTTTGAATCACAATAAACAGAGAGTCACTCGTGATACTTCAAGAAAAGGGAGATTTTGCTGTAAGTCTCCACCTGGATCAAAAAGAGGCCAGGGGCAGTGGCTCGCACCTGTAATCCCAGCACTTTGGGAGGCCGAGGCAGGAGGATCATGAGGTCAAGAGATTGAGACCATCCTTGCCAACATGGTGAAACCCTGTCTCCACTAAAAATACAAAAATTTATGGGCCTCGTGGCACACGCCTGTAGTCCCAGCTACTCGCGAGGCTGAGGCAGGAGAATTGCTTGAACCAGGGAGGCGGAGGTTGCAGCGAGCCAAGATCACACCACTGCATTCCAGCCTGGCGACACAGCGAGACTCCGTCTCAAAAAAAAAAAAAGAAAAGAAAAGAAAAAGAAACTGGGGCAGCTCCAGGGGCCAGTGGGCTGTCCAGTTATCAGCAGATGCTTGATTTCTAATATGTTCCTGCTCTCCACCTCCTCTCTATAGTCAGACTTGCTTTATTGGCTCATATTTGCAGAGCACACTGGAAATTAAATTCCTCTATGTTGTAACAAACGGTTCCGCTTCTGCTCCTAATAATGCTCTCTGAATTCCTTCTCTTGACATTTCTAAGTTCACATTCCTGAGAGAAGGAATCTGATTGGCTCAACACGTTTTTTTGGAACATCAAGTCAGAGGTTATAGGCTAGCCTTGAGCTGGGTTGTCCCTCCTGGTTCAATCAGCTATAATGGTGAGGAAGAGTCAAGTGGTAGAAAAAAATGGCTGCCGGCCGGGTGCGGTGGCTCACACCTGTAATCCCAGCACTTTGGGAGGCCAAGGCGGGCAGATCACCTGAGGTCAGGAGTTCAAGACTAGCCTGGCCAACATGGTGAAACCCCATCTCTACTAAAAATACAAAAATTAGCTGGGCGTGTTGGCAGTTGCCTGTAATCCCAGCTACTCGGGAGGCTGAAGCAGGAGAATAGCTTGAATCTGGGAGGCGGAGGTTGCAGTGAGCAGAGATCATGCCGTTGCACTCCAGCCTGGGTGACAAGTGGAATTCCGTCTCAAAAAAAAAAGAAAAAAGAAAAGAAAAGAAAAAATGGCTGACAATGATGCACTCTTTTTTTTTTTTTTTTCTTTCTTTCTTTCTTTTTTTTTTTTTTTTTGAGACAGAGTTTCACTTTTGTTGCCTAGGCTGGAGTGCAATGGTGCGATCTTGGCTCACCGCAACCTCCGCCTTCTGGGTTCAAGCAATCCTCCTGCCTCAGCCTCCAGAGTAGCTGGGATTACAGGCATGTGCCACCACGCCAGGCTACTTTTGAATTTTTGGTAGAGACAGGGTTTCTCCATGTTGGTCAAGCTGGTCTCGAACTGACCACCTCAGGTGATCTGCCCGCCTCAGCCTCCCAAAGTGCTGGGATTACAGGCGTGAGCCACCGCACCGCACGTGGCCGCCAATGATGCACTGTTGTGTGCACTCTCTGTCTCTGTCTCTCTCTCTTCTCTCAAGTGGAAATTGCTTCACTAGAAGCTGCTCTGGGCTAGCAGGCACTGTAAACATGTCTAGTGTAGGTGGGATATTTGGGGCAGAACTGAGAACTTGAGCCTGTTAATACCCTGTTACTAGGGTATTAACATTGTCTATTTTACATAATTACATTAAATTACAATGGGACCATTTAAAAATTTTTAAATAATCAAATATAGTCATTTCTAGGCAATCAATCAATATCATAATCTTTAAGATGTAAGCCTACCCATATTTTCCAAAGTTAATTCTTCAATAAATTTATGTATTGCCTTTGAAGAAAGCAGATTTTAAATGAGTAAATTATCAAAGAAAGGTTTGAGACTACTTACAATCTCTTTCATCTTCACAAACTTCAAAAGTATCCCCAGCTTTTCCAATCTTTTCCCTGGAGTTTGATTTCCACTTGCCCGCACCTCACTTTAATTTAGGCCAGATAGTCATTACAAATGAAACTACCAGAAGCAACAAGAAATGTTCAAAGGATTTACCCTTGTTGTTTGGCTTCTCACATAGAACCTACAAGGTCAACGTTTACAAAATTATCCTCTAAAGATAATTTTTGGAAAGGAAATAGCAGATTTGGAGATAAAGATGTATTTTAGCAATAAAAAGTAAAGTATTAGGTACAAAGTCTGTGAGGCTAATTTTTATCATTTTTATTTTCAATATTCTCATGACAAGTAATCTAATCAGAAATATCTCCCTCCAAAGTCAGATTTCCTTGATAATTTTGGAAGATTCTTGTTCTAGATATGTCCATCATCTTCCCTTGTCCAAACTCTCTTCTTAGAGAACTTTTCCTGCTAAGGACTCTGAAGGAATATGACTCATGCCCTTGGTAAATGGACCAAGAGTGGGCAAATGATCCAGTCAGGACCATTCAAATCCTCTTTCAGAAATTTCAGAAATTGAAACATAGAGATTGGGTAAATTGACATTTTAGGCTTAAGAGCCATAAGGTCGAATAGAATTAATATTAGGATTGGCTTTATAGCATCCCAAAGTTAAATGCAGCTGAAGCTACAGGGAAGCAGATCCTAAAAGACCTATAGAAGTTTGTTTCCATAGGGAAGATGGAGCTGACCTGCAGAGAGAAGTGAAGACAATAAACTGAGAAAGACCAAGAGGAATTATCCGCCTGAAGAAATTTAAGTTCCCACCTGTCCCCAGCTGTATCATTAGATTCATAGGATTTTTTGACAGTTACAATACATTTATCTTTACTTCAACTAGCTTGTGTGTTTGTTTTTCTTATAATGAGATTAAGATAATTCTGTTTTTATGTGCATATTTTTAATCTGGATGAATACTGCATTTAGTAATGCCTCAAAAAATAGAAAGGAATGGCCTCCACCCACTCTGGTGCTCTCTGAAGGAAATTGAAGGCAAGCACCAAAGCATGCATATCTTAAGTATTTGCAAAGAACAGCAGTTTCATCCAGAATGGGATTTGATGAGTAACTTCTGTGACCAAGATGGAACTTAATAGAAAAGCTTTTCCTCGTAAGATGGATGGTTCAGTAACTGCAGTCACTCAGCAAATTATAGTAAGCGTCCACTGCATGTGCTAGGCACTGCGTGAGCAGTTCTGCAGCCCTCAAGGAGATTAGGTAAGTTCTAAGTAAGGTTCCCAGTAGGACAATGAGTAAATCACAGCTACTAGGTAATACACTCCAGCCCACTGAATGCTAAGGATGATTTCAAAAGGAAAGCACTGGGCCGGAGAGTTGAAGGGTTTGAGCCACACATAAAAAATTCAGCCCTTTCTTCCTTAAATTTCTCTGACATGGATTCCAAGTTTAAACAAATTCCTGTAAGCAAGTTTCTGAGACAATTCTGAACAAGTCGACAAAGATTTACTAAAATCTTACCATGTGCTAGGCAGTGAGCCTACACTAAGATGAAAAGGGCTTGGCACCTTGTCAAGGAGTTTTTGTGTTAGAAAGTGAACTAAGATAAACACATCCAAACGGCTTTTGAATCCTGATAAGAGATATCATTCACTCACTAGCTTCCTATGTGTATTGATGCCTGAATATTGCATTGGTGAATTCTGTACCTATCTAAAACCTTTGTGACTCTACCTGATCTCCCGTCATTAAATTCTATCCCATTAGGAACAGATGTGATTCCAAATAATGTCATTATAGCTTCCTAAGAGTAAAAATAACTGAAAACCCTCAACTTTCTCTCTGGACAAAGTCTAGGGAAGTCCACTGAATCTTAGCCTTGGAAAGCACAGTGTCAGACTTGAAGCAATGATAGATTTGGTGCCATTTTTGTCGTTGAAGAAAAGGACAAGCAGTATAACCCTCTGAGTCCACAGGTCATGAGCAAGTTAAAACATCAGTTGTCAGCCCAGGAAGCAAGTTGAAAGAGAGCTCTCTGGCGCAAGAGCTGAAGCTGTCAGTCACATTAACGGAATAAAAAGAGTGTACAAATATCCCTGGATTCCCAAATCAAATTGTCTCTTTCTTCCATGATAGATCAAGGAACTTTCTCAGAATCAGTTAAGGACCCAGCACAGCTGGGATTAGAGACTTACAGGAAGAAGCACGAGATCAGAAAATATTTAGACAGCATCTTGCAGATGCACAGTCCTGCCTAAGTGCTTCATAATCATAATGTTATGGTTGAGTGTCTATCAAATTATAGCTGAAGACAAAGCAAAGCACAGACCTTTTCAGAGCAGTTACTGCTTACTTAATGGTCTGATAGGGCAAAGGATACATTCTTGGAAATGTCAGGTATTCAGTAAGTCATAGTCTTAGAAAGAGAAAAAAGACAGTCCTTCCAGAATTCAGGCTTATTACCTAAGATAAAAGTCACAGTTCACGCCCAGCAGGAATTTACGAAGACAAACACAAATGTTGCACTATTAGTCCCCAAAGCTCCATAATCAAACAAGGGATTTCAGCTGCTCCGAATCATCCAGCCACATTCCTAAAATGCCATGTTATCAAGACTCGAAAGATTCCATAGTGAATTAATGTGAGCTAGGATTCAAGTGGACCCTGACACAAAAACCCTCAAGAGGAGGCAGACTGTAGCTATGGAAAGGGGAAAGAGCAGGTAGATTGAAGTCAGATGGATCTGACTTTAGATCTCAGGGCCAACATTTGACAGCTCTGTTCTTTGCTCAAGTTACTTAACATCTCTGAGCCTCAAGTCTGTCTTCTGTAAAATGACAGTAATAATACCTACCTCACAGGGTTACGGGGAGAATTAAGAAAGGTAATGTGTGATGCATAATACCTGACATGTGGTGGATAATCAATAAAGATCTGTCCCCTTTCCCTAGTATAGCCTAGAAGTAAATGTCACTTTATAGTTTGTGTTTCCTTATACTTAAGGTATCTTCATTGGACTGGAGAGGCACTATGGAGGAGTTAAAGCATACAGCAAATGGAACTGAATTGCCTGAGCTTGAAGCCTGGTTTCACTGCTCTCTAGCTGTATAACTGGGCTAGTTACTTAGCCTGTTTGTATCCCAGTTTCCACCGAGGCTGAATTGAATGAATATAGGTGAATGGTGTGGAACAGTGTCCAGCACATAGTGAGCACTGTAAGATTTAGTTACTATCATTATTACCATTGTTGTTACCTGCATCCTGGGTAAAATATATATGTGTCACCTGAAGCAATAACTCCCATCTCACGTTTATCTTTTACAGTGTGACCTGCCGCTTCTCCATCAACAGGTGGTGTCCCCTCACCTTGAATCTGCGTGGGCTTTTCACACCTTTGTTCAATACAGCATGGTGGAAGTAACTCTATGAGTTACAACACAACATTCAGCTTCTATCTGGTCTACCAGAACACATGCATTTGGAGCCCTGAGGCCACCATGCTTGTGAGGAGGCTGAGCCACATGGGGAGGCCACATGGAGGTGCTCTGGTCAGCAGCCCTACTCTACAAGCCACCTTTTTATCCCAGGTATGAGAGTGAAGCAGCCTCCAGGTATGAGGATTCCAGCCCCCAGCCGCTGAGTCACTCTCAGCTTTTAAGCCTTTCCATCTGAGAACTCAGATGTCCCAGAGCAGAATGAACACATCCTTTTTGTGCCCTATCCAAATTCCTGACCCACAGAATCTATGAGCTTATTAAAATGGTGGTTGTTTTAAGCTGCTATATCTTGGGAGAGTTTGTTGTTGGCAGTAGTATCTGGAACACTTTCTTTCAAGCAGAAAGGTACATTATTTGAACTTTCCTGGAGTTAACATGTGAAAAAAAATTATTTTTTGATGAACAAGAAATATGGCCCCCTTCATAATTATTCATGGGAATAACTTGAAAAGTAGGCATTTTAAATTATATTTTTCTTATATGAGTTGATGGGCAGGGCCCAGAACTGGTGTTTATATATTACGTGTCAAAAAGGCTTGCATGGTTCTCCTCTTCCAACATGTATACAGTTATCCATTACTTTTCTAGAATTGGAGTTCCCAAGAAGAAATTTTTTTTTTTTGTAACTGGAGCAACAAAAGTCTCTCTGGTGTTTCCCAACTCTGAAATAGAAATCATTTAGAAGTGTTCAGAGAGCCATATTCCATTATCGCTGGGCATGTTAAATAGCTAGTGGTCTCAGATTCAGAATTATTCATAGCAGTTTATTAAAGTGGTAAAAGGGTCTCTACTGATTTGTATTTCTATATGTATTCAAATCCCTCTTAGTAAGCTCGGCCACTCTCATCACAGTATCACTGTGGAGAGACCCATCTTATGTTTATAAAAAGGGAAAAATTGTGGCTAGGTATGCAAGACACCCAAAACAGGGTTTGCTCTGTGTTAATTAAGAACACGGAATTCCATTTCATAAGGGAAGATTTCCTGAAAACAACCATCTGTCGTGTGTGTGTGTGTGTGTGTGTGTGTGTGTGTGTGTGTGTGTTTTAAGCGATCCTGATTTCAAACCAGAAGTTCTAGTAAAAGCTGACCTGAAACATTTCCATATGTCAGCTTTCACTACCTTCTCACGGGCAGATCTATTCTGTCTGATCAGTGTTTTAGAGGACACGGGAGCAACGGTGCTAAGCAGTGACAGATTGTCCCTGTCACATGGTCTGAAAATTCCCTGGTCTCAGTTTTTAGGTTTTTGAGCCCTTCTTTCTTAGAAAAAGACTTCTTTTTACCAGGTTCCCTCTCCACTTCTCTCTCCTGTGCAAACAGCTTACCCCTGTCACCCTCCAGGCGTTCTACAGCACGGGCTTTGCAGTTAGACACCTGGATTTATTTAATTCTTGGATTCTCTACGTACCAGCAATATGCCTTTGGGCAAATTGCCTAAATTCTCTGATCATCATTTCTTAACCTGAACAGAGGAGGCAATGATCTCCCTAACTTGCAAGATTCTTGTGAGAATTAAAGAAATAATGCCTCCTCAGCACCTAGAACAGTGCTTAGAATGTTCACTACCCATTAGCTATTCTTTAGAATAAATGAATGTATAGCATAGATCTTAGAACAGGCAAGAGCTTTAGAGTCCAGGCCCCGCTTTCTAAAATGACCTCTGGGGCCAGGCACAGTGATTCACTCCTGTAATCCCAGCATTTTGGGAGGCCAAGGCAGACAGATCACTTGAGGCTAGGAGTTCAAGACCAGCCTGAGCAATATGGTGAAACCCCATCTCTACAAAAAAATAATAAAAATTAGCCGGTCATGGTGGTACATGCCTGTAACCCCAGCTACTCAGGAAGCTGAGGTGGGAAGATCAGGATCTGCTTGAGCCCAGGCTGCTGAGGCTGCAGTGAGCCAAGATTGTGCCACTGCACTCCAGCCTGGGTGACAGAGTGAGACCCTGTCTCTCAATCAATCAATCAATCAAATGCCCTTTGGACTTCAAAGTTATTCTAGGAGTGTTAGAAATAGGCAGAGGTGTCAAAGCCAATAAAAACAACTCCAGAGGGCACCTAAGGCTCTGCTGACGAACTTTGCAGGGGGCAGGCTCCTAATGGGATCGTGCATTCCTGGTTCAATAGTGCTTTGTGTTCATTGCAGCTCCTAACAGGATTATGGCATGAGAACGGGTGGTCTATTAGAGAGCATCCTACTACAGGCTCAAGAACCAGACACACCCTTGCTTTCTGTTCATCACAGTGAGGAACTCCCCTGACAATATATAAATTATGTGAAGATGCAGTCCCACCTGCCACAGGGGTTGGCTACCTGATTCAAATGTACGCTTGTTCTTCAGGGAGACCAGTGTCTCTCATTTTACATTTAAGTAACAGATCAACCTTATGGTACAGGTGGCAGAAGTGTGACAAAGAGGCACTCAAGTGACTTTCTGTTGCCATGACAGGAGCAATTATCAGATCCTTGGGAATGAAGGTAAGGAAGGTGAAGTTTGTTTTTAACTTTTCATTCCCCCTGCCCAACCTCTCTTTCAGTGCCAGGACAGTGGTCCCAACTTCTCTCAGGATCCTGAATGTATCACCAGGGGTACTCCACTTTCATCTCCCCTCCTCCAAATATCCTAAGCTCCAAGACAGCTCTCCTTTAGTTAGCAGAGCATCACCCTTGCTATGCTTTGTACAAATCTGTTATTAGGTTAGACTAATTCATAGTAAGCTATGATGATCCATATGTCTTGAGGCTTAGAAATCCAGTGCAGTGGGTTGGTTGTGCCCCCCCTCACAAAATGTGTTAAAGTTCTAGCCCTCAGTACCTATGCATGTGATCTTATTTGGAAAAAGAATTTCTGCAGATATAATTAAGTGAAGGATCTTGAGATCATTCTGGATTAGTTGGGTGAGCCCTAAATCAAATGACAAGTGTCCTTATAAGAAGAGGAGAAGACAGGGATTGGAGTGATGCAGCCACAAGCTAAGGAAATGCTGGAGCCACCAGAGGCTGGAAGAGGCAAGGAAGGACTCTCCTCTAGAGACTTTGGAGAGAGCATGGCCCCGCCAACATCTTGATTATGGACATCTGGCCTCTAGAATTGTGAGAGAATACATTTCTGTTGTTCAAAACCACCCAGTTTGTGATAATTTGTCAGGGCAGCCACAGGACATAAATACACTCAGAAATCCCAACCACCACAACCCCAGCCCCTCACTCCAAAATGGACTTTCCCATACATTATTTCAATGCCACTTTCTAAGAAGGGCAGAAGTAGATTCCTGATCTCATCTTGACCAATGGAGAGCCTGAAGTTCAGAAAGGTTCAGTCACTTCCCCCTGACACAGAGCTAAGACTCAAAACAGTTCTCTGCCTTTCTCTTCTGCCAGTTTCTCTAAGGAATTACTGTTGTTGCTTTTATTTTTAAAGAGGATCCTATAGTCCCAAATGCATATTTAACTGGTAAAGAACTTTTTTCTCATTCCTCCTCCTTCCCTTACTCTGTTACTTTGTTTCCAGAGCTGAAGGCCCTAAAGTCTCAGCTTTTCCACCTTTGCTGACTTCAGAGAGAAGGGGGAAGGAGGCAAGGCTGCATGAAGTAATATCAAATATGAAAAAGTAAATATTTACAGTTTTTCTACTTCTTTTGCATGCCCCTTTGTGAGGGCTCAACTCATACCACGTCCCAGCCCTTCTCTAATTTGTGAACAAACACTTTGGCAGCACTAATTCCATCATCATCATCTGTGCTTACTAATATTTTTAATTAAATGATATCACCAAATTTTGGTCACAGCTCCCCGTCCTCTAATTTTCAATAGCAATTATCCTTCTGGTTATATATTTCAATATGTTCCAGAAACATTTTCTTTCTGGTAGATTCATTGGGGGGAGTCCCCCCTTGCATTTTTCCATAGAAATCAGAAGCTGATCAGCTGATCCCCTCATATTAATAATTTACTGAGGCTCCAGGCAGCTAAGCTATCAGCAACAACCTATCACTTTTTTGCTTCCTGTCTTGGGAATTGCTCAAGCGTTCCAGTATCTTTGTAAGGCTGAGAGGTGCTGAAGTTGGCACATACGTATTGAGTGGCTCCCCTCTATAGAGCACTGTACTCCAGTTGCTATAGAAATAAGTTAAAGCATCTAACTCTGGATTCTTGTGTCTCACGTATTCAAATTTAGATGAACTATGACGTGGCTACAAAAAAAAATATGCCAGCTTCCATGAGATAGAAATGCAAATCTGCCACATCATTTGGCTCCTTAAACTGATAAAGCAGTCATGGAAAGACAAAGGAGGTCATTTATCTGTTCCATTTTATTATCGTCCAGCTCGAGGGAGCTTCATTTATAGCGAAAACTTCCTGGGTACTTTTGCTCCCTTGAAACTTAATGGAGTGGGAGAGAAAGACAGAAGAGAGGGAGTTACAGCAGAGTGACATGGCACATTCTTCTAGTGTTTGAGATGACAAACTGCTTCTGTTTTTTAAAATTATATCACATAAAGAGAATCTACTTGGAGATTGGCCAAGACTGAGACTGCGAAGCCTGAGAGATAGTACAGGTGAGGGTAGTTCGAAATGTGTACCAAGATTCGAAGAAGAAAAAATTAGGGAACCACAACCAAGCACTGAGTATTGTGAAAGAAAGAGGGAAAATGCTCTATTTCTGATTGCCCTTCTTTTGAGCTAAAAAAGCCTTTCTTGAAAAGAAATTGAAAATCAATCCAGTACACAGACTACTCTTTACCTTTTGTTACTGTAAAGCATACGTTCAATGTAAAAGTGGTATTGCTGAAAATAAAGCCATTGAGAAAGGCTAAATAGGATGAGGAGAGAGGGAAGAGAAAAAAAAAAAACAGGAGAACATAAAAAGTTTTAGGTCTCATAAAAGTAAGTCTTTAAAATGGCGTTTTCCCCTTACACCAAAACAACTTAGAAACGTGCACTTAAGAAAACACTTGAATGAATCTTTCTTCAGCTGAATTTCAAATGCTGTGTTGCAATGTTTGAAGGAGAAATTGATTTACATGAGAACAGTAAAACAGGACTTATACATCACATTACCTCTCAGTGCTTTGCACCTTAGCATTTGCACCTTACGTTTATGGGTCCAGGATTTAGATACCCAAGGTTACCTACCTCAGCAAGGACAGTGCCCAAATATTACAATGTGCAGGGACTCTCTGAGAGTTTGGGGCCTGGAGATGTTAACTAAGGAGGTATAGAGACCATAACACTTATCTTTGCTTCCATTTTCTTTGAAGAAAAAGGATGATCATATGATTGATCTTGTAATTGCACAAGAGGAAGTGACAGCTAAGAGTTTGAAAGGGAAGTATGAGGAATTTAAGTTGATTGTTAAACAAAGAGAAGGTTTCACAAGAAACTGGAAATGTTATTCAAAAGACTTTCAGATGATGAAAGTCTTGGCTGTAGGCACCATCCTGGCAACCCCTGCCCAGTCACATAATTCTATAAACTATAGCGGCAGAGTAATGTAGCAGAAAGGTAATGGAGGATAGTGACTAAGTGATTTCCCTCTGGAATCAGATGGAGGTTCAAGTCTCAGCTCGACTACTTGACCGCTGATTAAGCCAAGCAAGTTATTTAGCCTCTCTGTGTTTTAGTTTCTTCAATTATACAATGGGGGACGATAAGTGTTTCCCACTTGGGCTCCAGTGAGAACTAAGTGGAGTAATGAATACTAATTGCTAAGCCTCATGTCTAGAACACAGTAGATATTCAATAAATATCAGCTCCTATTGTTGCTACCGTCATTACTACTTCTACATAAGAAAGATAATAGCCTAAGCTACTTCTTCTTTTAATTTGTATCACATGCCCGTAGAGTACCAGTATAATCATACCAGCCACTCTTCTGTTACTACTTCAGTTCTTCAGAAATTGCAAATGTACTAGGCCTAAAGCTGCCTACACATTTCATGTCTGGGTCGACCTTTAACCTGGTGGGACAATATTAACCTACTCTATCAAATCCTGCAACACTTCACTGGACCAATATCAGCTTGGGCTTCACATCACCAGAAACATACTACCTTCCACTAATTTGCAGTTTCTCCTAGGTCTTAGGGCTTTCAAAATTGGATATGGTCAATTTCATTACTAGTGGTCTATAGAGTCCATTTTAAAATCATTTGTCATTGTAAACTCAAAGGTGCACCCATCAGCAAAGGTTCTTGCAGAATTTTCATTATTCTGGGCCATAGAGTAGATGGATATACAGGCAAAGTCCCTCTCATAGCAATAAGATTATAACAACTTAATTAACAGAAAAATGGTTATCTGCTGCAAGTGGTACAAGACTTCCATTCTTAGTGGATTTTTTTAAAGTTGCTGAAAATTAGTTTTGGGGAGTTATTAGGACCATTCAGCTAATGAGGGTTATTTGTGCAAGCTCCTAGGAAATGCAGGAAGAAGGTGGCTCACGCCTGTAATCTCAACACTTCAGGAGGCTGAGGCAGGCGGATCACGAGGTCAGGAGTTCAAGACCAACCTGGCCAACATGGTGAAACCCCCATCTCTACTAAAAATACAAAACAATTAGTTGGGCGTGGTGGCGGGCGCCTGTAATCCCAGCTACTTGGGAGGCTGAGGCAAGGAGAATTGCTTGAACCTGGGAGGCGGAGGTTGCAGCAAGCTGAGAAAGCACCACTGCACTCCAGCCTGGGTGACAGTGCAAGACTTCACCTCAAAAAAACAAAAAAGCAAAAAAAGAAAATGCATGAAGATTAGATGAGACAACAAAAAGGTAGGGGACCCTTCTCTGGTCAGGCCTTTAGGAGAGGGAGGAAAAATGCAAAAGTTCTGTACCTTTGCTTACTTACTTATTTTTGGAATCCATATGTGGGATCTGAGAAAAGTCATACTCTGTTTTGGTGTTTTTCTTGGTACTTGTTTTCTTTTTATTTACTTTTTTTTCTGGTTTTAAACCCCAGGTAAATATGAGTAAATTAGGGAAAAAATGAGCAATTATTATTGCCTGACTAAAAAATAAATAAGCACACACAGAAACAAGAAGACATGAGTTTCCCAGTTCAGAAACCATTATAGGAATGGGAAGAGTCTTCTGACACTTTTTTCCAGGAAAAGTCAGCCTCCAGTAAATCAACTTTTGGAGACATGGCCTTTGCACAGCAGTGAAAAATGAACAGAGGCAGATGGAATGAAGGGAAGCTACTTTACCTTGCAGAGCTAAGTTTAAATCCAGTTTTCTAAAATGTGTTCTGCAGGGTTCGGAAGTTGAAGGAGATAATTCTCAATGAAAGCAACAATGAAAGCTCAATGAAAGCAACAAAAGAAATGAAGAACACCTCCTCAAATTTAGGGGGCCTGTTAGCCCATCCCGTGACAACAACATCCTGAAAAAACAGTCTTTGTGCATTAAACCAAAAAATAAAAAAATAAAAAAATGCAAAGACGAAAATAAAAATTACTGTAGATAGGAGTTCCCTGTGAAAGAAAAGCCTTTGCTTAAAATTTGGTTATCATTATTTTCAGAGCAGATGGGGCCATATTCAGCTCAAGCTTCCTCACACGCAGAAACTGGCCAAATTTGCCACTAATTAGCAATGCGCCACACTGTTCAATGACCTTCTCAGTCCATTTGCAGGCCAAGGCCTCGGCGACCTCCAATGCACCACCTGAGACCACGACTCAACAATGAAGGCCTATGAATTGTCCTGCAGCAGCCACCCTGTCAGTTGTGCTCAATGTGTAGGGTAACAAAGAAAGCCAGAAGGCTGCTTTAGTTTTTACTTATTTTTCCTTTTTAATTCCTTCAAAGGAAATTTCAATTTCTCAAAGGTCATTG
Organism: Homo sapiens; assembly: GCF_000001405.40. NCBI lineage: Eukaryota > Metazoa > Chordata > Mammalia > Primates > Hominidae > Homo > Homo sapiens. The sequence goes on along the minus strand of NC_000014.9, from coordinate 56,090,503 downwards.
GCTAAGGAAAAAATAATAATTTTTGTCTCACCACCTATTTTCCCTACTTAATGTTTCTTATTTATCTTTCTCACAGAAAGGAAATGTGAAGAGTATTTTTCTCTTAAAATAAGAACAAGGAGAATCTTTTTCTTTTCTGTGCCCACATGGTAATTTTCAAAAGTGCATGTATTTGTAACTTGCTTTTCACTTGCTTTATACCATTTGGAGGAAAGGCTTTCTGGTCAACCCTTCTGCCAGGCAAAATGAACATGTGGATGGCAGCAGCTGCCCTATGCTTTTTCTCTCCTCGCCTTCTCCATGGGCCTTTGGCACTGATGGATTCTCAGCAGGAATTGGGGCCTTCAGGATTTCATCCCAGCCACAAAGGCCCCTGGACTCTCCCTGTGGCCTCCAGTACATGACTGGCTCTGTCATGTTCATGAAGACAAAAATTACATGTTTTTAAATCTCCTTTTCAAATGCACCACCATTAAGGGAAACATTTCAGCAAATTTAGGGGTAGCACAAAGAGGTAACTGTTCCGAGCAGACAGAAAATTCAATTCTTCAGATTGTGTGTGTGTGTGTGTGTTATGTATGGAAAATTTTTATACTTACACTTTATCTTCACAGCTTGTCCAGCACTTTCTCCAAGCTCTTTCTGCAACAGCACATTCAAAGCAAAAGTAACGAGATGTTCATTAGGGTAATCCTAGAATGAGCCTTGTGTTACCTCCCAAATTAAAATCTCTTACCACTTCTAATTGGCTTTTGAAATGGAAACCTTGGATTCCTAATATCTTATATTTTAAGTAGAACATATTGGATGTTCATCTCTGAAAACATGAAAGCAAGCATCTTCCAACATTATTGTAGTTCTTTTCTGCCTTTATAGTCTCTAATTAGCAGGAGCAAGAGCTAATATTTAAGGTAAATCAGGTAATAATAATAATAGCTAACATTTATCTAGCACTTCAAATGGGCCTGAAACTATGCTAAGAACTTTATGCCCATTATCTCATTTAATTCTCAAGACAATACTGCATTAGAAACTAATATTATCCTCATGTTAGAGATGACAAAACCAGGTACCAGAGAGATTGAGTAATTTTCCTAAGGTCACACAGCTAGTAGGTGGCTTGAGTAGGTCCATCTCTTCCTGGCATCTGAACACTTAACCATGACACTTGCCTACCTGCCTTTGCCAAGTGGCAAATAATTGTCTCTCTAAAACTTTTCGAGAAAAAACTGCCTTCAATGTGTTTTTTCCAATCCCATCATGAATAAATAAAGGCTACATTGGCATGCTTCAGCTGATCCCTTCCCACCGTTTTGTATACAGGAGTTTAGACATGGCCACAGATGAATCCCTTATGGAGAGCAGCTGGTTCTGACTGTTGGGAGCATCAGAATTAGCTGCAGCAGTTGCTTTTGGCACTTCATTGTTAACCAAATTTTTCTGTAGTCGTTCTGGTGACAAATACTCTGGGACAGAATTTAGCAATCACAAAAACCAAAAGAACCAAAATATTTAGGCAGGCAAATAGTTTGCAAGGGACATCCTGTGAACCCCAGACCTTAGGAGTTTTCATTCTTTCTCGTTCTTTAACCTTGCCTTCACACGAGAGACTAGTTTAGAGTCATATTAAATCACAAGGCATCACAGTGAAAGTAGGAAAAAGGTAAAATCGTTTTGCCACTGTGGACCTTAATTCCTATTTCCCATTACAAATTAGTGTGAGAAAGCCCCTGATTTGGCTAACAGGGGCTCATTTAGTTATTTTAACAGATGTGGGGTTTTCCTCAGAATCTTTAGAAGCAACTTTCTTACTATTTGCTCCTCAATGCTTAGAAAAATAAAGTCCCTGAAATGAGATAAAGGTCAGCCACCAACAGAGACTCTCTAATCTCTTTCCCATTTCCCTTCAGGCAGTTAAAATTCTCCTTCTTTATTGAAACGTTGTGCTCAGTAGAGGTATAAACAAATTGTAAGAGACCACTTATTTAACAGTCTGACAGCTTAACCAAATCTCCTTGTAGCAGAGCTTCCATTGTAAGATTCAGTTCTCACATGCCACAGAGGAAAATTCATATTCATAGCAGTGTAATCTCATGTGAAAACCTGTCACGTTGATGGTACAGCCTCCACAGTTACACTGTTTACAGGGTTTGTAGTGGCACCAGCCACATTACCATATTCGTGCTGAGGATCCACCATCTCCTTCATCTTGGGAAATCTTGGCATTGAATAAAATAAGAGAGCTGATCCTTTATGCAAATACTACCAGTAAACATGGACCACTTAGCATATGCGCCTTGCCGGCCATAAGGAGCATTAGTATTGGAAACACCTCTTTCTGCCAAGAACTCTGGAGTCCTCCTGTCATGAACTATTTATTCAGAGATCAGTCTTCTTGTTGGCAGCTAACCACCAAACCCACAAACTTGTGTTTAATGTGCTCTCGGAGGATAGACTGAGTTCTCCTCCCTGAACTGTGCGAGAGTGATGCCTCACTGAGGTGCCCTGGAAAATGTGGTGCCTGGAAATTGTCTGTACCAAAGCTTGTGAATGATACAGCACTTCTCATGGCTGTTAACGGCATGGCTGATCTGTTCCAGCCAGCCTTACCTGAAAGCAAGAACAAAATAAACACAGCAGACTGCATGGGCTCTTGAGGGAGATTTGGCTCTACTCTGCAAACTCAGAGCTTTCTACTAACAAAAGTCTCCCAACAGCCTGCTCGTTTGCACAGTAAAAACGACGTGCAGATTTCTTGGCAATTGGAGGGGTTATCCAACAGCTATGACAAAAGTTAATGCTCACATTTTTCGTATGAAATGTGTACATGTGGCCTGCCTCTTCAGCAAGGACACTCTCAATGGACCATTTTTTTTGTTGGGGGATCCACTCCTTACTCACTCCTCATCCAGCGGGGCTGGACAGGGATCTGCCCAGCTTTCAGATAGCGCTCATGCCCAGGTCTAAGCCAATAAACATATTGCATTTCTCTAGGTCACAGACACTGCAGGAGGTTTGCATCTAAATTGCTAGATGTTTACTTATACAGAAGGGACAGAGGCTCTGATAGTTCTTGTTGTATTCAAACTTGAAAGGATGTAGCCTTGGAAGCTGCTGGCAGACATCTTAGGACTACAAAAGGCATGGGAATAGAACTGCTATGGAGGAAGCTGACCCGAAGAAAGAAGAGTAATGTTTCTGGTGATGTCATTTAAAGCTGATCAAGCCACACCTGAAGCTTTTAAGAAATTTAAATGACAGTTATCCAAGTACTTTATGTATTAGGATTGTCACAATTGCTCTTCATTAGAGTTGTATATTTTTCCAAAAATATTTTAGGGACAGTAAACATATCTTACCAAACTTATAGAGAATAGTAATAATGTTTTGCATAGGCAAAGTGTTTAGTTTACCAAAAGCTTTCAGAAACATTATTTCATTTGATCCTCATTAGCAAAACATGAGATATATAAGACAAAGATTATTATTTTATTCTTATAAGGGTTAATTGGTGTCACAACAAAAGAACAAAAGGGCAGAAACTGACCTTAGTGATCATATGTCCTGCCCTACTATATTACAGATGAGGACATTACAGTTCCGAAAAATCAGGAGACTTACCTAACATCGCACAACTAGTCACTTAATTAATATTTTAGGGGAAAAAAACTTTTTTGAATTTCTTTGTAAGTTCAAATGCTACCACATATTTATTATCCACTAATCTCTTATACCTGGGTGTTTGAAGTACAGCTTCCTTCTTTAAACAAATAAAACAAAAACAAAAACAAAAAAGAAGACATGATTCACTCATACAAAAGGAACATTAAATCTAATTCAAGTAAGGTACCTGAGCTCTTGAAATGTGACTGGGTCACAAACTGGACAGAGCCAAATTTCCTATCCATAACCATAACTATAACCAAGACCATAACACGGCACCTTTCCTCACTGCCCCGAGATATTATCCCATCACTGTGATGTTATCAATCGGTAAGAAGTGATTCCACCCTGTCTGTGATGCCTCGCTTGGTAGTTGTGAGCACTGGTTTTCTTATCCTTAGGGTCATGAAGCTGGCTTTTCATTGGCAATGAGGCGTCTGGCTGGATGCTGGCCAGTGGCCTGCAACGAAGAAAACGCTATTCTTGGAGATCTCATTCTTGAGTATAATGGGTAAGGTTACTACTGCATGGTATCTTTCCCAGGTCTGGCATAAGTTTAAACTAGATTTCTGCCATATTTCTCCCCAAATACCTTTAAAAATATTGGATGGCAATATGTTTGGTTACTCAAATATATTCAATTAATAAAATCAATTTCTTCAAATTTTCAACAAATACTACATGAGTGGTCCTGTTCTAGGTGCTCGAATAAAGTTGTGAACAAAACAGAGAAAAATGTCTGACCCTGTGGGACATATGTTCTAGTGAGGAAGCCGACAAACAAGGTAAGTAAAATGTATAGTTACGTAGTGATAAACAATAATGAGGGGAAAAATGAAGCAGAAAAGCAGGATAGGCTTTCCTAAGATGGAAAGGATTTGTGCTTCTAAATTGCTAGATGCTTGCTAATAATGAAGGGACAAAGGCTTTGCCAATTCCTCTTGTATTCAAGCTTGGAAGGATATAATCTTGGAAGCTGCTGGCAAACATCTGAATGACTACAAAAGGCATGAGAACAGAACTGATATGGAGGAAGCCGATCTGATGAAAGAAGAGTAACTAGCATTTGGTGATGTCCAAGCCTAATCAAGCCCTTAGAAGAAACTAGGAACTGAGATGGAGTAACTAAGGAAGTGAGGGATCTTGTCATAAGAATACCCGGCAGAGGGAGCAATCCAGAGGGACCAGCAAGTGCAAAGACGCTGGGGCAGAAGCACACCTCAGTTGTTTGAAGAACAGGAAAGAGGCCAGTGTGGTTACATTGGCATAATTGAGGGGAAAGCAGTAGGAAACGGGGTCAAGGGATAAGAGGGCATCATCATGTAGACTTGACTTTTATTCTGGATGAGATGGGAATCCTTGGAAGGTTTTGAGCAGAGGAGTCTCATGATTGAACTTTATGTTTTTTAACAGAATAGCCCTGGCTGCTAGGTTGAGAAGAAACCTCAGAGGGCAAGGATAGAAGCAGAGAGACTAGAGACTGCCACAGCAGTGAGAGATGATGAAGAGTTGAAACAGAATGGTAGCAAGAGGGTGATGTGAAGAATGTGAAGGACATATATATATATATTTTATATACTTTATTTATAATTTATAAATATATATAATTTATATATTATATAATATATAATTTAAAAATATATATATAATTTATTATATATATAAAAAAACTAGTAACTAAGATGGAGTAACTAAGGAAGTGAGGGATCTTGCCATAAGAATACCTGGCAGAGGAGCAATCCAGAGGGAACAGCAAGTGCAAAGACCCTGGTGTCTCTTCCCCTAGGAATGACAGATAGATAGATAGATAGATAGATAGATAGATAGATAGATATAGATATATATATATATATGATCCAACAGTATTTGCCTACAGATCATATATAGGGAGTGTGAGAGAGGAAAGAGTCAAGGATGCCCTCAGGATCTTTGGGCTGAAACAACTGGAAGAATGGAGTAGCCAACAACCGGAGACTGCAGGCAAAGATAGTTTCAAGAAGAATGCGAGGATCTCGGTTTCAGACATGTTAAGTTTGAGACATCAATTAGATATCCAATTGGAGAGTCAAGTGGGTAGATGGTTGTGAGTTTAATGGAGAGGTCCAGAGTGAAGATACAATTTTGGGAGTCATCAGCACAGAGGTGGTGTTAAAGTTGTAAGACTGGAAATGTTTGCCAAGACAGTAAATGCAATTACAAAAGCGAAGTATCAAGAGATGAGCCCTGGGCAAGTCCAACATTTAGAGTTTGGAGGGATGAGGAAGACACTGCCAGTGAGGTTGGGGGAACACCGGGAGAAACTGGGAGGCAAGAGAGAAAAGTGTTTCAAGGCATAAAGCATCCAACTTTGCCAAATGCTGCCCATAGGTCAATTAAGAGGAGGTCTGAGAAGTTACATTAGAGTTAGCAGTGTTCTTGACCATTGGTGACCTTGAGTAGTGTGAGTGGAGAGGTGGGGGTCCCAAACTGGGTTCACGAGAGAGAGAAAGAGAGAGAAGCAACTGGAGGTTGCAAGAACAGATGTTTCCTTCAAGGGGTTTTCTTCTTAAAGACAGGAGGAAATGGGATATAACTGGAAGAGGAAGTAGGGAGAGAAGAGAATTATTTTTAGGAAAGAACAGCATGTTTATAAGTTGATAGGACTGCCACTGTAGAGAAGAACTTGAAGGTGCAGGGTTGGGGATGGAGGCGGCAGGGAATTGCTGGAGCAAATGTCCTTGGGTACAATGGACAGTGGAACCAGCACCCAGGTGGAGACTTTGGCTGAGGGCAGGAGCAAGGCTAGGTCATCACAGTGATAGGGGAAGGTAGAGGCTAGGCCAGCAGCAGGTAGGCTGGCAGATGCAAGGTAGAAACCTCATGACAGTTCTTCTCTCATCACTTCCATTTTCTTGCTGAAGTAGTGTGCTTTTCATGCAAAGAGGTTGCTTTCAACATTTTTACAAAGCTAAGGAATGTCAATGTTGAGAATTTTGTGACTAGGAAACCTAATGAGTTGTGCAGCTATTGTTAGTTTTGTGCCTAACTTATCATACTTTTCAGAATAGATGGCTCTGCTATCCTAGGACTGGGCTTGTCTTTCTAGAAACAAATTCCTGACACCCAGATTAGACAGTTCTGAGGAAGTCTCACATACCCAATTCTGTCATTCCTAGGGGAAGAGACATAAACCTTCCATTATCTTGATTTCGTTGAGTGCCTGCCTTTTTTCTCTTTCTCAAGGTTCCCCCTCCCTGTCATATCTCTTTTCAGACATTCAGGAGAGCATGCTCTGGAAGCAGTCGCAGCAAACAGTAGACCGAAGGAAACCCCAGGGAAACTTCAGGGAGGTCCTGTATCTTACTGGTTTTTCCAGATTTACATTGAGATTGTCCCTGATAATTCCTTTCTCTACTTTCATGACTTTAAAAAACTCATCCTTAAATCTTTAAGAGAGATGTTTATAGAATCATGATGGATATAACAAATACACTCTTTTCCACAATTTAGAATTTGAAATTTTCGAAGTGTTCAGGCAGGTAGGGAAAGAAGAAGGGGAATTTATTATGTCATCCAATTCTGACAGTTCTATGAGGTAGGTATGATTATCTAGATCTTATAGATCAGATTCAGAGAGATTAAGTAACTTGCCCATATAGTAAGTAGGGGTCCCAGACTTGAACTCTGGACTCTCAGAGCCCAGCACTGTGCTATTTTCATTGTACTTTGCTCTATGATCATTTAGGAAAGGCAAATACTACGTCGGTAATTTATGAAGGAATTTCCTGCCCTGTCCATAGCCTAGCTCTCTAGATAACTCAGAAACTCCTACCTCAGACCCTTGATCTGTGGGGTTGTTCTGCAAAGAACCTTTTGATATACCATGGGCATTCCAGATCCAGAACACTGCTTTCTGCCAAGGTGACTTTTAATTTATCAGAGCTCTCTTTGGTATACACATGTCCAAACCATTGGTCTACTATTTTATTGCAAAAATCAGTAAGGAAGGAAGTTTAGGCACACAACTAGAGTGTGAATGTGAAGCTGCTTTTTTTTTTTTTTTTTTTTTTTTTTTTGGTCTTTGGGATTGCTTGCTTTCAAAACAAGCTTCCATTTCCCCCCACCTCCATAGCAGCATTGTTTTCTTGCTCTTCATTCTGTGTCTCAAATATACTTCTTAGGCATTCCAAGTGGACATTTACGACTTTTTACAGATCAGCTTTTCCAAGTACATGATCTAAAGTGGCACTCCTCTACTTTCAGAGCTCCTAGCTCCTTTCATTAGCAATCTTTAGTGAGAAGAGGGAGGCCATCCTAGGTAAACTTCCTCAACTCCTCTACCCTTTGCATCAGATTTGCTTCATGTTTATTCCACCCTCCTTCCTCTGATCTCAGAGGCAGGAAGCTGTGTCCCTTATCTTTCCAAGATAACCTTTCTGTGTGTGTCCACGATGCCACTTCCTCCCATGTCTTTAATGGGAACCTCTTCTCACATGTTCAAGCTCATATTTAGCCTCATGCCTCAAATTTTAAAAAATGCCTGCTATCCATTAAGCCACTGCTGCATTTCTTAAGTTTCACTGTGTCAAACTTTTTGGACGAGATGCTAAAACTCAATACCTTTATGTCTTTTTATGGCAATCTAGCCTAATTATTCTATTGAAATCTCTCACTTTGGATGCCTTCCTTTGGGAATTTTTCATCCCTTAGCCTCCCTGTCACTGAACCCTTAGTTCTCTTCCAATCTTTGATGGTTTTCTCTAAGCACCTGCATTGAACTTTTCCTCTTCTCTTCCTCGAATCTAGTCAGTCTCCCAGCTTCTGCCTCTCCCTTTTCCTTTCCCCACTGTGTTCCTCTCTTTCTCCCATTTTTCTTTGCACTAATAGTTAATATTATAGTTAATTAAGCTGAAATTTCACAGGCTGCTCTCCTAATGTGATCATTTAAATCCAGGCCAGATGCTAACCAAACCCTACTTAAACAAGGCCTTCTCCACTCTTAAGATTCACCCTAGAATGTTCCATGGACAGTTTTAGAATATTTATTTCTGAAAACTGACATACAAACATTTTCCACAACAGGAAAGAAAGCATCAGCTTTCTATTTGCAGCACAAGAAAACACCACTGGGATGAAGCCTCAAAAACACATTTGGGTGACGGCAGATCACGAGACACTTGGAGTCAAGATATCAGGTTTCAATCAAAAATATATAGACTGGATATGAATAAACTCCCCTGAAATCTCACTCTCTTCCACTGACTGGGGTTTCAGATGGGGAGATCAGTAACACTTGCAGATGACTCCGGAGAAACAAGGATCCCATCTGCAGACAGATGAAAAAGAGGAGGAAATTTTTCTTGGGTGCTTTGCTTGAGACATGTTAGAAACAAAATAGTCTATCACATCTTTCTAAAAGCATCGGCTGGTAGTCTTTTGCCAACAATTCAATTGGTTTAGAATGCTAAGCTTGGAGAATTGCATCATCTGTCTTAGAGGTCTGCAGGCTCACTCCTGCCTAACCACTGGGAAATGAAGACATGAAAAGTCAATGACATCCTAGCATCGGCATCTGTTTTGTCTTTGTGCTCACATGCAAAGACAGCACAATGAGGGAAATTATAAATGGCAGCATGTTTTCAACCCTATCTCAATCAGATGTCTGCCACTGTCCTTTCCAAATCTACTCTCCACCCTGCTTCATGCAACAGAACCAACTGTGCTTGGTTAATGGAACACTCTGGCAGGAGACTGGAGGAGGGAGGAGAGTGAGGTCTGGGTATGGATTCCCCAGCTCCCTCCTTGTCTGATTGCAAAGACTGCTTCTCTCCACCAAAGGCTCCTGTCAAACGCCTTCTCCATGTAGCCACTCCTTCTAGATTCTTGTAACCACTTGTCCCTTCAGGCCTAAGAGTGATAAAGGTTAACAATAGTCCCTGTATTAAGCACCCTTAAAATTACTAGTTTGAATCTACCAGCTGCTTCCTGCTCATCCCTGACTGAAATGTGGGCTAACAGTGATACATTACTGGTGACCGCCACGGATAATGTTGTATTGAAGATTCGAAGACTGGCATACAGATCACAATAACAAATGCTATGATTCTTTTTTTTTTTTTTTTTTTTTTTTTTTGAGACAGTGTCTTGCTCTGTCACCCAGGCTGGAATGCAGTGGTGCGATATCGGCTCACTGCAACCTCCACCTCCCAGGTTCAAGCAATTCTCCTGCCTCAGCCTCCCCAGAAGCTGAGATTATAGGCGTGAGCCCCACAGCCAGCTAATTTTTGTATTTTTAGTAGAGATGGGGTTTCACTATGTTGGCCAGGCCGGTCTTGAACTCCTGACCTCAGGTGATCTGCCTGCCTCAGCCTCCCAAAGTGCTGCTATGATTCTTTGTTGTTGACCTTGGGCATGGGAGGAAGAGAAAAATGGCAAAACTCCCATATATTTCCTATTCCTGCCACAGACCTTTATTGCAGTAGATAAAGATTGGGCCATAAGGAACTTCAATCTAGGATCAAGTATTTGCTCTTATAATTTAGTTGAGGCTTATTGATGATTTTCATTTACATGTTTAAGATACCCAAATGTTAATATGAATATGAAGAAGGAAATTATAACTAGAGGATGACCTGAAATTTTTTTTGTTTTTTTGAAACAGAGTCTCACTCTGTCTCCCAGGCTAGAGTGCAGTTGCGCGATCTTGGCTCACTGCAAGCTCCACCTCCCAGGTTCACGCCATTCTCCTGCCTCAGCCTCCCAAGTAGCTGGGACTATAGGCACCCACCACTATGCCCAGCTAATTTTTTGTATCTTTAGTAGAGACACGATTTCACCGTGTTAGCCAGGATGGTCTCGATCTCCTGACTTTGTGATCTGCCTGCCTCGGCCTCCCAAAGTGCTAGCCACCGTGCCCAGCCAAAGATGACCTGAAAATTTAAAACCATATTATCCTATAGAACTTAAAACTGGCAGATGAAATTTTGATAAACACTGTAGTTGGATTCAATTTTCCTTCCACAGTCTATCCTTGGTTTTGTGTTTTAGTTTTTCTCCTTCAGTCTTACCATTTACATAATAACAAGATCCTTATTTCTGTGGTAATCAGTTCTCTTTACTTAATTTTCCACTTGAAGTTATTTAATCCTTCTTAAGAAGGCAAGTGTGTCCTAGAAGCTAGAGTAAGAAACAGGAGCACGCTGATCAAATTATGTTCCTTTGAGTCAAACTTGCCTTTTCTTGTGCCTAAATTTGTCTTTTGGCACAGTGAGAGAAAATGAAGTTAATACCCCTTCACTTTAGTAGACTGAATCACACAAAAAGCTGACAATGCCTCAGGATTCATGGTGATCCCAGCTTTACTACAAAAAGGTTTTATTGTTACATCATGGAGCACTGTACCTCCTAGCAGACGGATGCAGAAGGTATATCTCAAAAATAATTCTTTAATATTAAAACATATTGATTATAAGTGAAATGGAGAAAAATGTGTTTATCTGAACATAAGGTGTAAATGCAGATGCTTTTTCAAAAGGAAATGTGTTCTTCTTGAACTTTCAGCATCTTTCACCCAATTATTTGATGAGCTTATGGTCCTAACTGTCAAGACTCTGCGTAGATAATTTACTGTTTTTTTTTTTTAATTTTTAACACTTAAATAAAACTTTTACTGCTTATAAGGGAGAACAGGGGTTTTGATCACTGAACAGAAACCTCCAGGACTGCAGAGCTTGGTGGGTATTATCCATTTGCCTTTCCTGTTCATTACTCATCCAGAATTCATTCATTTATTCATTCATTCATCCATCCACCCATTCATTCCATTCATCCAAAACATTTATTAATAAATGGCTAACTATAACACAATGTAAGTATTATTATTAAGGTTTGGATCACAAGATGTTGGAGCCTAGATAGTTCTATGGTTGAGGGTGGGTAATGAGAGGGGATCCAATTTTATGTTGGGACTTGAAAGATGAGCAAGAGTCCAGTAAAAACAATGGATGGGGAAGGAATTCCGGGCAGAAAGAACAGCACGTGTAAAAGCCAAGGAGCATGAGAATGCCTGGTGTGACCAGGTGATGAAGATTGAGCAGGTGTCAAAGGCCTGGTGTGCTGGGTTAGGATCTGAATTTCATCCTATGGACACAGGGAGCCTTTACAGTCTTGACCCAGGGATAGGGCATAATCACACTTGTATTTTTTAAAAGTTGTGTTGTTTAAAGTTTGGATGGATGGGAGGAGGCTTGGAAAGCAGGAAGGGGGTCACTCTAAAAATCAAGGTGCAAGACAGTGCAGGTTTAAATTCGGGCAATGGCACTGGAAAGGGGAGAAGAAGGATATATCTCACAGATATTGTAGAGGCACAAATCAATAGGACTCGGGCTGTTCGTGGGGAGATAGGAGTGAGGGAGAGTGAAGTGAGACAGAGATGACTCTGAAGTCTTTAACTAGTGAACCAGAGCAACATGCTTGTGGGGAGGGAGAATGAATTCACTTAACAATATGCATGGTTTGTGGTTGCTGGGACCGTGCAGATGGAGATATCCAATTGACAGGTGAAATGTGAAGATGGAGCTCAGAAGCCAGGAGAGGACTGAAGATTTTGGATATCATTACTTCATGAGAATTGATGCCATGGAGATGGATGAGATCATGCAGACCAAACACAGAGAATGGGAAGAGGGAAGGGAAAAGGAAAAAATTAAAGTCCAATGGGCATGTGCTTTTTCAGCTGCACAGCATTCATTCCTTTTTTCTGGTGTTAGTTCTTTATTTCCTTTGGCCAGCCACACCTCCCTGCTGCATGTAATTCTGTTGAAGTAAACCTTCATGGTGTCCTGTCCAAACTATGCTATGCTTCCTGCTCCAGGATGGACAGAGTATGTGTCTCATCACCCTGGCCACAGTGACTTGATCGGCGATGTGGCAGTGACGTGCTAGAATGGGCTCCTTCCACTTCACAAGTGGCATTACATCAGTAGCTTGAAATTAGCCATGGTGGAGGTATTTACACCACAGAAATTAGCAAACACTAAAAATTAGTCCCTCCCTCCTTGCCGAGAGCCAGGTTACCGGCACACGACTGAATGTGGGCATAAACACATGCAGACCAATGAATGTCTTCCCAGAGATCTGATATACAAATCTCAGGGAAAACGTGCCCTTTTTCACTCTCATTGCAAACTGTGAGGTGTGCTCATGGCAAACTTTCTTGCTGTGTAGAAAACCTGCCTGAGAAAGAACAGACAATACAGAGGGAAGGTCGCCAGAGGGAGAAGAGACAGAACCCCCAGCACAGGATTTGTTGCTGTTTTGTTCTTTCAGTTTTCAAAAACTTCCTAAATTTTACAAATGCAACCTACCCATAGAAAATTCCATATAACCTATGTGTTCAGTTAACAAATTAAAAAATAAATACTGAATGCTCACTGCTCAGGTTAAGATATAGAATATCAATTGCCCAGAAGCCAACTGTATACTATCTCGCTCCTCTTCATCTGGACCTTTGTCATAATTTTCTGGATTAGAAAAATCAATTTTATGACCTATGTATACGTGCATCATTGCAGAGTTTTCTCTCTCTCTCTCTCTCTCTCTCTCTCTTTCTCTAAGTCACTTAAGGGAGAAGGCAGCATTTAAGAAATCATTGGTTTTCCCGGTGTGGGGAAATGGGATAGGTTTATAGGATGATATGAAAGATCCAAGGGAGAAAGATTGAGGATAGCAGAGCCAGAGAGAGTGATTTAGTGCACAGTAATAGGGAAGGCAGAGGGACATGGAATCCAGCGTGCTGAGGAAGGCCTCAGCTTTGAAATAGAGGATAGAGAGATGCCTGTTTCTAATACAAGGAAGGGAATTAGTGTCTACTCATGAATTTCTTTGACTCATATATGAAAGGTACAGCTGAAAAATAGTAAGTGCTTCCAATTTCATCTCAGCCCATGCTCTATGAGTGCTGAGCCTTTCTTGAATAAGCCGTTGCATCCGTGGACTTTGGAGCTAGTGACCTGGGATCTGCTCTCCCTTACCCTTCGGCCTGGCATCTCTGGGCACAGGTCTTTGTGCTTGGTTCTCACTCCTGGAACCTGGTACTCCTTGACTTTCTCCCTGGCACAAGGCTCTGGCAGTGGCTTTGCCCCATGGAGCCTCAGCCTATGGCTCAGCACCATTTCTTACTTTGGAGCATCCAATACCCTGGCCCTGTCGGCACACTTACTTTCTCTGGCCCTAGTTTTGTCTCTAAGGAAACCAGCTCCTGCAATGGGGTGGGTTTCAGGATTAGTGGGCCGGTTGGCAGGAAAGGAGCAAAGCAGGTAAATGTGGAGGTGGAGGTGCGGGAAGGTGAGTTGACAGGATCCACTCCTGTGACCTCCTTTGCTGAATTCACTTGCTTAGCCCACAATCCCATGTCCAGAAAATATTCCTAGGACTTCTCTAGTCTGCTCGTCCGATAATTCTTGAGACCTCAGATCTATTTTCCAACCTATCCCTGCTTCTGATTAAGTGTGTGTTTAAATTGCCTTGGCTACATCAAAAATAAACATTTCTACAAAAACTTTCTGGAGTCCTTGCCTTGTTTCTGAGCTTGCTTTTGAAATACCAATTAGCCAGAGAAATATATGCTTCATGTTTCCAAAAAAAGACATAGGGAAGACCTCGCTAAAGATAGCTAGCTCTGGTGAGAGATGTTTTTTCTTTGAGAAGCTGCAACTAAATGTATTCCAACATTTAGCAAAAGACGTCCCTTGTCCTTAAAAGAATGGAAGGCACTGAATGAGAAGTCTCTCTCAGGCCAGGCAATAATGAAAGGCTTTGGACTATTAGAACTAGAGTCTGAATTGTATAAAACACTCATCTGTGCAGGAGCAGAAAGCTCAGTCAAATGACTCCTAACAATTCCCTGACTCTGGGTTTGAATGGATAGGTATGGGCACATATACCACTTTAGCTGAGCTGACACCAAAGCATTCCATCTCATCCTAATAGATGGCAAAGGTCACTCTTTCCCTTCATTTGATGAATGACTATGGCACCAACACATTTGTCTTATACCTGGCAGCAGTTCTCAAGTTAGTGATAATGAGGGTCTTCCTAACAAGGGAGCCAACTGCTCTAGTGAGTTAGTGAAAGCCGTTGCATCTGCCCAGCTACTTCACATACAGTTCACAGCCAAAGGAAAGTCCTGCTGGCCAGAGGCACACAGCAAGGGATCTTAATGCAACAATATTTCTGAAGATAGTAGTCCCCAAATAGTGATCATAAAAACTCACAAACACTGTTAGCCCATAGAATAATATTAGGTTGGTGCAAATGAAATTGCAGTTTTTGCCATTGAAAGTAGTGGCAAAAACCGCAATTACTTTTGCACCAACCTAATACTATACTGAGCATGGAACTGACTAAAGAAAAAATATCAAATTTTCCTCCTCATTTGGAAGAATTCTAGAAAACGAGAATGGTCATCATTCCATTCCTACCATGCTTCATTTGGGTAGAAGTTCTGCAGTTACCAGTGGATAATTGCATGGATAGCTTAGTCCTGTCCAGTGGCTGCTTACAAATTAATGTAGTGAGTGGGAAGAATATTTCTTTAAGAAGAAATACTGAGCCAACAAGAGAGACTAGAGGTGAAGTAAGAATGTCAGAAGATAGAAAACACAGATGTGATGAAGTAGAAGGCTAAAAATATGATTTTGTTCTGTTAGACATAATGAGACTTTGACTCAATGATCTCCTTGACTCTCCAAACCTGGAATTGGTTTCAAACAGGATTAGAATTCTTACTTACTGGCAGAAAAACATTTGTTCCTGGGGTCAGCAATGCCTTATATTTCCCAGAACATATTTCACAGCAAATCAGCAGTGGTACCGAGGATGGAGTTCTAGATTCTCTCTAACAAACTTCAGACACGAAGCAGGATATAGACCTCCTCCATCGTTTAGTTCTTTCATCTCTGAGGAGCATGCCCAACAGAATGGTTGAAGAATAAATTACATTGCAGAGGGGCTGTGTTTTTATCTCCACAATACTCTTTAATATGATTCTGTGCTACAATCGAAACTTTATTTAAATAAATTATAGGTGTACTTCTCTCTCCTCATTAATTTATTCATTCTTTGGTTGTCATTTTTTAAAAACCCAAACACATAAGAAGAATTTTCTGTGTGTTAGATACTGTGCTAGATGTTAGAGAATCAAAGGAAAACAAACAAAAACAAAAACATGGTACCAGCCCTTGAAGGACTCTTAGTGTCTAGTGGAAAAAGATTGTCACATTAACAAACAAGCAAAATAAAGACATGCAATTGCTACTGCTGGAAATATTTATATTTACTGGATGTGGTAAAAAAAAAAAAGGAGAAAATGGTCAATTAACTCTGTGTGTGTGTGTGTGCGTGCACGTGCGCGCATGTGCTCTCATACATGCAAGATAGGGTTGGGGATGTAGATCAATAAGAAAGGGTTCAGGGAAAACGTGGCCCTTGAATGGAGTCTTGCAAGATGAGTCGGCACTGACTGGGACAGCAGGGTGAAGGAGGGAGTGTGTCGTGGTCTTGACGGTTGGAATCTGGAGTGTTGGTGAGGGCATCAAGTGACCGGGACACAAACATGGTAGGGGCAAGATTTCAGAAGGCCTTCTACACCACATTAAAAAGACTGGGCTCTGCCCTGCAGTCACAGAAGGTTTTAATCATGTTAAAACTGTAAACTATTGCTGTTTTGGAACAATCCCTCCCCCAGCAATGCAGAGGAGAGATTGGAGGGGCAGGGGGCTGAGGCTGACCAGATGGCAGGCCATTGCAAGGTCCAGCCAGTTGAGACTAAGCCAAGGCAATAGCAGTGGAGGGTGAAGAGACTTACAGGAGGGAAGCCAACGAGGGGAGTGGCTGTGGGAGTGAGGGAGAATGCAGCCTCGTAGCCAGCCCAGGCTACGGGCTTGGGTGGAGCAGCCACGGAGATTGGGAGTGGAGGAGTAGATGAGATGATGAGCCCATTCCACTTGTTTGAATTGGAGTTGCCTATGGGACATCAGGGTGAGAGGTCCAGCAGGCAAGATAATTTAGGGATTCTTACATTAAAGAGTTTAGGGTCTGTGATCTTGTGTGGGAAAAAAATTGCATCTTTCTTTTCATTAACCTCTAACTAAAATTCAGTATTTCCTTTATGAGAGTAGGCAACAGACCACAGTGATATTAGCAGTACCTTTGACTTTGTCATCTGTAGAAATGACAGATGCATTCATACCACTTTTCAGTTATTGCAGACATCTTGAAATTTGCTCACACGTATCACTGCTTCAAAATGATGCTTATTATGCCTGCTGCTAAATATTATTTAATGTTAATAAAAGGCATGCATACTATGTCACACCTTTGCTTTTAGTATTTTAATAATTATATTTCTACATGACTTGTTTCATTTGTAATCTCACATATTTGATGTCAAGTATTTAAAAACATTTTTCCGAGAAGGAGTTCGTGGGCTTCAGCAGGCTGCCAAGTGGATGCATGGACCAAGTAAAGGTCAAGAACCTCTGGTCCAGAGTTTGAAGGCACCAGGCTGGTTCAATAATTCACGGACTTCTGCTGAACAACAATGTGCTGAGAAGGATGTGACCTATTCCCAGAGCTCCAGAAATAGATTGGGATGAAAGGAAATGGTTGACTGCAAAAGAAAATGAAGTTTACACTTGTTTGGTTAGGAAGCTTCTGGCCTCCCGCCTGAAATAGTTGGCCTTTATAGATCCAAAGTCTCCTGCTCAAAATGTGCCCTGGGCTGGCTTCAGTCATTGCTCTTGGGAAATTGTGAAGACAAGAACCATGAGCCAATGTGATGGTGTGTACTGATCCCAGAGTAGGGCACTCTTAAAACGAACATCATTCAGCAGAGAGTTGAATTGTTTGTTAAAATCAGTTATGATGAGAGGAATGTAAAGCAATGGCAGACTTGTATAACTGTCCCTGGGAAGGACTTTTCCTTTCCTGAGTCCAGATCCTAGTGTTCACTCAGCCACAAAGAATAATGTTTGAAATTGGGCAGAGAAGATACATGGGGGTGGAGGCAATCAGCTCAGCTGACCACAAGGCCAGCTGTGTCCATTCACTGGACATGTGAGGCCTCCCTCAGTTCACAGAACATCTCCTTTTCCGGCCCCCTAAGGCCAAGAGGTTGAACTTGACACTTGACGTTCCCACTAACCCTACCTCCTTCTTTAGTTCTGCCATCTTGTAGCTGCTCTTGTGGGGCAACACAACCTAAATTGCTATGTGACTTTCAACTCTTAAAAAAGTGTAAAAGTCTACTTCCTAAGTCAAAGCCCTGTATATTTACTTCTGGAAATCCATCCTACTAAAATCTCACTCCTGCAATGGTTGTTGATTGAAGCATTATTTATGATTTTAAAAATTGAAAACAACACAAAAGTCTATCAAGAGGCAACTGCTTAGTTAGACCTGGTTCATCCATACTTATGAAGTACTTCAAAGTGCTTGAAAAGTATACATCACTACAGACAGATACTCCTGCCACATTGTAAAGTGAAAAAGAAATTGTAGAATAATATGCATAGTAGGACTACTTTTTATTTATTTATTTATTTATTTATTTTACTTTAAGTTTTAGGGTACATGTGCACAACGTGCAGGTTTGTTACATATGTATCTATGTGCCATATTGGTGTGCTGCACCCATTAACTCGTCAAGGACTACTTTTTAAACAAAAGTGTGTGTGAGGTCCTCAACAGGTTTGTAAATGTCTAGATAAGGATCTAAAAGATGATCCCTGCACTTGAAAATGCTTATTTTGGAAGCTGAGAGTGGAATAAATAGGATGGGTAAGGGAGGAGGAGGATGAGAATTTCAAAGAGAAATTGTTGCTCTTTACTGTAATATCTCCATATTGTTTGAAAGTACAAAATTACTTTTGTGATTTAAAATATAATTGGAAGAAAGATCATATTGCTCTCATATATAATGGTAATCATCTGGGAATTGTTTTGTAAATTTTAATTTGTCAAATAAACTCATGCAATATCAGAAAAAGTTCTGTATCAGTTAGAACTGTGAATAACAGAGACCCGAAATAACAGTGTCTTAGACAAACAGGGACTATATTTCTTTGGAGATAGACAATCCAAGGCTACTTTGACAGCTGTTTCCCTGATGGCTCCTTTGAGCTCAGTTTCCAACTCCTCTATCTTGAGTGTGTGGCCTCAGCCTCATGGTACAAGATGGGCCTAGAGCTATCGATGTCTCACTCCTGTTCTCAGAAGCAGAAGAAGGACAGGCCAGGCGCAGTGGCTCATGCCTGTAGTCTCAGCACTTCGGCGAGGCTGAGCTGCGTGGATCACTTGAGGCCAGGAGTTCGAGACCAGCCTGGCCAACATGTTGAAACCCTGTCTCTACTGAAAATACAAAAAAATTAGCCGGGCGTGGTGGCACGTACCTGTACTCCCAGCTACTCAGAGGTTGAGGCGGGAGAATCACTTGACCCTGGGAGGCGGAGGTTGCAGTGAGCCGAGATCACGCCACTGCACTCCAGCCTGGGTGAGAGAGTGAGACCCTGTCTCAAAGAAGAAAAAGAAAGAAAGAAAAACGCACACACACACACACAAAAACAGAAGGACAAAGAAGGGACTCATTTAGGGCCAGAGCCAGCTCCATCGTCTGCATAATTTTTTTCTAAATCGCCAGTTTCATATTCTATGAAAGCACAGCACATAGAGGAAATCTTGAGCTGCTTTTCCTGCTGACTCTAGACCATAGCAGTGGTATCTGAAGCCTTCTTCTCAGGGTCTTTTCTTTTTCTTCCTTCACTCCACCTGCCTTCTTCTCCTTCCACATCCCCTTTCCATATTCTCCCCTCTCCATACACCACATTTCAGTTCGCCAAGCAGGCACCAGTCAGAGCTGAAGAGTTTACTACTTCCTAGGTTGCTTTGGGACTTGCTAGATCCTTACAATAGAATGGCAGGGACCACAATGAAGGCAATTTCCTTCTGGGCAGCATTTGGAGAATTAGCTCTCAGGGTGTGAGACAGAAACATACAAAGTAGAAAAGACACAGCCATTCAGCCAACTATGGGTTCTGCTTCTGGCTGCAGAAACAGCTAATTCTGGGTGTGTGTGTTGGGGGGGTGGTGTGTGTGTATTACAGAGGGTGCATGTGTACTGTTTATGTGAAATTTTAGCTACTTGATCTCTCAACATCTCTCTCCCACCCAAACCCCTAAAATGTTTCACTAATACCCCTCTTATGACATTTATCTTCCTCTTTTGTTATAGTTATTTGTACATCTATTTTCTCTCTCCTACTAGACCATGAACTTTTTGAGGGCAGAGACTTGTATATATTTTGGCCTCTAGAAAGGTGCCTGGCACAAGGCCAGAGATCAGTGTCTATTGTAGGAACGAATGCACCAAAGGCTATTGAAATCTCAAGTGATGTATGGGTCGCGAACCTCCCAGAAAAGGTAGGTTATGGCTGCACAAAGATATTGTGAGGTCTTTTTGAACACAAAAAAAGGGAGAGGATTTAAATAGGTGGAAAATGTGAAGAATGAGTTTGTATTCTGACACATGTCTATCTCTCTTCTGGAGTCTCCCCTCGTTGCCTAGTTGACACTTTTTTCTCCCTCACCGCATCTCCTGTCACATTGACAGTCTGTCCCAGGGCAATGCCGCTCACTTTCAGATTGGATCAGCTGCCCATTGTGACTCACCTCCATATTTTCAACTCCCTAAAAGCATAGACCTTGCCTAACACTTTCTATCCCTCTAACGTAGTGCTGGATACATAGTAGATATCCAACAAATATTTTTTCCTTTAACTGATGACTAAATCATCTCTGAATATGTTACATGTGAAATGGTTAAAAAAGATAAATAGGGACACATAGTGGAACACAGACTCTGAAGTTGTCTTTCTTTTCTTGTTTTATTTTCCCATAGCATTTCTCACCTCTAACATGCTATATAATGTAACTTCTTATATTTAGAGACTGTCCCTCTTCCCAGTGGCAATTGGAATCTCATACATTGCTGGGAGGTATGTAAATTGTTACAACCACTTTGGAAAATTGTTTGGCAGTGTGTACCAAGGTTACCAAAGATTACCATTACTAACAATTCTACTTTGAAATATCTGTCTGTCATCTATCTGTCTATCTATCTATCTATCTATCTGAGAAATGAGTGCATAAGTCCACCAAAGACAGGTATAAAAATGTTCATATCAGGTTGAGCGCAGTGGCTCATGCCTGTGATCCCAGCACTTTGGGAGGCTGAGTCAAGCAGATCACTTGAGGTCAGGAGATCGAGACCAGCCTTGCCAACATGGTGAAACCCCATCTCTACTAAAAATACAATAATTAGCCTGGCCTGGTGGCATGTGCCTGTAGTCCTAGCTACCCGGGAGGTTGAGGCAGGAGAATTGCTTGAACCCAGGAGACAGAGGTTGCAGTGAGCCAAGATGGTGCCATTGCACTCCAGCCTGGGTAACAGAGAGAGACTCTGTCTCAAAAAAAAAAAAAGTTCATATCAGCTTTATTTATAAAATCTTAAAATGGAAACAAACCAATTATCTGTCAGCAGTAGAATGAATAATAATTATATATGCATTCAATAAAATGTTATATGAAAATAAAGAAGAACAAACTAGTGATACTGCAATAACATGGGTGATCCTTACAGAAATTTTTCCTTAATAAAAGAAGCCAAACACAAAAAGAGCAACCCCAAAGAGCGTATACTATGTAATTTCATCTATATGCATTCAAGATGAGCAAAACTAGTCTATGGTCATGGAAGTAAGGACAGTGTTTACCTCTGAGCAGGGGTAGTATTGACTGGGTAGAAACATGAAAAAAACCTCCTGGCATTTTGGAAATATTTCTATTTCCTTATCTGGGCAGTGGTTACATTGGTATATACATATACAAAAACTCATCAAGCTGACACAATATTTGTGCACTTGTCTGTATATATACTGTACCACAGTTTGTTTACGTTAGAGAAAGAAAAAAAACATAAGCTCCCCAGGGCAGGGGTTCGTGAGTTCTACTCATCATAATATCCTCACCACCTGCAGAACCTGAACCTAGAGTAGGTGTTCAATAGCTGTTTCTTGAATGAGTGAAGCCACCAACTCTGGGTTTGCATCCTATTTTATTCATATTTCTTTCTATCCATGTTTTGTTTGCAGCTCTTCGTTAAGCAGGAGTATGTGACAACAGGCCCAGAGAAGTTATGTACCTTCGCCATGAGAACCCAGCTAGTTAGAGCAGGGAGATTCTGTTTGCCTCCAAAGTCTGTGCTTTTTTCTCTTTTTC
This sequence comes from Homo sapiens, assembly GCF_000001405.40. NCBI lineage: Eukaryota > Metazoa > Chordata > Mammalia > Primates > Hominidae > Homo > Homo sapiens. Next base: position 56,068,528 of record NC_000014.9, on the reverse strand, counting down.
AAAAAAGCCAGGCAAATTTAGGAGTGGGTGTTGTATACCAGCTTTAGTGAAACAACCACTGATAACCCACTACCATCAGACCAGCCCTGAGCTATTCCACTATTTCAATGCTCCAGCCTCAGCTTCAAGAAGAGACAGATGGGAAATATGAGGACAGAGGTGTGAACAGGGAAGAGTAAAGACTTATTCTTGGCCTAAGAGCCATATGGATAATAGAGGAGGCAGCCAGTGAAAGGAAAGGGTCAGGTTCTAGACTCGGAGGAGCTGCTGTTAGATGTAGGCTGTCCTCTGAGAGTTCTCTGATTCCAGGACCAGCAAGTGGTTATAATCACTGTGGCCACACAGAGAGGGAATCTTTGCCTAGAGCTTAGTAATCCAGGATTCCTTAGAAGTCAAACAAACCAGTTATTCTGATGTAGGCCAGCCTAGCCCACACTTCACTTTTGGCCAAGTGGGACTGTAGTACAGATGATGAAGATGCAGACAGGTTCCCGAGGAAGTGTGAAGCATTCAGACACCTGTTTACTGGGCTCTTCATCCTCTTCTCTTTGCCTAATCACTATTTTTTTCTAACACAACTTAAATAAAATGAAGAGATCCTCTACAGTTTGCAAGACCCAGGAAGGACTGTTGGGATCTTTGGGTCTTGCAACAAATCCAGATGAGAAAAGAAGGGAGTATGTGTGAATGATGGGAGAGGGATTTATTAGAGATTATAGCAGAGCCTCTTCACCATTTCAGTCTCTGACCCTGAACAAAATTCTTAAGGGAAGGCCTGGGTTAAAAGGGCCACAGGCTCTGATTATTTGTGTTTCCTGCTTCAGAATCTAGAAGCTGCAGTTGGGAAAGAATACAAGTTGGAAGGCATTCTCCTTGATGGATCATTTCCCTCATTCCCTGCATTCAATTCTTCATCAATTCCCATCAATCACATGCTTTAAAATATTTCAAATCCCCAGTTCTCTCCATCCCCACTTTCACCACCTGATCTTAACCCCCATCTCACCTAGATTATTGCAACATTTTCCTAACTGATCTCTCTCTCCTGCCACCCTTGCCTTCTCATTCCACCCCAAATCCACACAGCAGACAATATGGCAGCTGCTCTTGTCTTACCTAGAATAAAATCTGACTTTGTTACCTAGATCTGTAGGCCCCAGCTGATGTGAGCCTGCTTGAGAATTTCCAACTTCATCTCATTCTCTCTGCACCACCCTTGCTTCTTAAGTTCCAAATATTCAGGTGTTTAATTTTTTTAATAACTTTATTGAGTTATAATTCACCTATCATACAATTCACCCATTTAAAATATATAATTCAATGGTTTCCAGTATATTCACAGAGTTGGGCAACCATCACCACAATCAATTTTAGAACATCTTATCTCCGCCCAAAAATCCCGTACCCTTTAGCAATCACTCCCTATTCCCCCAGTTTCCCCAGTCCAAGTCAACCACTTATCTACTGTCTTTATAGATTTGTCTGTCTTATTTTTAGCTCTTGAACACACAAAGCTCTTTCCTGCATTAGGTCCCTTGCATATCCTCTCTCTTCTGCATCATAGGCTTGCCAGTCCACTCCTCAGGCTCCCCATTCCCTTCTCTCACACATCACTTGGCTGGTTCTTCACCTTTCATGCCTAGATTGAAAAGTAACCTATGCGAGGTTTATCTGAGTACCCTCAGACCAGATTCCTGATGCTTTCCTTTATCATAGCTCCTTGCTTGTTCTCTTCTTGGTAGCCTCACAGTTGGTAACCATTGGTTTACCAGCTCCTATTGCTTGACTTCCTCCAGTTGACTTTAAGCATAATAAGGGGAGTGGCTGCATCTATCTTGTTCTCCATTGTATCTCTAATGCCTACTGCAGGGCCTGGTGCTTAGAAGACCATCAGTAAATATTTGATGAATAAATATATATTCATTCGTGAATGAATGAATATACCAGATAACTGAACTCGCATTGCTTGGAAGTAAGACCCCTTTGCCTGTTTCAAGCAGCAGATATTGCAGTGCAACAGCATTTTACCACCTAAGTTTTCTATTGATGTGAAACAGTTGACCTGAAGCCTGCCTTTCTTTCTTTCTCGTTCTTTCTTTCTTTTTCTTTTTCTTTCTTTCTCTTTCTTGTTCCCCTTTCTTTCTTTTCTCTTCCTTTCTATTTCAAAACAAGGAGAGTTGACTCAGAAGTCTGATCAGAATGATCAATTGCAAAACATGGTAGCAGAATACTTCTGAGTGAGTGATTGGATGATGTTGGGCAGTTTTGGTTTTCCTTCTCTTAAGATTATCACATTGATTGATGCTTGTTTTAAACATTAACATTGTGACAATCACTGTCACAGCAACTCTGTCCGCTAGGTCTCCCTGTTGTTATAAAGGATCCATTAGTGTTTCCTCAGCTGGTTCCATCACCGTGAACACTGTTCAAGGTCCAGTAGTCAGCTCTGGGCAAAACCAGATTGTAAACCAACTGAAGGAAAGGGTTATATTCCATGTCCACCTGTAATAAATTGCTATTCTACCCCCAACCACACACACATCCGAGAAGCTTGCAAGTAGTAGCTACTTGTAGAATGTCTATTGAATTAGTGGCATTAAGTAGTATCTCCCATTTTTCTTTGCTGCTTTCATCCTGTCCTCCCCCCGCCCTCACCTTGTTACTGCTTTCTCAATCCTGAACTTTCAGGCTGCTCAGATGTCTGAATCACAGAGGAAGTCAATCTGATTGAATCATTCACACTATGCTGCTTTATGAACCTAAGTAGGGTGTGTTGGAGCAGTTTATAATGGTTCATGAGAGCCATTTGTATGTCTCTCGTTCAACTCTGCATTCAGTGACATCAGGTTGCTAGCTTGAAATTAGCCATGGTGGGAGCATTTACACCACAGAAATTGACAAATACTATACATCAGAGCCTTTCGTTTTGAAAGCAGTTGTTAAATATTTACACCACTGACATCATATATTAACATTATTTCCTGTCTGTCCTCCTCACCCCCTTTTCTTTTGTTTTAAATTTATCTTATCCTAAGTTCCAGGATACATGTGCAGGGTGTACAGGTTTGTTGCATAGGTAAACATGTGCCATGGTGATTTGCTGCACCTATCAACCCATCACCTAGGTATTAAGCCTCGCATGCTCTCCTTCCCCCTGCCCCGCTGACAGGCCCCAATGTGCATTGTTCCTCTCTCTGTGTCCACGTGTTCTCATTGTTCGGCTCCCACTCATAAGTGAGAACATGTGGTGTTTGGTTTTCTGTTCCTGTGTTTGCTGAGGATAATGGCTTCCAGCTCCATTCATGTCCCTGCAAAGGACATAATCTCATTCCTTCCTATGACTGCATAGTATTCCATAGTATATATGTACCACGTTTTCTTTATTCAGTCTATCATTGGTGGGTATTTGGGTTGATTTCATGTTTCTGCTATTGTGAATAGTGCTCTAATGAACATATGTGTGCCTGTATCTTTATAATAGAATGATTTCTATTCCTTTGCTCACCCTCTTTTCTAAGAGAATTCTGAACCAGGCTTAATTTAAAGAATGACTCACCTGTGGCACATACCTGTAATCCCAGCTACTCAGGAGGCTGAGGCAGGAGAATCACTTGAACCTGGGAGGCGGAGGTTGCAGTGAGCCGAGATTGCGCCATTGCACTCCAGCCTGGGCAACAAAAGTGAAACTCCGTCTCAAAAGAAAAAAAAAAAAAGACTCAGCAACTCAGCAAGAAAGACTTTGAGGCCGTATATTTATAAAGCAAATACTTTTTTCCCACTCTCTTGTTCAGGCTGTTTCACAGCTTTCACTGTTAAGTGCTTTCAAACCTTAGCTCTGTTCTTAACAATGTACTTCATAGTTTGCCACAAGAGGCTGAAATCAGATTAGAACATCTTAGGGATTTTAGCTAACTTGTTTATGTCAGTTTAGAGAGAAGGAAAAGACTACCTAAGGCACACATCTTCCAATCCACAAATGGTACCAGATAAGTGTTTAAATTGTTCATATATATATATATATATATATATATATATATATATATTCACTCAACCTTCTGCACTTCTGTCTTTTGAGATGAAAATCACCCTAAAATTCCTTGGGAAATTGCCTGTCTCCTAGCTCAGTGACTCCATATTGCAAATTCAGAGAATTTTAGGTTTACCAGAAAAATAAGAGACCATCAGATGCAGTTTCCTCAACCAGGCTGATGTTAGCATCACCTGGGGAGCTTCAAAAAATTATGTGTCTAGGCCCCACTCTAGACAAATTCAATCAGAATCATCTGGATTGGGACAGGGCATTACTATTTTTAGCAGCTCTCCAGGTGATTTTAAGGGAGAATCATTGATCCAATTACCCCTCAATTTTCAGATGAGAATCCCAAGACCCAGTTCTAAAAGCTTTGCTCAAAGTCCCAGGGTGGCTGAATGGAGGCAGCACTAGTCTAAGACTCAGATTTTTTTTTTTTTTTTTTACTCCTAGACCACAATCTTTTAAAATCATGCCCCAAATCTCTGGATGTTCCCATTCCTGTTTGATAAGCCCCCAAACATCAGTCCTAGAAGCAAAAAAAGTTTTCCTATGGCAGAAATTTTATCAGGCCTGATTTCATTCATAAGTCTAATTGATCTTTGATCTTGAGCAAATGATTTTCTTACTTTTTTTAGTATTTCAGAATGTCTAAAATTACAAGGGGGATCTTTGTGATAAGATATGGTAATATAAACTATGCAAAGACATGGACTAGTGTCTAATCTTTACTATGTCAACTGTAAGGCCTGATCGAGGCCACATGCCCATGTATCCATTTATACCTACTTGATGTGTTAAGTGCCTTGACTAGATGTTTGAAAGCATCTGTTCACACTACAAAGTCATATATCTCAATTTCAAACCCTGGCTCCACCATTGACCAGCCTGAGGCCTTGAGTAAGTTATTTAACCATTCTGTGCTTTGATTTTCTCACTTGGAAAAGAGTTCTACGCCATAAGGTTGCTATGTGCATTTATGAGGTAATGAATATATATAGGGCACTTAGCACGTTGCCTGATCCAGAACCACTCAACCACTATTAGTTATTATTATTTTGCTATAGTAACCTATGTCTACCTCTTTGCTTGAATCCTGCTGAGAGAGGAGAAATGTGAATGACGAGGGAGCAGGAAGTGACAACCTTTGAGCATCTTGAACTGAAATCTCTGCCTTGGCTTCAAGGGTCACTGTGAGCTAAGAGGAAACTGCGCTACACCCCTGAGGGCAACACACAGGAGGAGGCCTGGAGCAGGGCACTCTGGCCTGGTCCTATTCTTTTTCCCTCCATGAATGGCATTGATTCTTGAGGGCAGCGGCCCCTATTCTTGCTCATCCCTCTAACTGGGCACTGGACTCTGGGCCTGAGCTACTGAACCCAAGGAGTGCTGATACAATGCCAGCTCTCAGCATCCAATCACCACCTACTGCTCCCCATCTGGTTCGCAGCTCAAGTTTGCTTTTCACCCAGCATGTCAGTTCAGCAAGCATCTCCCTTCCAGCCCAATAGGAGATGTTATCAGAAGTCCATTCATAACACTGACATGGCTTCTGCTCCTCACATCAGTTTTTAATGAAAACCCCTATGAGATTAAAGCAGAGCAGAGAAAGGAACAGAGAATGATGAATGTCCTAAAGTGAAATGAGATACATTTCAGAGATGGTTGGGCTGCAGTTGCACTTTTAGACAAACATTTTATGAAAGACATTGGCAAAGTGTCAAAAACTACTGTGGTTTGAATATGTCCCCCAAAGTTCATGTGTTAAAAACTTAATCCCCAATGCAACAGTGTTGGGAAGTAGAGCCTAATAAGAAGTAATTAGTTTATGAGGGCTCTGCCCTTGTGAATGGATTAATGTCATGATCATGGGAGTGGGTTTGTCGCCCCCTCTTGCTCTTGCAATCCTGCACTCTCTTGCTCTTCTGCCTTCCACCATGGGACGATGCTGCACAAAGACCCCGCCAGATGTGGATCCCTCAACTGTGGACTTCCAGCCTCCAGAAATACAAGAAATAAGTTTCTTTTCTTTATAAATTACAAAGACTGTGGTATTCTGTTATAGCGACACAAATGGACTAAGACAAAGCCTTCTGTCCGAGTTTCAAATATAGGCACAGGATATTTTCTCCTGTCATTATCTGAAGCAGGAATGCATTCCTGCTTAGGGCCTCATGTGGTTCAGTCTCCACCTTCAACTAGAGCATCTTTCTAGAAGCTGGCTTTAAGGTTGTAGAATGCAGAATTTGATACAAAGAAGTGGGCACAGAGATCAAAATGTGCTTGGTTAGACATGGCTTTCCAAATTTCATTAGATGAATACCTGAACGTACAAAATACTTTTGCATACAACTATTCACTTTTCAAAAGGATTCACTAGCCACCCAGGCAAAGCAGAATCCACGTGTATGTGTGTATATATAAATATTTTCTTTTCTTATTTTCCCTATCAGTTGGCCCTGTAATAGCCCTTTCATTTCTCCTTAATAGATGGTCCCCTATTCTCACTTCAATTCACAATAATTTGTCCCAGTTTGAATTTCCTAAGAACTGATAACCTAAGTAATACAGGAGACTGTCAAACATCTCAAAATAAGCATTCCCCATCAGCTCAAAATAATCAGTTTACCTCTCCTAATAAAATGTTTCAACTGGTGAGGAAGTATATTCCCTCATCTATCATTGAGAATTGACTACACCGGGCATGGTAGCTCATGCCTGTAATCCCAGCACTTTGTGAGGCTGAGGTAGTTGGATCACAAGGTCAAGAGATCAAGACCATCCTGGCCAACATAGTGAAACTCCGTCTCTACTAAAAATACAAAAATTAGCTGGGCGTGGTGGCATGCACCTGTAGTCCCAGCTACTCAGGAGGCTGAGGCAGGAGAATCGCTTGAACCTGGGAGGCAGAGGTTGCAGTGAGCCAAGATCACGCCATTGCACTCCAGCCTGGTGACACAGTGAGACTCCGTCTCAAAAAAAAAAAAAAAAAAAAAAAAAGAATTTACTACTGAATTTTTCTTAAAGGCAAATTTTAATATTATTTAATTTACCAAAAAATTATTTGCACATAACATTTCAAGACCATGAAATTCAGAGTGGAAGCCTCTAAGGTATTATCTAGCCCCAAATCTTCAATTTATAGATGAAGAAATCAAGATCGACAAGAAGACAATTCTTCCAAGGTCACACAGCACCATTAGGAACAAGGTTAGAATTTGAACTCAGAAACTCTGACTCACGAGCCATTCATTAAGGAAATAGTTATTAAGCAATTGTTATATGTCAAGCACTGTGTAAGATACTAGAACATATAAACAATTCAAAAAGAAATACTGCTGCCCTTGTATGTAGTGGAAAAGGAGATCTATATGTGCAAACTTGAATGTTATGAAAAGAAGACACCACGGGATTTGACCCGACCTGGAGGTCAGGGATGGCTTCCCTGAGGAAATGGCATCTGAGCTGAGATCTTAGAGGGATGAGTAGGAATTAATGAGATGAAGGATGGCCTGGGGGAGCAGGAAAAAATTCTAGTTAGAAGGGACCCTGTGTGCAAAGATTCTGAGTGTGTTCCAGTATGTATCACTACGTCTTGACTACTGAATCAAATAAAATACAGCTGGGTTTTTTCCAGCCTTCTTGTTTGTGTCTTTCCTTTGATTTAAGAAGGTGTGGGGTATGAATGTAATGTCCAATCTCCAATCCCTGTTTGCGAAAAGAAAAACACTACCTGTGTTTAGGAGAAAGGTAAAACTGGATCTGGAGTGACATGTTTGGTATAATTTTTAAAGCTGCAAAAATAAAAGAATTGATTGGAACTCATTCTGAACTCACTGAAACATTTGTGGTTTTTGTGGTCTTTTAAAATATTATTCCAGAAGTGAAAAAATTACTCTCACCCAAAATCTCTTGATTTTCACCTAACTCCCATTAAATTCAATCCTTCATTTATAATTTCTCACTTTCTTTGTCTGAAATACAAGGAAAAGAATGGAACTTTGGAAGTATAGAGATCACAATGTCCAATGGAAAATAAAAACTTTAGAATTAGGGATACTTTGATATCTTGCTTTCATCTTAAAAGCAAGGAAATGTGAACCACATAGGATGAATTCTGCATATGAGAGGAGGTGGGGAAGATGCATGAAGAAGGGATACCAGGAAAGCAATGATCTAGGATCCATTCTTCTAGATGCAAGCTGCTACCAACTGACTTGAACCCTTCTCTTGTCTGGTCTTTTCATCTTCTCTTAACAACTTAGCCTGCTGCACTTTCTTAACTGAGTATTAGAAGCTGTGGTGAGACATAGGATGCAAATGAGCAAGGTTGCACATCAACTCAGTAGATACATGGCTATGAGGTTCCAGTCCTAATTTCAAATGGGGAGGATGAAGGGTATCTGAGCCATGACAGATAGAGAATACCTCCTCTTCTGGGAAGGGGAAAGCATGGGCAGTGAATAACCACATAGATGTACTATCTAGTGTGTATCTGGGCTTGCGTGTTTGCATTATAAATACACGCTTGTGTCTTTCAACATGCTGAATCTCAGTGGGAATTGAGATTCTTGTGGGTGCTAAAGTTACAGTTTTAAAAGAAATGAAGCATTCTAGATTCTTTTGAGTCCGAGTCTTCCAAATGCATGTTAAAATAACTATTGAAAGGGTTTAGAATGCAGACTACAAGGCTACATAGGAACACTGATTTAGGAAATCCTGAACCCACAAAAATGTGAGAGCACCAGTGACACTATATAGAAGAGCCACTCAAGACAATGATACACAATTAGTTTTTGCAGATGATCCCAAAGATTGGGACCAGCTGAAGGAGTTATCTTCACCATGGCCGCTAATTCCAAAAACAATTAAGCCCTTTGTCCCCATTAATACAGCTTCACAATCTTTCTACAGTTTCCTCTTCTCTCAGTTCTTACATCTGTGGGCAGAAACAGTCTCTCTTCATCAACTTCAGGACAGAAGCCTGGAGTTAGCTCTTTCCATTCCCCATCGCTAATCATGTATATGCAATCCATCACCAAGTCTGCCTCTTCCTTCATTATTCTCTCAGGTTAGTTCTTTCCAGTTTCTTTTTCTTTGTCACCATCCTAGTCCAAGCCCTCACCACCTCAGCTGGAATACTGCAATAATAGTCTAGCTAGTCCATGATTAACCAGCTCCTCTTCCTGTGTTGAGACAGCTCTCCACTGTGTGAATCTTGATAGGAGATAGAGCCCGCTTCCTGCTGCAGAAGCCCAGAAGGGCAGCTCATCCGTCTCCCAGCTTCTTGCAGCTGGAGCTCAGTTGCCTAATCAGAAGCATCCATCCTCGATATGAAGTCTGGGGCTAGTGACGCACAGGGCAGAAACAGTTGAGAAATCTTAGGTGGCAGCAGCATTGGCAGCAACAGCAGTGGATGCCTTTAGTGTCACACAGGAGGTCCTAGCACACCAGGTCAGCCTCAGTGCCCAGTGGTCAGCCACTGTGCTATGGGTGTCCTCACCAGACCAATTCCATGGAAGTGATTTCAACCATGGCTCTGGCTATACAGCCCCCTTCACTCCTGCTCATTTCCTAAACCTGGTTTTCTAATCTTCCAGCATGTCTGTGAGTGATGTGATAATCCATTTGAAAAATTCCTTTTATGCTCAAGACAGCAAGAATTAGTTTCTGTTCTGAGAACCTTCAATGATATTCTCATTTCTATATCCAGCCCCCTCCCCCAAGCTATCACCCATGCCGCTGCAAAACTCATTTAAAAACTTCACTTTTATCATATCATTTCTCTGCCTAAGAAGGTACAATGAATTCTACATGAAGTCAAGCTCCTTATCTTGATATTCAACATCCTGAATAATCCAACCTCTCTCCATCTAACAGAAACTGCCATTTTCTCTGCTGTCTGTCAAGACAGTAGCTTTCAAATTTTTTATGAGATCCACATAAATACCAAATTTAAGAACCAATAAACACACAAAACTGAAGCAAGCTCTTCGTGAAAAACATACTTACTCTTACCATATGCAATCAATTCTGATATTCTCTATTCCATTCTGTCCCACTTTAAAAAAATGTTGATACTCATCAAATTGATCTGTTAAACACAGGTTTAGCCTATATTGCGGTTTGCAGGCCACCCATACTCTGTTCCCAGTTCCATGCAGGAAGTACATAAAGAGAGTAAGTCAAAACCATCAGTTAATCCCACTTTTCCTATTAGGGTTTCTCACACAAACCTTGCAGAAAAAAAAAATTGTCATCCTGACAAAGTAGGCCTATGAAAAATATTCACGACTACTGAATAATATTTGAATATATAGTTAAATCAATTACAAAAACAATTCTTTCCAAACTGTTCTTTGATTTTGCTCTATTACTATGAAAGAAAATTTTTGATTCCACATTTTGAAAAGCAGTTTTTGCCCAGAGTTGGTCTCTTGGAAGGGTTCTGGCTACACTGGTTTGACCTAGGACGTTTCTCTGCAGAAACTCTAACCACACACCTGTGTAACAAATCATCGCTGACACTTACCAGATGAGTGAGGTAGTCTTAGATTATAAAAACGATTAGTAAAAAGGCAAGTCTGCACAGGTGGGACTGGAGATTTTAATAACCTGTTAAAATTGCACACGTCTCTTTATTAAAGTCCAAAGGTTGATTTGAGAGATGGAATTGGGGCAGGGGATGGGGGTTGGGGTCTAGAAACGGTGGTAGGTGGAGACTGACAAAAGACTAAGCAACTCACAACTGCTGGTGGTACATCTGAGTTCCTGCTCTGGGGACTACGGGGACATTGTCTCACCAGCTGCTGCCTGTTCACAGCTAACGACTCCCTTCCCAGAGGTTTCTGATGTCAATGCATTTAGTCCTTTTGTTTGATGGCCTGTAGCCTTTGTGCTCTGCAGCCATTATAACAATCTGTTTACCTTTGTGAATACCTAATGGACAGTAGATGTGCTCCCCTGGGGTTAGAACTGTACACTGAGGTAAGATTTTTCTTTCCGTTGACTCTGCAATGATTTATCTTCCAATATATCATTGTATTCACCAATCTTTGTGGGCTGGAGCTGGAATGCTAGCTATATGGAATCAGATACACAGAGCAGATTCTCTCCCTGGCAACCCGCTTCCCCTCCCCAGCTTAGGAAGAGCATAAATAATGACCCTCTCCCTCTTGCTCCTATTGGATTTCAGCTGAAATCCCTTAGACTTTTGGCTATGTCCAATACCTTTGGAGTTCTCTTCAGCTCTCTGCTTCACAGCTTCCTTTGTCTACATTAAAAGAAGCACAAAGAGTGATCAAGATAAGCCCAAACCAGACATTCCTGGGTAAACAGAAAAATGCATCCTGTAACTTGCATGCTGATTATCTCATTCCTGCCCCTCTCCCTCCCCATCCCATTTTCTCGTTACTTTTCAGAGCTTCAAGCTTTTGCTGCAGTGAAAAGCTGCTGGTACTGGGGAGACAAGTATTTTCTTATTTTTTCTCTGTATAACCTACAGGGACATCTTTGCCTTTGTCTGTACTACTATTTGGGGGTGGCGATAAAGTAAGGGAGGTTGACTAATGGATCATGGAAAAGAATCCTAGAAATTGGAAGCTGTCAATAACAAACATTCCTAATGCTGCCCCTCTCCCCATACAGGGCAGGCAGTGTAGAATGGGGGTTAAGAACCTGTAGTCAGACGACTCGGATTAAATCCTGCTCAGCCTCTAGCTTCCTATCTGACCTTGACGCATTCCCAGTTTCCCCCTTCGAACTCCAGTTATTATTATTTTCCCCTGCGGGGACAGAGGTGTGTGCCCTACCCTCTAGGAGCTTGCACTGAAATGGAAAGCACATTCTGGCCACATGTTCTACATCACTGTTATCCCAGAGTTTCGCCATGGTGGATGCTGGTGGGACCTACAGGAGGGACTTGATTTCCTTCACATGATTGAGCATTGTGGGCTAGGGAGCTCACCTTTCCCATCTCGTCTTTTTAAGATAAATGACATCCTTGGCCTTCCAGGTTGGTTGATCTTCTGGTGATATGACACCAACCTGAGGTTTCAAAGCAGAATCTTTCCCTGCCAACAGCATGTATGGCACACAGCTGGCACCCTATTCGGAAGCAGTGATCCATGTGCTGAAAATGGATGCTTCTGGTGGCCGAAGAATGGATTTCATTTTCCAGCAAAATTTCTAATTTCAATGTGAGAGGAACCTTCCTTCCTTCCTTCCTTCCTTTCCTCCCTCCCTCCTTCCCTCATTCCCTTCTTTCCTTCCTTCCTCCCTCCCTCATTCACTTCCTTCCTTCCTTCTTTCCTCCCTCCCTCATTCACTTCCTCCCTCCCTCCCTTTCTTCCTTCCTCCCTCCCTCATTCACTTCCTCCCTCCCTTCCTCCCTCCCTCCCTCCCTTCCTCTCTTCCATCCTTTCTTCTTTATTTTTCTTCACCTGTTTCCTGCCAGAAACCATTAGATTATTTGGGACATCTTTCTTTATTCTTAAATTAAGCTTGTTGACATTAGCTGGATGTCATAGCTTCTTGCAAAAGCCATATCTGCATAGTGTGTCTAATTAGATCCTAGCATTGTAACAACTCATAGGTTCAATTTTTTAATATACAAATCTGGAGGATACTAGAGTGAACTAAAATAATTTCACTATCTGCAAAAGATTTCACAGACAAACAGTACTTAATCTGAGAAATCCCTTGATAAATTTGCCAGTAGGCCAACCCTCCTCACTGGTACAAGGGCGGCTTATAACAGAAACCCTTTGTGCATTGTGGAAGGCAAACACACATGCATTTTACATGAGCAAATTCTAAACCAACTGGCCATGATTTTTTTCAATTACACTTTCCCCAAAATAACCCTTTCAGAACAAGTTTGCAAAGGGTTTTTCTCCATAATTGTACGCTGCTCTTGGAGCGCTCGAATGGATGGGGAAGGCAAACAGAGTCAAAGCTTTCCATGGAACCACAGTCATTTCTTGCACTGGAGGCTGCTTATTTTTGTCCTCTCTTGAGAGAGAAATGCCGAGAAGATTTTACGTCTGTCTCAAAATTGATTATGTGTTTTTAGTTTTACCAAGTTCAGACTTTAAAAAATCCCAACAAAAGAAACACAACAATAACACTTATCGTCCTCTGCCACCCTGGTAGGCGAGTCCGCTGGGCACTTGTGTCTGGAGTAACATTATCTGTTGTTATTTACTATGAAATGCTACAAACTTACAAGTAGCGACAGGCGAACAGTGTGAGGACGGCTACGTTCTTTGTGTGAATTGATTCAAGGCTCTCATTCATAAATTAGCTAGGCCTTTGGTCAGTTTTTGTGTTTCTTTTTTCTGGTAATAACTCAGCGAAGTCTGGATCCAAGCCACTCTCATGAGTGCTGCCCTTTAAACAAATTGTTTGAAGTCCAGCTTTCACTTTTTGGGGATAAACAAAAATAATGCTTAATATTGTAGAATCATTGTTTGTTTTTATTTTACACAATTAATGGTCTTTTTACTAGAACGACAAATGTATTGCATAAAACAATATTTAAGTAAATAAAGGTAGAAAAGGTATGGAGAAGCAGAAAGTAAGAAGAAAAGAGGCACAGAGGAGAAGGCAGAGAAAGGGGAAAATAGGAAGAGGGAAAGGAAAAGGGAAAAGGAGAGGGAAATAATGAAAAAGAAAGGGAGAGGTTGGGAAGCCGAGGCAGGCAGATCATAAGGTCAGGAGTTCGAGACCAACCTGGCCAATATGATAAAACCCTGTCTCTACTAAAAATACAAAAATTAGCTGGGCGTGGTGGTGTGTGCCTGTAGTCCCAGCTACTGAGGAGGCTGAGGCAGAAGAATCTCCTGAACCACGCCACTGCACTCCAGCCTGGGCGACAGAGAGAGACTCCGTCTCAAAAAAAGAAAGAAAGAAAGAAGAGAGAGAGAGAGAGAGAGAGAGAAAGGGCAAGGAAGGGAGAAGGGGAGAAAAGATTGGTTTTGGAAGCCTTTACAAAGGGCAGGAAAAAAATTGACTGGACTAAAAAAAAAACAAACATGACTGGACTAAACATCATCACTGGATCTCATTGGTGAGTACATAATAAAAATTACTGAGAGTTTGTCCAAATTCTTCAAGCTTCCACACAAAGTTTTCAAACACATATCCAAACCCAGCAAGCCATATCAGAATGGCCCAGTAAAGGTTATTCTTAATATAACCCACATGGCAGCTGGGATCTCCCTGCCCCTTGAGATGGAGGTAAGTTTGCCTTGCATCCTTATTCTATGTCTCGTAGAGGTCCAAATCTCCCCCGCCCTGAGCTTTCTGTAACTTTCTGGGAAAGTGGTGGTGAAAGGACATGGCAGAGTGTGAGTTTATCTTCTCAGTTTTACTGTGGGCTCAAAGAGGCTGACCTTGCTTAAATCATTCAATTTAGGGTTGCTCTCACTAATTCAAATGTGTTATTTTATTCGACACCACATTAATCCTGATGTAAATATTTGAATTTCCAAAAACACTTACAAGGCTTTATATGTGGAAGGTACTTTACTGAATATTTGGGGTAAGAAAAGAAGATTTTAAAAATCAAGTTTATAGAGATATTATTTAAACATAGTAAAATGCATCCCTTCTGAGAGTACAGTTCGCTGAGGTTTTACTCAGGTAGTTATTTTGTAGCCACCACCATAATTAAGATATAGAACACTTCCATCATACTACAAAGTTCTCTTGGCCCCTTGGTCAATTTCTTCCCCACCCCACCCCTAGTCCCAGACGGCCAGTGATCCGCTTTCTGTCTTTATACATTAGTTTTGTCTGTCTTAGAATTTTATATAAATCAAATCATACCATATGTATTTTTTTGTGTCTGGCTTATTTTGCTCTACACAATGTTTTTGAGATTCATCTATGTTGTTGTTAAGTATCAGTACTTAAGTATTTTTCCCCTCTGAGTAGTATCCTATTGTATGACTGTACTGCAAAATGTTTATCCATTCACCTGTTGGTGGACATCTGGTGTTACTGAGTTGTCTGTCTAGTATGGCTAAATCTGCTATGTACATTTATTTAAAAGTCTGTGTGGATGCATGTGTTGTTTTCTTTGGAAAAAATACCCCGGATTGGGAATCGCTGGGCCGTGTGTTAGGTATGATTAATTTCATAAAACTGCCATACTACTTTTCAAAATCATTGTACCATTTTAGAATCCCACCAGCACAACATGAGAATGCTACTTTCTCTACATCCACACCAACACTTACAATTAGCAGTCTTTTTAGTGCTAGATGTTCTAGCAGACACGTAATGGTATCTCACTGTGGTTTTAATTTGCTTTTCCCCTATGATTTCATGTTGAAAATCATTTCATGTGCTTATTTGCCATTCATATATCTTATTTTGGTGAAGTGTTTGTTAAGTCTCTTGCCTGTTTTACTGAGCTGTCTTCTTACTAAGGAATTATAAGAGCTCTTTATACATTCTGGATAAAAGCCCTCTCTCAGGTATATATTCTGCCAACATTTTCTCCTGCTCTGTGGCTTGTCTATTCATCTCATTAATGCTGTTGTTTGATGAGCAAAGGTTTTTAACTTTGATGAGGTCAAATTTATTGAATTTTTTCTTTTATGGTTTATATATTCTAAGTCCTGTCTTCAGAAATTTTTTGTCTATTCCAAAGAGGAGATATTTTAAACATAATATTTCAAGCAATTTTAAGTTGAACATTACACATCCTTGCTGGCCTCTCACCCACCAAGATTTTACACTCACCATGCTGTGCAGAGATGCTTCAGACCGGCCCCACCCCTGGGCTCATCACTCCCTCATACTCCAGATAATCCACATGCCAAACCCAACACTGCCTTTAATATGCAGCCACTCAAATTTCTGAAGCTCCAGGATTACCTTTGCATGATTAAAACCTACAAGATGTCCAGTAAATCAAAAGGGTTTTCCAGAACACAGTTCAGATTAGAAGAGCAATTTTTCTCATTATGTTATTGAATCAACTCTAACTTCTAGCTCAAGTTTCCCAACAATATTTTGGGATTTTAGTTAAACTATGTCTTTTACTGAAATAATAGTCAAAGCCCTGGAGACCTTAGAAACTTGATTTCTTTTTAACTGTGGTATCCATACTTCTGATTCTGATGTGATATGGCTGAATAACAAATGAATAAGCTACTTCTCTCCATGGTAGCACTTTGTCTTCTGGTCTTATGACATTCCACATGATCATCCCACAGTACAGAATGTTATCCTGTGACTGTCCTCTTATTCCGAACTCCTGAGACCACTTCACGCAGGTCTACCTTGGAAAATCTCAGACATTGAAGGGCTACTTTATAATATAGAAACTAAGTCTTAAATTGCTCTTCTCAAGAGTTCAACTCCAACTTTATAATTAATAGATACTTTCTTTAAAAATTTATCTTTTGTTGGATTTCAAACTGCTCCGTTGCTTCAAGTGTAACATGTCCCAAAGATAATTGGTTCTTCCTTCCAAAATGGCTCCTGTTTTCTACAGTCCCATTTATATCCTGCACACTTTAGACTCTTACATCCTCATTATCCTCTGTCTGTTACTGTGGCCTATTATCCTGAAATGCCTCAGATTTGTCCTTTCTTTTCTATTCCCACCCTAGATTGGGCCTTTCTTGCTTGAGTTGCTGCGGTAACTTCCAACCTACTGTCCCCAAGATTTTTCTCTCCTGTCATTCTCTTGGCCCTGTCCTCAGCCCACAGAATTTTTATACTAGGAGATCTTTCTGTCCTTGCTTAATAACATCCTTTGCCTCACCTGCCTAACTTTGGATACCCCTGGAGACAGGCCTCACTCCACTTATCTGAATCTGGACCATCATAAGTTCTGTCCCAGCAGGGCTGTCTGTGCACTCTCTCCCTATGTGTACCAAGCTCATTCTGTCTTTGAATTATTTGCTTGGGCTATTAACCCTCCCTAAACACTCTGAACTTAAAATGTCACTTTTCACAGTTACTTTCTAAATCTTTCTCTTTTAAAATGCGGCTCATTTTACCTTCTCTGACTAATTTCTCTCTTCTGTAAATGACCATTTCACTTATAATTCACTGAGTCCCAACTGGAATATCTAGATACTATCCAGCTCACAGAGTTCATGTTAGAATCAAATGGAAACCAAAGGGAAACAAGGGGTAACCTGCTGACAACAGAGTCTCCATGAGGCACTAACCAGCCCTTGAAGCTTCTGGTAAGTAGGACTGGACTCTGCTCCTCCCCTTGACATTTGCTCTCCCTTCCACTAATTTACAAGGGGACTGAAGCTTCCTGGGGAAGACAAAGGACTTGATCCTGTCCACTGTTGGGAATTGCAGCCATGTCTGATGGGCTGGCTTGATCTCAATGGGAGCCAGAAGGACATTCAAGTCTTCAGAGAAAAGTTATCACAGGGAACAAGGAGTCTGGCCCAGGAAACCAGAATGGAAGGGGATTTCAGAAATGGTCCAACAGGTGATACCAGAGTCATCCCGACCTAGTGCAGGTGACAGCATGTGTTGTTGTAGAAACAAAGCTTAGCTTTGTGAAACTGAATGGCTGTATATTAAGCACTGCAGCACTTTCGGGCTCGATAACCCTTCCTGACAACTCTTCCTTCTCTTTCCCTGCCTCCGTGTTTGGGCAAAATACAGAAGATCATTCTTCTCTTTTTGCCAGAGTGGTGACAAGATCTCTGGCCTCAAGGTACAGTGGCATCATTCCAGTTTCCCCAACAATGACTGCAATGGATTCCCACCTTCACAGGTGCCTAGAGGGACAAGGGCCAAGTTCCATTTCTAGAGGGGCACCTCTGTGAACCTGCCAGGGCCCAGACTGCAGATTCTGGGCTTGACACTGACTGCAGAGGCTGGATAAGTAAGTGGAAGGCTGGATCATAAGCCGAGGCTCCCTCATCACAGCTGAGGGGAGCCCTGCACCCAACTAAGTCTCCCAGTGTGGTTAAGATCCATTCTCTAATTCCGGAAGTGAAGTGTGACCTTTTTCTTCTACACAAAAGCACAGACTCAGAGTAGACATCAAAAACAACCACACTTTAATGGCACTCACTGTCCTCCCATTACCGAGTTGGGGGAAGAGGGAGGATTCATATAAAATTAAAGGGCTAAAGTTTCTCACCAATTCAGGTGGGACTCAATGCAATCTGGCTGTGAGGAAGGAGTTGTTCTGACGGCCTATGTGTTCCTGGGAAGTTGGGTCCTTCTCTATCCATTTGAGGGAAGAAATAACCTGAATTTAAAAGGTCTCAGGAGCTGCAACTATAGTAATACAAACTAGGGACTATCCTCATTCCTTAAACTGCTCTGGAGCTCTTCCTTTCAGGAGGCCAGCTAATGTTGACCTGTCTCTGAAAGAGAGCAGCCAGGCATGAAGGCTGCACTGTCTTGTCAAATCATATGTGACCAGGCTAAAGTATCCCACCCTTTAACATCATATGGCTACAGCTATTCCCACACTTGCATTTGAAGCATAGCATTGCCACCTACATGCAAAATATCACATTATAATCAAATTGCATCAGTCATATACATGTATAGTCCATAAATTTCAACTACACTAGAGCACAAGCTGATGACTAAAGAAAGAAAATATCATTGCAAAGTGGCATTCGCTTAGGGAGCCTGAGGCCACAAAAATGAGAGTGTGCTAGGGTCTCTACCAAGACATTATCTGATGCTACCTTGTATTTTGTGAGGCTTTGGTGAGGCTGTCTTCAAGGTCCAGTAACAACATACCACCTTTGTACTGGGTGTGGAGGTTTCTGGCACTATTAGTATTATAGAAGGTGAACTGTGTAATAGGCTGGATTTGTAATAGGTTGTGATAGAAGTTGAACTGTGTAATAGGTTGGATCTGGCACTATTAATATTATAGAAGTTGTAATGTGTAATAGGTTGGAAAGGGAAATGAATTTCCTTTTGCATTTGTTTTATAAGTTTAAAATATGTCAAAGTTTACCTTATGCTATAAAATTCTGTATACACATCCAACAGAAGGAAAAAAATGTTATTCTTCTAGATTTTACCTTCAGGGTTTTTTAATATAAATAAAACATATAATTAGGGTTAAAGTGCAAATTCTTGTTTCCCGCTTCAGCACTATTTATTCCCTTTTCTTTCCTCTTACAATCAACCTTTCCTGTTTTTTGAGCTCCACGTATATGTTTTTAATCTTTTTTCCTCTTAAATTTGTATCTGTGAACAATGTATAGTACTACTCTGTGTTTTTTACATTTTGACATCAAAGCTATCATACTGTACAAATCTTTCTGAAACTGTTTTTTTCCTTCTACTATTTTAAGATATATCTATGTTGATACATATAAATCTAGTTATATTCATACAGTATTGTCTTGCTACACAAAATGTGGTCTATGGCTTAGCAACAGCATCATGTCTAGGAACCTTCTTAAAAAGGTAGAATCTTCTTCAAAGTTTCTTTGGTCATTCAAGATCTTCTAGAATTCTAGGATCAGCTTGTCAGTTTCTTCAAAAACCAGCTGGAATTTTCATTGGGACTGCATTAAATCTATAGATCAACTTGATAGATGAACAACATTGAGTGTTTTGATCCACGAACACAGTATCTCTCCATTTATTTAGGTCTTCTTTAATTTCTCTTGACAATCCTTTTTAGTTTTAGTATAAAAGTCCTGCATATATTTTGTCAAATGTACCCCCATATATTTTATATCTTTGATGCTATTGTAAATAGTACTGTCTTTAAATTTATGTCTACTGCTAGTATAAAGAAATACAACTGATTTTTAAATTATCTACCTCATATCATGCCGCTTTAGTTTTTGTTTTTGTTGTTGTTGTTATTGGAGATTTGGTAGAATTTTCTCCATACACAATCATGTTGTCTGCAAGTAAAGACAAGTTTTACCTCTTCCTTTCCAGGCTTTATGCTCACTTTCTTCTTCCTCCTCCGCTTTCCTCTTCCTCTTCCTCCACATCCTCCTTCTTCTCCTTCTTCTTCTTTGTTGGCTTAGCAGTTACAACCTTTTCTGTTTTATATTAGTGGTTGCTTTAAGGGTTACAGAATATATCTTTCATTAATCACAGTCTACCTTCAAGTGATATTATTCTACTTCACATGTAGTACAAGAACCTTATACCAGTATACTTTCATTTCTCCCCTCTGGGCCTTTGTCTATTGTTCTCATACATTTTGCTTCTACATATGTTATAAACCTCACAACACATTGTTACTATTTTGGTTTTAGATGGCCACTTATTTTGAATTGACTAAAAATAAGAAAAATATTTGCTATATTTACAGGTGTGCCTCATACTTTTATATGTAGATTCTGATTTCCATCTGATACTTGGTGGACTAATTTCCTCCTCCTGAAGACTTTCTTTAATGTCATAGAAATGCAGGTTTGCTGGTGATGGATTCTTTTAGCTTTTGTATGTTCAAAAGTCTTTGTTTTTGGTAAGTATTTCTGAACTACCCCTAGTTTAGAATTCCAGAATTTTTTGTTAACTTTTAATACTCCAAAGATGTTGTTCCACTGTTTCCTGGCTTGCACTGTTTCTAGTGACTAAATGCAAATTTTAACCTGTGTTTTCCTAAAAATAATGTATCTTTTTTCCCTGGCCACTTTTAAGATTTTCTCCTCATCACCAGTTTTAAGCAATTTGATTATGTCCTCAGTGTCATTTTCCTCATTTGTGTGTGTGTGTGTGTGTGTGTGTGTGTGTGTGGTTTATTGAGCTTCTTGAAATGGTACAATTATAATTTGCAAGAAATAGAAAACATTTTGGTCATTAAGTTTCATATAATATATATTATATATATTAAATATTATATATAATATATATAAAATATTTTATAAATATATATTTATATATATAAATTTTATATATAAATATATATATAAATATATAAATACATATATATAATAATATATATATATTACTCACTTCTCCTTTTCTCACCTTCTTGGACTCTAAAACGTATATATTAGGCCACCTGAAATTATCCCACAGCTCACTGATGCTCTGCTTTTCTTTTCTTTTTTTAGTCTTTTCTCTCTCTGTTTAATTTTGGTTTCAATTGCTGTGTCTTTAAGTTTACTACATTTTCTTTGTTGGTGTCTAACAACAAAGAACAGAGAGACCAATGAACGAAAGCATGGAGAATAAAGTGCAGAAAACTAAGTTAGTTAGTGTTCCTGAATCTTAAAGTCCAGGGGGAAAAATGAAGAGTGTTAAAGCTGACAAGGTGTGGCCAGTGCCAGATAAAATAAGACCTCAAATAACTTAAGCATGTTAGACTTTGACCTATAGGTCACTGATTCTCAAACTTCACTGTAGATAGGAATTACTTGAGGAGCTTGTTAAAATGTTGACTTGTTGACTTGTTAAAATGCTTGCTCAGACAAGCCCTGTTTGAATTTGCAATCCACAAAACTGTGAGATATAATAAAATGATGATTTTTTTTAAGCCACTGAGTTGTTGCACAAAGTTTTGTTGGGTAGCAACAGACAACCAACACAGAATCAGGCCTCATATGCACTAGCTACATATTAAAATCACTTAGGAAGCTTTTTAAAAATATTGATTCCCAAATTCTAACCTTAGGGACTTGATTCAATTGGTCTGAAGTGAGGCTTAGGTATTGATAGTTTTAAGCTCCCAAGATAATGCCTTATAATAGACTCTATATAGATTTTGATGTGCAGCAGAGTTTAAGGCCATTGCAACAGGTGTTGAAGAACCATGGAACAGGTTTGAGCAGGTAGCTGATGTAATCAAGCTTGTGTATAATACCATCATTGTCAACTACACAGAAGACAGAGCTGAGTTGAAGACTGGATCTAGGAAAATCAACTAGGAAGCTGCTGCAGAAATCTAGGTGGGAAACGACAGGGGCTTGAACTAGGACAGTGGTAGCAGGGCTGGAGAGGACAAGATGAATGAGAAAGATTTAGATGACAAAACAGGTAGTTCTTGGATAGCGAATATGAGAGATGAGGCAAAGGAATGAGCTCTACATATAGTTGAGGAATGCAGCCTGGGTGCCTGGGTCGATGATGGTGACATTCATAGTAACTGGAATCGCAATAAGAAGAGAAACAAGTACAGCCTTAGTGATAGGTTGACTTCACATTACCTGGAATATCTAACTGGAGCTGTCTGGCAGAGAGTTGGATATATTAATTTGAAGTTCAGGGGAGAGGTGTTAGCTACAGATATTGAGTTAAATACTAGCTGAGGGCGAGAGAATGGAGGTGATCTCCCAAGTACGAATCTCCAAGTATGAATCATCCGTTAGCCTGTTGGGCAAGAAAAGCCATGGCTGAGGATAGAACCTCGGGGACACCAAGGTTTGTGTGGGTCAGGTGAAAACCTTGAAGGAGGCCAAGAATAAATAACCAGTCAAATCACCTGGCTATATTGGGAGTCAGTGAGGGATACTTAGGCTGTAGATCTCAACCCCATTTCCACCCCTCTTTTATGGTGTCGTACTATTCTGCAGAGGTGAAAAGTCATCAAATGATACTTGCTTGGTTGGAAGGCAGATGGGAGGCAGAGGCTATCCTCTGTCAGCTGTTTCTGCTGGCAAGTAAAATCACGTATTCATGAGTGAAGAGACAATTGCAGGGCCAGATTCAGATGGCCAGATGATGGCTTTTTGGCTTCCATGTCCCTTTATACCCATGCCTATATTTCTTATGGCCTTATGGACTGCAGCTCTGGATTCATACCTTTAAAGTTAAATAAAATTGTATTTGCTTATTGTCAGCATTTCTTAACATGTTAAAATCTCTAAGCTGCTTCAAAAATCTCGATGCAAAGTTCCCATGCTCAGATATCCTGATTTAACACAGCGAAGGAGTGGTCCAGGCATTATTATGTTTTTAAAAACATTCCAGGTAACTGTAATACATGCCTAGAGTTAACTATTGACTTTTCAGTGGGCTGGGAAAGGCAGACCCACCCTTAATCTGGGTGGCCACAATCTAATCAACTGCCAGCATGGCTAGAATATAAGCAGGCAGAAAAATGTGAAAAGAGAGACTGGCCTAGCCTCACAGACTACATCGTTCTCACATGCTGGCTGCTTCCTGACCTTGAACATCATACTCCAAGTTCTTCAGTTTTAGGACTTGGACTGGCTCTCCTTGCTCCTCAGTTTGCAGATGGCCTATTGCAGGACCTTGAGATCATGTAAGTTAATACTTAATAAACTCCCCTTTATATATACCTAGTAGCTCTGACCCTCTAAAGAACCCTAATACAGGTGTAGTCTTGATTATTTTGGTACAAACCTTGCATGCCCATTGTGTCTTCATGGTATGGATCAAGAAGTTGGGTGGTTGTCTGATTTTCAGAGAAGAAACTGAGGGTGTTATTTACCTTGATTTATACTCTAAGAAAAACTTAGGTTGACTTAGGCTTCTTGAATTCAAAAGCTACATTATTAATGTTTACATACCTATAAGCACCTTCCTTGCCCTAAGTAGGTGAGCTGTAAGTAACTGTAGAATAAATATTAGTGACTCAAGTAGTCTGTAGAAGATTGGCTTCTAAATCTATTAAGTTTCCAGAAAGCATTTTTGTAAGTATTCATTTATTTTTTAGATATTCATTAACAAGCTGGATTTGGGTTTGATCTGGAGTTAGGGTGTTAATATAGCATGTGAATGTAGATGAACTAGGAGTAGAACCTGTTTTTCATGCCAACGCATCTAATCAGGCTAACGTCCTTCAAGTCAGTTTTCCGATTAAACATCCCAATTATCAGTTAATTGCTAGAGAATAGATGGAACTGACTCATTTATCTTCAAATTCCAAGCTGGAAGCCTCAAATGAACAAGAATAATTCTAGCTCCACAGTTAGCTAAAAGCCAGGCTAAACCTGGCCAGTGTCACTGTAAAATATGTCCTCAGGCTTCACAACCCTAGCATATAGTACCAAAGAGATTTAACCTCAATATGGTGTTTTGAAGAGCGCTGTCACAGCAGAGAGCTAAAATCCAATAGCACAAACCACATGGATCCACATTATTCAAGATAAATACTTCACATGACTCCTTAATTAGTCATTAACGATAATTAACCTTGTGGGAAAAATGACTCATCTGATTGGTAAAAATACACTTGGTTTCACTTGGGTCTACTGTCTTCTTTCTAAGGTTACAGAGGAATTGTCTTTCCTTCTACTCAGGTTTACTCACCTGGAAAGCAGGAAGGCAGCTTTGGATGACCCTTCTGTCAAGTTTTGAAAGACTTGGAGTACAAATCTGATACTGTATAAAAAAATCTGATCTCTCTTAAATAAGCCTGCTCTTCTCCCTGGGGAGACAGAATGGACACCAGTTCAGCTACCTTAAACATTACATTGGTTGATCAGTGATAAATAATGCAAGATTTCTTACTTTACAGGCTTCCCCAGAAAAATCAATCTAGGGATTCAATTTATTATTCACCTAAATGCATGGATCAATTAATACACATTTTTTACTTCTGGATTTTAATCAGATTTGAAACAAGTGTGCTATATTATGATACCATGAAGAAGCAAGATATGTACAAGTTCCAATACTGAGGCAAAATCCTTCTAATTTCTCATTTTCAGTACAGATATGATATAATCCTTCTAATTTCTCATTTTCAGTACATAGGAAGAAAATCCTATGAGTTTCATTGTCCACATAATTGCCAGATTGATTCCCCTTTCTTGCCCAGGGAGAATCAAGATAAATGCAATAGGCAAGAGGTGAATGAGCTATTCTTTTGACCCTAGGGGAGAAAGTCACAGGGGTTGGGAACCTATTGTATTAAAGTGGTATAAGCCTTGTTAAGAGGTTGTTCATGGATATTCAATTTAAAACAGATCTAGGTGACTCTTTTCTCCCATTATGGCTACTTCTCATATAGTAGTTCCAATTTCCACAGAAGAACCCTAGGCAATTAGTCCACAGGTAACTTGTTCAGCCCTGAAATTAGGATCCACTACAGATGGTGATGGCCCCTGTCTTACAATAGTTCAACTTAAAATTTTTTGATTTTACCATTGTGCAAAAAAGATACGTCTTCAGTAGAAACCATACTTCAAGTACCCATACAACCTTTCTGTTTTTCACTTTCAGTACAGTATTCAATGAGTTACATGAGATATTCAGCACTTTACTATAACATAGGCTTTGTGTGAGAGGATTTGCCCAACCATAGGCTAATGTAAGTGTCCTGAGAATGTTTACGGTAGGCTAGGCTGAGCTATGGTGTTCAGTAGGTTAGGTGTATTAAATGCATTTTCAACTTACAATATTTTCAACTTATGGGTTTATGGGGATGTAACCCCATTGTTAAGTCAACGAGCATCTGCAATAGAACCTATAGCACTTGGTTGAGATATAGCAAACCAAAAGGTTAAAGTCAAGTTGTATGAATTGTTCCTCCTTCATGTGGTGTAGTGGATGCTGTGGTACAGCACCCAAATCCTGCTTTTAGAATCTAGACCCTCATTCCCTCAGCTTCCTGCGGTGTTGGCTGCTGAAGGGTCACAGCAAAGTTACCCTTTAAAAATTGCCAAGAGCTGAAGGGAGTTACCTCACCCGATGTTATGTCCTCTCCCTCCCAGGCTGGTCAGTGCATAGGGTGAAGAGGGAACATGAGTGTGGGTGTGGATGTGGGTAGTGGTGGCTATACAAAGGCTCAGACCCTTTCCTCGATTTGCATAATTCTGAAGGGCCACTCAAGCTCCAGAGGTTCCTACGGCATCAAAAGAGGACTCTGTTGCAACTGCATCACCGTTCATCTCCCTCTGCCCAGTCCTGCTTCCTTCATTTCCTGAAGGGTATTGTTTCTCAGCGTACTCCCAATAAACCGCCTGCAAATAGATCTGCATCTCAAGGTAAGCCACATCTCTACCACCCTTTGCAAAGCAAAATATGGGCACAACTCAGTTCCTAGAAGTATCCTAGGTCATTTGCATTTGGTATATTCAGATAAATAATTACAATGTTGAAAAACTTCATTGATTTGGGCCAAGTTAGCGTTTGTCACCCTTTAGACATCATGTAACTGGGTACTTTTAGAATAATATAGTGACTTTTCTTCCTAAATGGACAACTGCACCTGTATTTATTTGGTTTGTAAAACATTGTGCATATATCTAGTATGCAATGTTTAAAGTAGATTAAGTCTCTAATGTGCTGGAGTGTTTTCAACACTCAGGTACTTTAGAAGCACTCTAAAAATTGATACGCTAACTACAGATTATTTTCTTCTGTTTAAAGCCGATCATCAAAGGGCCTTGTTTTGGAAACATGTCATTATTTTAGTTCTGTCAGTGATTTATTCTAAAAATTCTTCCATTTACTCCAAGTTATTGTCATTTTTTTGCTATTATGATTAGGGATGTCTAAATTAACAGCAAAGTGCCGTTAGTCAAATCAGCATATGTTAATAGTTCAGGTATATTAAATATCTACTTTGCCTCAAGTACTTTCTATGTATAAATTCATATAATTCTTACGTGAGATAAGTGCTATTGTAATCATTTTTTCCAAATGAGGAAACCTGCACAAAGTTGCAAACCTAGGAAGGAGCATAGCCAGATTTTTGATTCAAGCAATTTGGCTCCAGAATCTGTGCTTTCAGCCACTTCACTGTCACC
The DNA here is from genome assembly GCF_000001405.40 of Homo sapiens. Lineage (NCBI taxonomy): Eukaryota > Metazoa > Chordata > Mammalia > Primates > Hominidae > Homo > Homo sapiens. Next base: position 56,041,846 of record NC_000014.9, on the reverse strand, counting down.
TCTTCAATATCTAGGGCTGAGAAAAAAAGAAAAGGGGCTAAAATATTTTATGGAGGTGGGGGGTTGTAGAAAAGAAATATTACTCATATTCAGAGAAATCAGGGAAAGTTTCAGAGAAGTAATAATGTTTGAACCAAGTTCTATAAAATAAATATTACTTAGAAGTTATAGTGAATCTCTTTCTCCTTGAAAAAAGGCCCTATAAGAAAACCTCCCTTTCTGGAAGTTTCAGTAAAGAGAAAGGGGGCACAATGGGCTGAAATAATGAAAGGAAAAACCTAGCTAACTGATTTTCTCTGTCAATAAAAATAAATCATTGTCTGCCTGGCACTGTAGGGAATTTCAGGACTTTTGATGTATGGTCAACGTCTGCAGAAACTTAGAACTAGTGGGGCAGATGAGACACTGAAGTTGAAAAGGTACCAAGCCATCAAGTTCTAGATAGTGAATACCAAATGAGAGTATAGTTGGGTAAGTGGTAAAAGAAAGCTGGCCAGTGTCAGCAGTCCTGACCCCAGCCCCATCCTCAGGGTATATTTCCAAAGACTGGTTGAAAGACAGTCACTAAGGATTCATCAGAAGAGGATGGTTTACTGGGAAGTATTTGCAGTATTAGAAGTGGAAATGATATGAGACCCAGGGCGCAGAAGAGTCTTTGAGACTAGATTAGAGTTGAGCTTTGCGCATTCCAAGGTTTTCAAGACTTAACCCTTATAGCACTTTATGGAGCTTGCCAACCCAAGAGGAAAATGACAGAGTGGTATTCTTAGGGAAGTCTGTGTCCTTGGTGCTAGAGTCCCCAGGCTTTTGAGATTGCTGACTGCTATAAAAGGACCACATGGGCCCAAGCACTTCAGCGGTACCCAGTGAAGACAAAAGGCCAGACTGTGCTGAATTGACCCGCAGGGCCTTTATGTAATGAGTGGGCTGGAGAGCCCCAAGAAGAGCTGAGATTGGTGTTTTCCATCCTGTCCAGTAGAGCTTCTGAGTCTTCAAATTTGATAGAGAAAAATAAAGTGGCCCGGGCGTGGTGGCTCATGCCTGTAATCCCAGCACTTTGGGAGGCTGAGGTGGGCAGATCATGAGGTCAGCAGTTTGAGACCAGCCTGGCCAACATGGTGAAACCTCATCTCTACTAAAAATACAAAAATAAGCCAGGCGTGGTGGCGGACGCCTGTAATCCCAGCTACTCGGGAGGCTGAGGCAGGAGAATTGCTTGAACCTGGGAGGGGGAGGTTGCAGTGAGCTGAGATCATGCCACTGCACTCTAGCCTGGGTGACAGAGTGAAACTCCATCTCAAAAAAAAAAGAAAAAGAAAAAGGAAAAAAAAGGAATTGGTGACTATTTAGAAAAGCCTTGGTGTTTGATTTTGTCTATGTATGCTTAACCAGAAGAAAATATATGAAGACACATAATTTCCTCCTTTTTCTCTGTGTTTCAAAACTTTACTAGCATTCTCTTATTATCTCCTTCTTCCTCTCTCTCGCTCCTCCCTCCGTCTTTCTGACAGCATGGCTGGGCTCTGGTCCATAGTTTCAGGAGAACATGGAAAGCCAGCTCTCTAACTTCCTAGGGCAGATACTTTGAACACTTTAATAACAATGAATTTGCTTCTTTGCCTTACATTTTTCTCCCATTTCTTCCTCTTGCTCTTTGTATGTCATGACAACTGTGCCAATTATTTTTGGCACAGTTCACTTTTTATATCAAAGAGCTACCAGTTTCTGACTTTGCTGAGGAGAAAAACTCTTTTACCTTGATAAATTACACATAGCAAATATTTAGGAAGATGTAGTTAAGATGAATAAATGATTTCTAACAATGAGCAGGTAAGATATAAAATGACTGTGATATTGTGAAGTATATATTTGGTCTTAGACCTCTGTTTCCTGACATACAACTCCTAGAGTCCTTAGAATCTCCAAAGTGATGTGTTTTGTATGCTAATGAGTTGAATCATGATTGGCAACCCCTAGGCAGCTTCAGCATGGGGACTGGTCACCAGAAAGACCATGGCAGGATTAGAGGGTTGGGACCTTCAGCTCTACCTCCCAACCTCTAGGGAGAGGAGAGGGACTGAAGATTCAGGGCAGGGTTAGAAGAGTTTCCAGACAGCTGAACACATGGAGGCTTACAGGCAGGTGAAAGGGTGGTGCACCGCAACTCCACAGGGATAGAAGCTCCTATGCTCGAGACCCTTCCAGACTTCAGCCAATATATCTCTTGACCTGACTATTTGTGTCTTTTAAAGTATCTTTTGCAAAAAACTGATAATAAGTGAATGTTTGCCTGAGTTTTACGAGCCACTCTAGCAAATTATTCAAACCTGAGGAGGGGGTTGTGGGAACTCTGATACATAGCTTGTTGGTCAGAAACACAGGCAACATTGCCTGGGGCTTGTGACAGGCATCAGAGGTGGGAAGGACAGTCTTGGGGACTGAGCCCTCAACCTGTGGGAATCTAACACTATCTCCAGGAGGATAGTGTTGGAATTGAATTAGAGGACTCCCAACTGGTGTCCACTGCAGAATTGAGTGCTTGAGTGTTGGTGGGGGAAACCCCACACACACATTTGGTCAAAGAAGTGTTCTGTGTTGATTGTTGTTGTGGTTGGAAAGCAGAGAAAAAACAGTTTGATTTGTGTTTCCAGGTACAATGTCCTAAGATGTCCAGCCTTGCTCCTGACAGCTGCTAAGTTTAAAATTGCATTCTTCTGAACAGGAGTAGAATCTCCTTGGGAAAGATGGGGTGTTGCTTTAAAAAAAAAAAAGTCCCTTGGAAATGATCTGGAAGTTTCAGAGAATGATTTTCTATAGGCTTCTTGAAACATCATCAACTATCACAGAAGAAATGTCAATTTGACAAGTTTCCTCATTTGGGGGGAGATGTCAGATATCCATAAATGACAAGAGCAGAAACTTCCAACTTGAATCCAATGATAACCGAATGTTGCAATTACGTTTTTAAAATGCTCCTGTAAAAATTCTAATTGGGGGGATAGTACTCCCACACATAAACAAGAAGGATGAGCACCATAGCCCAATTCAAGTCCCCAGAAGAGTCAGGGACCCACACAATCTAGTATTTAAGTCAAATAAACTCGAAGGGGTTTATTCAGGGTACCAGAGTCCCAGCTAACAGATTATTCTCACAAGGGATTGAGACAACAGATATCAAACTACAAACTTTATCACTGTAGATGCTAGCTAGAAAGCCAGCTAAGCATGAGCCTGCCCTGGGACTTCTTACCACTCTCCCTGAATGGAGCCCAAGTCAAGCACTAGAGGAAAGATGGCTGCCCCTGTGCAGGCAGTGAGCAGCCTGGTGTGGACAGTTTGCCACATGGAAGCAGGAGTGGTGAAGAGGAAGCAGAGTCTGAGGGCTGACAGTTTCAAAGAGAGAAACACCGGGACACACACAGTCAGTTACCCATGATGCACCAGTGTGTCCCATGATTCACTCCTCTTCACATGAAGGTAAAGAAGGACAAGGATTCCTCTAGGCAGCAGCCTCCTGAAGAGTGAAGTAAAAGTTCTCTCTCTTCGGAGACTCAAATTCTCCAAATAGAAGTCTACAAAGAGTGTTATGTATGGAGTCTTTCTATATCAATTTGCTAAGGCTTTTGTAACAGTATATCACAAACTGAGTGGCTTAAACAACAGGAACGTATTGTCTCACAGCGCTGGAGGCTGAATGTCTGAAATGAAGGTCTTGGCAGGGTTGGGTTCTTCTAAGGGCCATAAGGAAGGATCTGTCCAGACCTCTCTCCTTGGCTTGAAGATAGCCGTCTTCTCTCTCGTCGATGGTCATCTTCATCTTTTCACATTGTCCTCCCTCTTTGTCTGTGTCCAAATTTCTTTCTTTTTTTTTTTGTAAGGACACCACTCACATTGGATTAGGATCTGTCCTAAGGACCTCATTTTAACTTGATTACCTCTGTAAAGACCCTGTCTCCAAATAAGGTCATGTTAGGTATGGTTTCTTGAATCAAATGTTCCAGGAAAAGCCAGTTGAATAAATGTAGCAGTTTTATCAACTTATCCAGCACATGCCAGACAGCAAAATGTCTCACTGATGTATGTGCGCCCTTGGGGCAGCATGGCTCATGTAGAGTGCCCAACCATGCTCCTCCAATTGCTGCTAATTCTGAACAAGAATGTTGGGAAAGGAATTCTCAGTTTCACGAATGCTTTTGGGTCCCACATCTCAAAGAGAGTCTCTCTCAGGAACATGAATAACGGGCTCGATTGCACATGTTCCCTGTCAGAATTGTTCAGCGATCCAGAGCTCCCGTCTCTAAATATTTACAAAGTACTACTTATCAGAATGAAAGAGAATGTTTCTGTACCACAATGTCAGGCATATGGTAGCAGCATGAAATAGAAGATAAATCGTGTGGGGTGATTCCAACTGGATTTAATGCCAGCAATAATTATTTTTAATCAGATGCAAGGTTCCCTTGATGATACCAGACCATGTAACATCGGGAAATAATTTTGTCAGTTTTCATTGTCTGATGCTGTTTCTATAAATAATCTTGTAGGACCTTTTGAAGTATAGCTTTTTATCTTTTCTTTAACCCTTTTCATTCTCTCTTTCTATGGGAATGGCCTACTCTCTAAATCCTGGCTTTTGATTACAAGATGACTTTATAAAATTACATAAAGCATTTGAGGCATGGCAAATGCTCTCACAAATATACATAATTTCAACAAATTAAATGATACCCTGTGCACATCTTACCTCTCCCAGTCCCCCCAAAATAACTGATAACCTGAGAGCAGTCCCAATGAGGTGATATTTCATTGGTATTTGAAATGTGTTAGTGCCTAAGTCCAGAAGCAGGTTAGATGTGCCTCTGGGGTAATAAGAGCCCCAGTGGGCACCTCTTGGCAAAGGCTGTGTGTGTGTGTGTGTGTGTGTGTGTGTGTGTGTGTGCCACCACACCCACATGCATCTCATGAAAACCAAAAAAGCATTTCCTAGCCAGCTGTGATCTGGAATTTTAAAAAATAGCTGGTAATTTTTAAAATAACTGGCTATTTGAATTCACTTGTAGGTTTAAAGTGTGTGTGTAGGGATACAGCTAAAAATCCCATTTTCAACCAATACAAAGAGGACGTTCTTGTATAGAAGAATTTGATACCAATATGTGATTAAAGCAAAGCCACATCTGTGGTTCAAACCCAGCATTTGGGTCAGGCTGATGAGTCCTTGGCTGTAGAGAGAATTTTGCCCTCTGGGCTTTATGCAATGCTGGAAGGTGACGCCTGAAACACAAATCAGTTCACAAGCTCAGCTGCTCTCCAGCTCCCAGTTTGCTGACTGCCAGAGATGCTCTGTCCTGTGAGCTAAGGAAAGGCTATTCGTCCCTCCTGGAACTAAGTTATTCCAGCTGCTTCCTTTGGTGCAGACTAAAGTGGATCCCACATAGCTGCTGCCACCCCCAGAGCCAGAATCTCATCGGTAGACCTCCAACAGGGAAGCGCTAGCTGCTGGGGAGTCACAGAAATGTCCAAGGTTCACCATCAACCGTAGTTCTATTGGGGTCAATGTGAAGATTTCAGACTTCCAGATGCACCCTTACCTATAACCGATCTTGTTACCTTGCTTTCAGACAAATAATCCATTTTACAATCTGCCTTTGCCGCTTGATCAAAAAAGGCAAGAAAAGCCTTCTTGCTTTCTCATTTATAACTTTACTGATGATCCAGGGGTGTAAAAACCTCTGAGTCACCAAGCAAAGTTAGGGACATTAGTGTAGGCACTGAGAAAGGAAATGATCCTGATGACTGGGTAGCAATTTCTTTCTCATGTCAGGTGGTTTTCAATTCTTAGCTTTTAAACGAAGACTGAATCTAGTTGTCACCTCATATATTGTTAAAAATAATTTTGGATAATAGATCATTATGTGATTTTTTGTTTTACAAATAACTCAGACGGATGAACACAATTGGGAACTCTATTACAGCAAACCTCTTTCTATTCCATCTACTTATTCAGCACTTTGCTTAAATACTTGGAGAAAGTTATTATATGCCAGGGACAGGTTTAAGCCCTTTACAAGCATTAACCCATTTAATACTCACAAGAACCCCATAAGGTAAGTTTTATTATCATCCCTGTTTTACAGATGAAAAAGAAAGCTCAGAAAGGTTAACTGTTTGTCCAAGGTCAGAGAGGTAGGAAATGACAAGAGCTGGGATTTGAACTCAGGCAGACTGATCCCAAAGCTTTTGCGGACACAGGCTGCACTTGGCTAAATATGGTTTCTCAGTTTATATCAATGAAAACAAAATGGGAATAAAATTGTTGTTGAACTCTACCTTATTTTAGCAGTATCTCCATCTACTAACAAATGATTAAGGTGAAAATTTTACATGCCCTATTCATATTAAGAAATAAATCTTCAATAAAATATTACTTTTGTGTTTAAACATTATCAAACTTTCTAACATATTTTTGCTATTTTCATTAATATTTCTAAAACTTATATTGATGACCAATCCAGAAGAAATTTTATCATTTAAAGACTTAGTCACAAGCAATTGAAACATTAAATTCCATACACACACACACACACACACACACACACACATACACACAATTTTTTGTTGCAAAGTATAATGGAGTAAAAAAAGTAAGATTTGTAAGTAAAATTACTACATTAAGATAAATTTCTTCGGGGGAAACTTGAAGAACAAAAAGGAATAATGTAAAATTTCCCATTTTAAAAGCTGAGCTTATATATTTCCCTCATTTTTTGCATTGATCTTTATATATCTTTTGAGATAACAGAATTCTTTTCTTAGATATAACACATTCATTTTTTAAGTGGATAATGTGTATGAAATTACTATAGTAGTTAGATTCCTTTGGATATGTTTTAAAGGGCAATGTAAAGGTTTTATTTTTAATAGTCAATAGTTACACTATGCTGGAAATTACACCCTTCATAACTATTCAGCTAATGATGATTTTTTGGGGGGTGTCAATCTAAAATGTGCAAGGGCTACATCATTTTTCAAAATTATTTTGGAAAATCAGTGTTATGTGAACAAAAATATTCAAAGGCCACTGCTGTCATTATGGGCATCCCTCATCCACTCCTGGTGTATTTTATTTCTCTTACTCCTAACACATCCTAATTTATTCATTCAATTAATATTTGTTAAGCATGAACTACATGTTAGACATGGTATCAACATGACAATGAATAAGACAGCTGCATTCCTGATTTTATGAAATAGTGCGATGCTAAGTCCTGTGAAGTTTTTTCTTATTATTCCTTCTCTTGGGCTTCTGGATCACTTTCTTTTTTAAGTATTATTTTTAGTTGAGGCCTGGTGCCCCTGAGCAAAAAAAAAAAAAAAAAAAAAAATTATTAAAACTATGGAATATTTCAAACATACAGAGAAGCATAAGGAACAGGAAAATGAACACTTGTGTTCTCAGCACCCAGTTTGGACAAATCTTAACATTTTGCTCAACTGCTTCATATTCAACGAAATAAAACAAGAAAATGTTACGTACACAGTTGAAGTCACCTAACTACCTCTCCCTAATTCCATGTGCTCTCCTTTCTTCTCAGAGGTAAACTCTATCCTGTATTGTGTTTCCAATTCCCAAGCAATTTGTATACTTTTACTGCAGATAAACAACATAGAGTTGTATCGTTTTGTGTGTTTTCAAACTATGCAATTATATTATTTTGCACACATCCTATAACTTGTTTTTTGTCCTCGATGTTTTTAGATTGATGTAGTTTATATATGTTACTCTAGTTAAATCCATTAATTTTTTTGCTATATAATATTTCATTGTATGAATACATTTGTTTAACCATTAACAATTTTTTTAACCATTCTTCTTTTATTGGCATTTGGGTTGCATCTAACGTTTTGCATCACAATGTGGCAATGAACATTCTCATACACATCTCTTGTGCAAGTTTTGAGAGTTTCTCTGGCATCTACATCTAGAAATGGAATTCCTAGGTTTTAGAGTTTGTACAGTTTTAACTTTATTAGGTATTGCCAACTTGCTTTTTAAAGTTATACAAGCTTACACTCCAACTGGATAAGAGCATTACTACTTCTATTCTGTTGGTGAATACCCTTGAATTTTCAAAATGTATACCTGGGTTCTCTTTTTTCCCTGCCATAAGGACCTGAACAGGTTTTAGCTACCCATTAACACTTCCTTCCTTGTGTTATTGTTCCCTAGAGTTTTGGTTCTACCTTATTTTAAAAGCACAAAAATTTAATAATTTTGTAAATAAACATATAATTGTTGATGAAATTTGCCATTATCAATTTTTCTATTCTGTTCCCCTGAATTCACTTTGATGTGTATTGAAGTACATTCTCTAATCGTTCTTTTAGAGGATGTACATCCTCTTATTGTTCTATGAGTGATATAGTGTTAGTCCATTTTCACATTACTATAAAGAAACTTCATAAAGGAAAGAGGTTTAATTGACTCACAGTTCTACATGGTTGGGGAGGCCTCTGGAAATTTATAATCATTGCAGAAAATGAAGGGGAAGCAAAGACTCTCTTTACCTGGCGGCAGGAGAGAAAAGAGTGAGGAGCCAAGCGGAAAGAGTCCCTTATAAAACCATCAGATCTCGTGAGAACTCACTCACTACCAGGAGAACAGCATGGAGGAACCACTCCCGTGATCCAGTATCCTCCCACCAGGTCTCTCCCTAGACGAGTGGGGATTATGAGGATTACAAAAATTTGGGTGGGGAGACAGCCAAACCATATCAGATATGTTAGTCTTTCTTTTAAAAAGTCTTAGTTTTATTCCTGAATGACAGTTTATATCGGTATAAATGTGTATGTTGACAGCGCTTTTCTACCCTCAACACTTTGAAATTATGTCTCCATAGTGCCTATTGTTTCTGAAGAGTCTAAAAGTTCCTTCTAAAAAGAAGCCTCTGCCAATCTAACTTTTATTCCTTTGTTTGGTAGCTTTCTCTTTGTCCTTTATATTCTTCTATTTCACTCTAACATGTCTAGGAATAGATTTATTTTTATTTATTCTGTTGGGTATTTGGAGTGTATGTCATCTGAGGAGTCATAAAATATTCTTAGCTATTGTCTTTGGCTTTTTAATTCAATTTTTATCTAAATAAAAATACATGCACAAAATTTTAATAGTAAAATATTTCTGTAAGACAGAATGAAAAACAGCAAATTCCTGCCTCACCTTTCTCCAGTCCTGATTTTTTTTTTTTTGCTCCTTTGAAGCAGCCACTTTCTACTTTTAAATATTTTAGCTGTTTCTTTTAGAGTTTACTTCTATTATTAAAAATAACATTTGTATACTATTATTTTTTTTTTAGTTTTAGATTTATCTATTGACTTTCTAACATGAGGGATAACAATTTATCCCTTTTAATCCTCACCCTCCTCAAACACACATTTTGCAATCTCCATCCTTCCAATATAGTTATGTTATAATTTTAGTTAAACTGAGGGAACATTTGCACTATTATAACTATTATTATTCATAACTGAGCCATGCTGTGATCACATTTTTCTATTGAAAAATTTTATTTCCCCTATACAAATAATTGCCTTGTTCTTTTATTCAGTTAAATTTTTATATACCTGGCATTAATCCAAATTTAAAACATATTTTTATATGATCAGACACATCAGATAATCTGCCAGTTTTATTTATGTCTTATAGATATCTCTCGTGGAGTCCTTCAACCTCCTCTTACAATCTGAAGGGGTTGCTTCCTAGGTTGGTTGCACAGTTGTAATCCAGGAATCTCCCTTAATCATCTCGATTCCTTTTTCTTCTTTTCTAATTGAATTCACTGTTCCCTAGATCTTATGCTTTTGTCCTTTTTCGGATTATGTTTTGATGTTGATGGAGTATATTCTCAAACAGCTTTCTGAGGACGGGTGCACAGAAAGTAAATTTTTTGAGACCTTGCATGCCTGAAAAACAAGATCTTTATTTCATTCTCTAGAATGAATAGACTACAGTAGCCTAGTATAAAATTCTAGACTACTAGCACTTTGGGAAGCTGAGGCAGGTGGATCACTTAAGCCCAGGAGTTTGAGACCAGTCTGGCAATACAGCAAAATCCCATCTCTACATAAAAGAAAAAATTAGTTGGGCATGGTGGTGCTCATGTCCCAGCTACTCAGGAGGCTGAGGTGGGAGGATCACTTGAGCCCAGGAGGTAGAGGCTGTAGTGAGCCGAGATCACACCACTGCACTCCATTATGGGTGACAGAGTGAGACCTATCTCAAAAAAAAAAAAAAAAAAAAAAAAAGAGAGAGACAGAGAAAGAGAATTCTAGACTAAAAAATTTTCTCAGAATTTGCTGTTGGGCAGCTTACATTTCTTATTCTTGATATTTTGTGCTTGAACTTTTATAAATAATATTTAAAACATACTAGATTCTTTTTTTTTTTTTTTGAGATGGAGTTTTGCTCTTGTCACCCAGACTGGAGTGCAGTGGCACGATTTCAGCTCACTGCGACCTCTGCCTCCTGGGTTCAAGAGATTCTCTTGCCTCAGCCTCCCAGTTAGCTGGAATTACAGGCACTCACCACCATGCCTGGCTAATTTTTGTATTTTTCGTAGAGATGGGGTTTCATTATGTTGGTCAGGCTGGTTTTGAGCTCCTGACCTCAGGATACTCTTCTTAATCTCCAGGGACTTGGAATTTCAAAATAACATACATTGGTGTGGGTCTTTTTCTTTTGCGGGAGAATTTGGTGGGCCCTGGTAATCTAGAAACACATTTTCTTCAGTACTTGTAATTGTACTGAATAGAATTAAGTCATTTCATCTGTTCCTGTTTTCCCTGATTCCAGAGTCCCTCACTATAACTTCTTCAACAAACAAAACTCCAGTCTTTTCCCAGAGAGTGAGGAGGGGTGGTGACTTGACTTGGCTGGACCTGGTGAAAAAGGAGATCTGGGTAGTTCACTGCTTCTTCAATAAAGACTTTCAACCAATTTTCCTGTTAGATATATCCAAGTCTCCAATTTCTGAACCATTCTTGTTTTTTGAAGTATAAATCATGTTGGTTACTGTTGACTTCTCCCTTTGTGGATTTGGCTTAAGCTCTCATTCACCAAATCTGCTATAATTTATTCATTTATTTTCAAGCTTAAGTTTTGGATCTGTTTTCATTTCTCCTAGCTATAACTTAATCGATTTATTTGTGATATTTTTACTGTCATGTTAGTAAAATCTTGGTAGGAAGCAGTAATAAATGCTTTCTTAACTAGAAGTTAAAGTTATTGTCTCTTCACATAATTACTCTTTATTATTCTTTCACATCTCTTTTTCTAGCATTTATATTAGATATATGTTGGAGATTTTTCATTTATCCTGTATCTTTTAACAGTTCAGCCATAATTTTAAACTCTTTGTCTCTCTGTGTTATGTCCTGTACAAATTACCTATTCATTTATTGTCTCTTCATTCATTCCAATCTAAAGTAAGCGGCATCTATTAAATTTTTATTTCAATGACTATTTTTCTAATTTTGAAAATTTCTAATTATTTATTTTCTCATTCTTAGTTTATCTTTAGTTTTGTTTTATGGCTTAATATAAAACTTTTATTAAAAGATTCATTTCCTCTAAAATAAATTCATGTTAAAGATTCAAAGTTGTCATCTTTGTTAGCATTAAATTTCTTTGCATGTTTTGCATTTTGAGTTTGCAGGTCAATTTTCAGTGTTTTTCATTCTCTTTCTCCCCCTATGCGCAATTATCCTTGTGCAGTGGTTTTATGGATGTCATTAGTTAGCTTCCAGATCTGGCAACATAACAGAAGTTCAGTTTTCCTGCCTTGATGTGATATTGGTGACATGCAGATTCATCTAGCCAGCCAGTGGCTTAGTTTGTCTCCAGGTTGCGAGATTATATCTGGTTCTTCCTATTTTCCTAGACCTGTATCATGTGAAGAGCCTTGCCCCAGACAACAGTTTGAAGTAGCTTTTTTCAGACTCCTCTTAGGATCAGGGTGGCTCCACTAATTCAAGCAGTGAGCTTCAGAAATCTCACACAGAGCATGTTGAGTCTTCATTACCCTACAAGAGCCAAACTCCTATATACCACTGTCTGAGTTCAAGATCCCATATATACCAGTGGTTTCAGCCCCTTTCATCACTTAGTGATTCTTTCCCAAATCTTAAGTTATGTTTGTTTTATTTTTGATCCTATGTCATTTTGCTTTTCTTTCTCTCTTTACATTACCAGACTGGACCATATGAAATTGCTAGTTTCTTGGTAAAATGATAAAATATCAGCAGTCTTATACAGTTCACATTAATAAACCCATTTTTGCCATGTGTTTTGCATGAGTACATCAAAGTATAAACATATGTGACATTATGACTGGAGGTCTCTATACACTCTTTAATCCTTCTTTATTTCACCAATCAACTCACCTACTCACCAATCAATCAACCAAACAGACACAGACTAGAATCCATACACAGTTCCATGCAGAGACTCCCCAGCCTGCCCCATAAAGGGCCTTTTAAATTTTGGAAGGCTGCAGAGAGGTAGGGAGGAGGCAGTGGGAGTTGATAAACAATGAACGTTTGAGAAAGAACTTTCAGTCTACCTCCTCCAAACTGCAGTATTCTTCTTTCTGTCATCATCTAAAGGTTTAAACCAAATGAATTTTTATTGAATCTAAGAGCTATGATTGTTTTGCTTTCATTTTTCAGAGGGAAGAACTAGAAGATATGCATAGTAAGAGAGAAAATAACATATTCATATTTCATTTTTATTATTAAAATCTTGACTTACAGCCACTATCAGCAAACATGTGAATAGCCTAGCTGATACAATGAATAAAAAGCCGTGGGTAATGGAAATGTCTACTGTGTGCATTTTTGGAACTTGATTTTTACGAGAGACAAAGCAGAGAAAGCTGGAACACAAAGTTTTTCAAAGAAGTAAGAGACCAAGTATTCACCATGATGAACAATTCGATAGCTTCCTCTCAAACATACGAAGTTTAGGAAGCACTGATATCTGTTAGCCTCAAAAGATTCAGGATCCCTGAATTCTTGCTTCCACCCTGTTACATACCCCTCCCAACACACACAGACTACTAGTTACCCCTAAACATCCATTCTGTCCTTTTTCTACGTAATATGATCCCTGCTCTTTACCTGGGCACATTGCCACCCAATTGAAAGACTACCTTCACCAAGCCATAAAGTAGTTGGCAGTGACCATGTAACTAAGTTTGGCCATAGAGTTCCATGTGACTTCTGGGAAGTTTCCAAAAAGGGAGGGTCATGCTCTTGGTCCCTACATCTGTCTAGCTGCCTAGAGCAAAAATATGAGGCTGGAGTTCAAGAAGACATCTCAGAGCCCCAGGGAGGGCAGAGGGGAGAGCTGGGAGGGACCTGGGTCTCTGATGACTTAGTAGGGCTGCCAGAGCAGCTCTTCTCTGGCTGCTTCCACACTTCTTTCATTTGAGATAGACACAATCTCCTGTCCTGTTCAAGCCACTATTACTCTCATTTTTTTCTGTTCTATGCTGCCAATTGATAGTGCCTGCAAATTACCCTGGTCCTAAAATAAATTATGTATCATGATGCGTTCATGTGATAAGTCTCAGCACTTAGCATTTTCATGACAAAGTGGAAGGGCAGAGAGGTTTGTCATGTGATTCATTGTACTTTAGTTCTAAATGCTTGAAAAACAGTTGGATTTCCCTCAAGTTTGTTTGATCATGCAGCAATTTCCAATGACTTCAGCCAGCAATATTTGAAAACTGTGGTTTCATGTCATAACTATCTGGGCCTCTAGAGTAAAATACATCTTTTGTTTTCAAATGTCAATCTCCCTCTGAAAGAGAAGAAATACTTTTAAAAGCTAAACCCTGTTAACTGCTGTGAGCTTGGCTTGTATATTACTTGCCTTGTATGTACAGGAACACCCACTACTTTCTACCCCCATAATTTCATTGTGTCCCTGACTAAATCCTCATCATTCCTAAAGAGAAGACCCATAGTTGTCAGGAATGTTTTGATTTAAAATGAGAGACATTTAACTCATGCTAATGTAAGGAAAGCACAAAGTGTTCATGCCACTGAATAGTTCATGAGACGGAACTTCAAGCTTGGCTAGGTCAGGTGGCATCATCAGAAATATGTTTTGTTGCATCTTATGACCTTGCTTTCCTCCATGATAGCAGGGTTTCTATGTATGGTGAACAAAATAGCTCCTAACAAACAAAAGTTCCCATAGTCCTTAATGTTAACATTAATACCCCAAAAATAGGCTGCCCCTGATTTGTCTGGCTTAAGTCACATGTTCATCCTTGAACTAATCATGTGGCTGGGGGAATGGAGTGTTCTGATTAGCAAGGCCTGGTCCACATGTCACCCTTGTAGCCAGGGGTACTACATTAGCAGAGCATGAGAAAAAAAGAAGAGTGATTTCATCATCACCAGAAGAGAGCATACTTAGAAAGAAAAGACAACAGGCATCTTCCATGGGCAATTCAAGAACTTTAAAAAACAGAAGGACAAATAATGTGTTACTGTCACATTATTTGTTGTTGCATGTGACAAATGTTGCATGTGACAAGATGTTGCATGTGACAAATGCAACATCTTTGGATGCTTTCTCGGTTGCACCCTTTTCATCTTACTGTATTTTTCAGCTAATTACATTTTACTGCTAATTAATTTGTAGTACAGCTAGTACTTATTATTCAGTATCTGTTATTTATATAAGTTTCTCATTCTTCTAACTTCTAAAGTTCTGGCTTTTCAACCTAGAGGTGCATGTTTGGTAAGACCAAAGCGATGTAGAAATGGAGGGATTTAAAATTCTTTGTTTTAAACAGATGAGATGGTTGGGTTTGGAAGCTTTGAGGAATTCTGACATAGAGAGTGAAATAGCTCTGATTTAGGAAATGCTTTGAGAGATTACAATACTGGGTTCTATCTATATGGGAAAGGAATAATACTGACAACTAGCATAAAATGGATGGTAGAATTCACTTAGCATAAGTTTTTATGTCCTAAGAGTTTCAGCTCCAATTTATGCAGAAACCTCAGTGTGAGTCAGTTAGAGATAGGAAGCCAGGACATGGTAAGACCGAAGGTGGATCATGAGGGACTGTTCACCAGTCATCCAAATGGCAAATGTTATGCTCAGCCCTGACCAAATGGCATCAATAGCCAAGTGTTCCTGATGTGGAAGTGGCATAGGCAGAAGACAGCATGTGAGTCAAGGGGTGGCCCAAGTGTAGTCTAGGACTCCACCCAGTAGTGCTGGTTACAGAGAGATCAGTGTTCATTCCTCAAGAATAGGTACTGGCAAAAGCTAGGCGAACTCTCCAAACCTCATAAAAGTAGTTTAGTATTTAAAGAAAAACTTCATGTCCAGGAGGCACCTTTAGGTACAAATCAAGAAACAAAGGCAATAATAGCACAATGATGACTGGGCAGTTGGTCATGGCTTTGATCAAGGGCATGCAGTTGCCAGACAAATCCCAGATTCCAACAACTGGAGAGTGTATAACTGCTAATACCTTGCTAACTTGGCACACAATGGCTGGAAAACTTAGGGCTGAGATTTCCAGTTTAAGATTTCAGCTTCAAGAGCCTTAGAATGAAGAGGAAAAACAAAATGATGAATTTGAAGCAATCTTCAACTACTTTAAAAACTTACACTTATTTTTATATTTTGAAGCACCTACTCCAGTGCTGGCGATTGTACTCAGTACAGATGTACTGGATTAAAGGAAGAATGACATAAACACTCATTCATCTGTCCCAATGTGACCATACAGAAAATGGGGGGTAATGAATGTATCCACAAATGGGAAGAATGCTGGCTGGGCCATCTGCTGATGCAAACTTAATCCACTTGCTGCAGGGTTCTAATCAACTGAGCCAACCAGCTTCCAGGCCACACTTCCAGGATCCACCAAAACGCTTGTTAATATCAATCTGTTTTCTAGCTCCTAGGAAACAATGTGAGCTCTCGGTCTATGCTTTCTTGAACTTTGAGAAGACAGCTCTTGGAAGTAGAAACATGGGGTTTTTCACACCTAGAATGATGACATCTCCAGGCCCAGTGACTATCCATGAAGGGAATTTTGTGCTTTTATAGTTTTTATACTGGGGGAGTCTGGTGCAATACTTCTGGACATGCTCACCCATTGTATCTTTCTGGCTCCGATGTTAAAAAAAGCCCTCTTGCCCCTTGCTTATTTCCTTCTTAAAGAGCATGTAAACCCTGGTTAGAGAGGAAATCACTCATTGCTTCCATGGGATTGCTAAATAGTTTTTGGAACCTCTTGGAAATCAAACAAAGTAGGTTTCACCAGACTATCTTGGCCATCACTGGGCTGACAGATGTCATATCCAGGTTGTCCTCATGCCCAAGTAGTTAGTGGGAGCCAGGCCAGAACTCCAAGCTGGCAGTCCAAGGGCATACACCGTTGGAGTGGACAGTGGGCATGAGGCATAGTTGAATCGGAGATACACCTGGGTCAGGGAAGGCAGGTAGGCTGATAGGTAATCAAAGTTAAACAAGGCAAGAAATAGACTTTTTATCTCTTATCAGGGAAAATGTAGGCAGGGAGAAAATGTCAACGCATTGAACAGCTCTGTGTGACTGTGAGTGCCCTTGTTTTTAGGGAAATCTTGGTTAAAGGACATCACGAAATCCCATTGCAGTCTGATACCTTCTTGGTCGGTCACTACATCCTTCATTCTTAGAGCTCTATTCCTGAAAGGAATTCTGTTCCTAGTGTGTGGGACTTCATTTACATGGAATCATGTTTTTTTGTTTTTGTTTTTTTGTTTTTTTTTGAGACAGAGTCTCGCTCTGTCACCCAGGCTGGAGTGCAGTGGTGCGATCTTGGCTTACTGCAACCTTCGACTCCCAGGTTCAAGAGATTCTCCCGCCTCAGCTTCCCAAGTAGCTGGGACTATAGGCATGCACCACCACGGCCAGCTAATTTTTGTATTTTTAGTAGAGACAGGGTTTCACCATGTTGGCCAGGCTAGTCTCGATCTCCTGACCTTATGATCTGCCCGCCTTAGCCTCCCAAAGTGCTGGGATTACAGGCATGAGCCACTACACCTGGCCTGGAATCATCTTTAAACACTCTTTCATATACACTCAGGAGCTAAAAGCCTCGGTGTCATGAGAAGTTCAGATCTTCAGATCTTATCTGAATTAGTGTTGAGGATGGAGACAGGAACGTCTTTTTTTTTTTCTTTTGGTTATAGGGTCTTCCTCTGTCACCTAGGCTGGATTGCAGTGGTGAGATCTTGGCTGACTGCAACCTCTGTCTCCTGGCTTCAAGTGATCCTCCCACCTCAGCCTCCTGAGTAGCTGGGATTACAGGCATGCGCCACCACACCTGGCTTTTTTTGTTGTTGTTTTATTTTTAGTAGAAACTGGGTTTCACCATGTTGACCAGGCTGGTCTCGAACTCCCGGGCTCAAGCAATCCTCCCGCCTCGGCCTCCCAGAGTGCTGCAATTACAGGTGTGAGCTACCATGCCTGGCCAGGACAACATCTTTAGGAAAGTATTTAGGAAGAGTTTTTTTAAGGAAGATGTTGTCCTTTAGGAAGGACAATGTCTTTAGGGACTGGGGAGGAGGCCTTCCCTGTCCTCTTGACCATTCTTTCCCCTGTGGCCTCTGACTCCGGGGCAGGGGAGAGGCAGTACTCTGCTACACTTCAGTGGAAGCTGCAGCTGGGAGTCTGGGGCCAGGGTGCAGCATGAACATTGCTGAGCCCACCATTGCAGTGGCTCCAGTCAGCCTTGGCGTTTGTATGCAAGGTCCCTGAGCCTCTGCATCATGCACAAGCACTTGGGAGGAGATGGTAGCATTGAACAGACATTCTCTCCTCACCCACATAAATCCTCAGAGGGTTTCCCTCTGTGGGTTTATAAAAGCCCTTTATCTAATTCATGGCTCAGAGAATTGAGCTCACTGGCAAGAGGCTTTTTAAGTCAAATTTTGAATAATTTCTCAGCAATTCATTACGTAGGAAAACAGGTCCTTTTTGTTCTAATACTTAGCCTAGGAATGCAACTACTCTCTGCCAAATTCATTAACAAAACCTGTGTATAAGGCCTGGAAGGCTCAGGCCAATTTCTTAAATGTGCTAAAACTTGCTGGTCATTGAAATGTAAATTTTTACCTTCAGCTAGAAATTATTCACAAGTGTTAGATTGTAGGAAATAGCAATGTCACTTTCAAATGCCCAGGATAGTTCCAGACCAAGTACCCATTGTGAGCTGAGGCTTAACGTGTGGCAACCAAGAGAGACAGCCACATGTCATCTTTCTGATTGGCACAGAAGGGAGGCCCGTGAATGAACATGAGCACAGCTTGAAGGTGAAAGAGTCCCCTCATTGGCAACATAAAGTGACCAGAGCTCAGCAGACCCCACAAGCAGGACCAGGCTGTTCAGGCCTCCTGCTCACACACCCATTATTGTCACTATTAGAACAGTCCAGCCTTGCCACCCCAGCCTGGCCTATGTGGAGCAAGGGCAGGGTTCTCTAGACAGTGGAAGAGAGGGTAGTGGCTAAAGGACCCCAGAATGATGAAGCTAGTGAAACAGGGAAAGGCATAAAGAGTCATCTCCAGGGATGCGGCTGCTTGATACAAAATTGGGTATACTTATTCCTAGTTATATACATTATTTATATTATGTCGTAGTAAAAGATACCATATTGTTTATATTTAAAATATTTAATATATAACTTATATGTAATATAAATAATACATTTAAAGTAAAATATTAAAATATTTAGAAATCATATGAACTTTTAATATATCCTATGTATATTTTTAAAATATGTGTTAGTATAGATGCTTGGAAAAAACCTGGAAAAAATTATACTAATACAAGGCTATTGATTTGCCTGGCACAATTAAAGGTAAATTTTTGGTTTCTTCATTATGCTTTTCTATATGTCCTAAGTTTCTTTTAGTAAGCAAAGTTTTCTCTTGTAATTATAGTTGTAATTATCACCATTATCAACTAACATTTATTGAGTAATCGTTTTGCTCCTGGTACCATGCTAAGCACTTTACATGTATTATTTCATAAACCTAATAACCACCACAGGTAACCAGCATCACAACCATTTGTAGAGGTATTATTTGGTGACAATTAAGTACTGTTGAAGATGCTCAGGCTTCACAAGGTAACTCACCACCCAGTGTGTTAGAAACTCCTTTTTGGTCACGTCCATAGAATATTCTGTCCCAGAGGTCAAAGTTAAGACAAGTTGCTTGGTAGGTAAGACAAGCTTCTTTGTGCTAGTGTTCTCAGCATCACCTGGGAGTCTGTAGAGGTGGATAATTGTACTTTCAATTTGCTTAAATACCAGAATTATCTTAAATAATTACAGAGAATCTACTATGCATCAGGCCTTCAGACACTGGGCTGTGGATGAGAATGCTAAGAGAGAAGATGGCCCCACCTTCAGGGTCTGGTGGAGTTGCAGACAGGAGAGCAAGCTAACCTAGCATGTGATCAATGCTACAAAGGGAAGCCATGGCCGTGGTACAAAGAAGGGAGGACTCTGCCCCAGAGATGTCTACGTGTGGCTGAACAGCCTAATTATCTGGAGTGCTTTATGAAATTACAGACTCTGGATCTGAATCGCTGGGGCAGAGCCCTGGGAATCTGTATTTCACAACAGTTCTTCTGGTGATTCTGATTTGCAGTCAGGATCAGAAATCACCAATAGATTCTTCTCTTTGACTTGCATGGTGCATGGTAGGTACCATGTTTGGCTGGCAGAGTAATCTTCTCTTTTTACATAAAAAAGAAAGTTTTAAGAATGCATGACACTTAAGATGGGTGTGGAAGGATAAGCAAGAAACTTCAGTTTTATTCCCTCATTCAAGCAGTGTCTCACAGAATAATATGTCTTGAAGAAGTGTTAAGACGACACATCTCCCTGGTAACCTTTTTCTCAGTCTAAAACAGTTGAGAATATCAGTAATTGTTTCATATAGTAAGTATTTATATAAACATTTCTATTGCCAAGCATCCAATTCAGTTCCCATGCATCAAACAATTCAATGCGTCTTTTTTAGGACCTACTATGGGCAAAGTACATTGCTAATCAGTGAGCAAATAAGGCCCCTGACCTTGAGGAGAACAAAAGGGCTTTTTAGATAAATAATCTAAGGAGAGAGAAGAGGAGTAAGTCATGAGTGCATAAAGACATAGAAAAGTTTGATCAAATTGCACACAAGTTCAGTTTACATGTCCCTCACAGCTATATTCATATTTTCCCACACTACTAAATCGTTGGTTGTATATTGAGAAATAAACTGCTAGTTTCCAACCCAATATCCACCTTCCCCTTCTCTCTACATTACTGGAGTCAAAAACATGCCTCGCAGGGAAAAACCTTAAATTTTCCGACCTCCTTTACATTTAAGGGTGGCAGATGTGATGGAAGCAAAAGTCATTGATTGAGGCTTCCAATAAGGCCCTTTTTTTATCCCTGCTGCCCTTTCTGTTGCCTGAAGTTCAGATTGCAATTGTTGGAGCTCCAGCAGCCATCTTGAAACAATGAGGGAATGTCCAAATAAATCACAGACACCTCAGTTGTGATATCTTTGTGCTGTTGAGCCATGGCCAGTCTCTATTTACCTCCAGACTTCACAATATGTGAAAGAAATAAATCCTGTGTGTTTAAGCCACTTTGGTCAGGTCTCTGTTCCTAGCAGCTATAAACACCGCTTAATTGCACCCATTCTGGTCAGGTACATCTATCTCCCAGAGCCTAGGTCATACATACAGAAATCTACCAGTGTGCTTCAATGTACTTGTTCATATGGCTTGCAAACTGGACTCCTGTACACCATCAAATAACTAATGAACATTTGATGAGGGATCTTCTATTTCATTCCCCTCAATCTGTTACATAAAGAATAGTTAGTTGCTTGGCAAAGATTATATAGGTAAATGGTCAAGTTTGAGACCAAACCCAAAGCTTTGGGTACCCCTATGCTGTGTATTTCTACTGTTCTGTTGCCATTGAGCCATCCCAGGAGGCTCTTGGACCCTCCAATTCGTCAAGGATGAAAAAGGCAGTCTTGACATTTATAAATTTTACTTAATCATTGCTTTGTTGCCAAATCTGTGAGATTTGGGGAAAGGTTCTGTTGTCATGAAAGACTAGATAAAAGGACAGGCTCCTCTTTCACTATTAAAGAAAATCTGCTCCTGCCCTGAAGCTCGCGATTCCATTTCCTTTGCTTCGATAAACTACAAGTGGTTTTAAATTGAGTCATAAATTTCTCCAGGCCTTTTAAAGACCAGCCCCTGCCTTTGATTCCCCCACCTCCTGTGGCAGTGAAATCTGGCTGGAGACATACACATACCACTCTGTGCACATTTAGACTCGGAGTTGGAAATTTACAGTCCATGCCTTGCAGAATGACCTCGATTTTCCAATAGCCTGAGATGGAACCAAAGAGATTGCCAGTGTAGATGTGCCCAGGTTGGCAGGTCTCTGGGACTTACCCAAACCACATCTAGAGAAGACCCTAACACCATATATCAAGAAGTGAACAATTTATTGGTGGCTCCAATGAACTCCTTGAGTTAACGATATTGACTCCTTGCTTTGGAGTCATGGACAAAGATATATTTTTCTTTGTTAAATCATTTTTAAGTTACTTACTTTGGCCTGATTACCTATGTCTGAGCTATAGGGACTGAATAATTTTGAAGAGTAAAACCACTATGTTTAGTAAGACATGATTAGTAAAATCCATCTCGGGAGGAGCCAAGATGGCCGAATAGGAACAGCTCTGGTCTACAGCTCCCAGCGTGAGTGACACAGAAGACAGGTGATTTCTGCATTTCCATCTGAGGTACCGGGTTCATCTCACTAGGGAGTGCCAGACAGTGGGCGCAGGTCAGTGGGTGCGCGCACCGTGCGCGAGCCGAAGCAGGGCGAGGCATTGCCTCACTCGGGAAGTGCGAGGGGTCAGTGAGTTCCCTTTCCTAGTCAAAGAAAGGGGTGACAGAAGGCACCTGGAAAATCGGGTCACTCCCAACCAAATACTGCGCTTTTCCGACGGGCTTAAAAAACAGCACACCAGGAGATTATATCCCACACCTGGCTCGGAGGGTCCTATGCCCACGGAGTCTCGCTGATTGCTAGCACAGTAGTCTGAGATCAAACTGCAAGGCGGCAGCGAGGCTGGGGGAGGGGTGCCCGCCATTGCCCAGGCTTGCTTAGGTAAACAAAGCAGCCAGGAAGCTGGAACTGGGTGGAGCCCACCACAGCTCAAGGAGGCCTGCCTGCCTCTGTAGGCTCCACCTCTGGGGGCAGGGCACAGACAAACAAAAAGACAGCAGTAACCTCTGCACACTTAAATGTCCCTGTCTGACAGCTTTGAAGAGAGCAGTGGTTCTCCCAGCACGCAGCTGGAGATCTGAGAACAGGCAGACTGCCTCCTCAAGTGGGTCCCTGACCCCTGACCCCGGAGCAGCCTAACTGGGAGGCACCTCCCAGCAGGGGCAGACTGACACCTCACACGGCCGGGTACTCCAACAGACCTGCAGCTGAGGGTCCTCTCTGTTAGAAGGAAAACTAACAAACAGAAAGGACATCCACACCAAAAACCCATCTGTACATCACCATCATCAAAGACCAAAAGTAGATAAAACCACAAAGATGGGGAAAAAACAGAGCAGAAAATCTGGAAACTCTAAAAAGCAGAGCGCCTCTCCTCCTCCAAAGGAAGGCAGTTCCTCACCAGCAACGGAACAAAGCTGGATGGAGAATGACTTTGATGAGTTGAGAGAAGAAGGCTTCAGATGATCAAATTACTCTGAGCTATGGGAGGACATTCAAACCAAAGGCAAAGAAGTTGAAAACTTTGAAAAAAATTTAGACGGATGTATAACTAGAATAACCAATACAGAGAAGTGCTTAAAGGAGCTGGTGGAGCTGAAAACCAAGGCTCAAGAACTACATGAAGAATGCAGAAGCCTCAGGAGCTGATGCGATCAACTGGAAGAAAGGGTATCAGCGATGGAAGATGAAATGAATGAAATGAACCGAGAAGGGAAGTTTAGAGAAAAAAGAATAAAAAGAAATGAGCAAAGCCTCCAAGAAATATGGGACTATGTGAAAAGACCAAATCTACGACTGATTGGTGTACCTGAAAATGATGGGGAGAATGGAACCAAGTTGGAAAACACTCTGCAGGATATTATCCAGGAGAACTTCCCCAATCTAGCAAGGCAGGCCAACATTCAAATTCAGGAAATACAAGGAACACCACAAAGATACTCCTCGAGAAGAGCAACCCCAAGACACATAATTGTCAGATTCACCAAAGTTGAAATGAAGGAAAAAATGTTAAGGGCAGCCAGAGAGAAAGGTCGGGTTACCCTCAAAGGGAAGCCCATCAGACTAACAGCTGATCTCTCGGCAGAAACTCTACAAGCCAGAAGAGAGTGGGGGCCAATATTCAACATTCTTAAAGAAAAGAATTTTCAACCCAGAATTTCATATCCAGCCAAACTAAGCTTCATAAGTGAAGGAGAAATAAAATACTTCACAGACAAGCAAATGCTGAGAGATTTTGTCACCACCAGGCCTGCCCTAAAAAGAGCTCCTGAAGGAAGCACTAAACATGGAAAGGAACAACTGGTACCAGCCGCTGCAAAATCATGCCAAAATGTAAAGACCATCGAGACTAGGAAGAAACTGCATCAACTGACGAGCAAAATAACCAGCTAACAACATAATGACAGGATGAAATTCACACATAACAATATTAACTTTAAATGTAAATGGACTAAATGCTCCAATTAAAAGACACAGACTGGCAAATTGGATAAAGAGTCAAGACCCATCAGTGTGCTGTATTCAGGAAACCCATCTCACGTGCAGAGACACACATAGGCTCAAAATAAAGGGATGGAGGAAGATCTACCAAGCAAATGGAAAACAAAAAAAGGCAGGGGTTGCAATCCTAGTCTCTGATAAAACAGACTTTAAACCAACAAAGATCAAAAGAGACAAAGAAGGCCATTACATAATGGTAAAGGGATCAATTCAACAAGAAGAGCTAACTATCCTAAATATATATGCACCCAATACAGGAGCATCCAGATTCATAAAGCAAGTCCTGAGTGACCTACAAAGAGACTTAGACTCCCACACATTAATAATGGGAGACTTTAACACCCCACTGTCAACATTAGACAGATCAACGAGACAGAAAGTCAACAAGGATACCCAGGAATTGAACTCAGCTCTGCACCAAGCGGACCTAATAGACATCTATAGAACTCTCCACCCCAAATCAACAGAATATACATTTTTTTCAGCACCACACCACACCTATTCCAAAATTGACCACATAGTTGGAAGTAAAGCTCTCCTCAGCAAATGTAAAAGAACAGAAATTATAACAAACTATCTCTCAGACCACAGTGCAATCAGACTAGAACTCAGGATTAAGAATCTCACTCAAAACCGCTCAACTACATGGAAACTGAACAACCTGCTCCTGAATGACTACTGGGTACATAACGAAATGAAGGCAGAAATAAAGATGTTCTTTGAAACCAACGAGAACAAAGACACAACATACCAGAATCTCTGGGACGCATTCAAAGCAGTGTGTGGAGGGAAATTTATAGCACTAAATGCCCACAAGAGAAAGCAGGAAAGATCCAAAATTGACACCCTAACATCACAATTAAAAGAACTAGAAAAGCAAGAGCAAACACATTCAAAAGCTAGCAGAAGGCAAGAAATAACTAAAATCAGAGCAGAACTGAAGGAAATAGAGACACAAAAAACCCTTCAAAAAATTAGTGAATCCAGGAGCTGGTTTTTTGAAAGGATCTACAAAATTGATAAACTGCTAGCAAGACTAATAAAGAAAAAAAGAGAGAAGAATCAAATAGATGCAATAAAAAATGATAAAGGGGATATCACCACTGATCCCACAGAAATACAATCTACCATCAGAGAATACTACAAACACCTCTACGCAAATAAACTAGAAAATCTAGAAGAAATGGATAAATTCCTCCACACATACACTCTCCCAAGACTAAACCAGGAAGAAGTTGAATCTCTGAATAGACCAATAACAGGAGCTGAAATTGTGGCAATAATCAATAGCTTACCAACCAAAAAGAGTCGAGGACCAGATGGATTCACAACCAAATTCTACCAGAGGTACAAGGAGGAACTGGTACCATTCCTTCTGAAACTATTCCAATCAATAGAAAAAGAGGGAATCCTCTCTAACCCATTTTATGAGGCCACCATCATCCTGATACCAAAGCCGGGCAGAGACCCAACCAAAAAAGAGAATTTTAGACCAATATCCTTGATGAACTTTGATGCAAAAATCCTCAATAAAATACTGGCAAACCGAATCCAGCAGCACATCAAAAAGCTTATCCACCATGATCAAGTGGGCTTCATCCCTGGGATGCAAGGCTGGTTCAACATATGCAAATCAATAAATGTAATCCAGCATATAAACAGAACCAAAGACAAAAACCACATGATTATCTCAATAGATGCAGAAAAGACCTTTGAAAAAATTCAACAACCCTTCATGCTAAAAACTCTCAATAAATTAGGTATTGATGGGATGTATTTCAAAATAATAAGAGCTATCTATGACAAACCCACAGCCAATATCATACTGAATGGGCAAAAACTGGAAGCACTCCCTTTGAAAACTGGCACAAGACAGGGATGCCCTCTCTCACCACTCCTATTCAACATAGTGTTGGAAGTTCTGGCCAGGGCAATCAGGCAGGAGAAGGAAATAAAGGGTATTCGATTAGGAAAAGAGGAAGTCAAATTGTCCCTGTTTGCAGATGACATGATTGTATATCTAGAAAACCCCATCGTCTCAGCCCAAAATCTCCTTAAGCTGATAAGCAACTTCAGCAAAGTCTCAGGATACAAAATCAATGTACAAAAATCACAAGCATTCTTATACACCAACAACAGACAAACAGAGAGCCAAATCATGAGTGAACTCCCATTCACAATTGCTTCAAAGAGAATAAAATACCTAGGAATCCAACTTACAAGGGATGTGAAGGACCTCTACAAGGAGAATTACAAACCACTGCTCAAGGAAGTAATAGAGGATACAAACAAATGGAAGAACATTCCATGCTCATGGGTAGGAAGAATCAATATCGTGAAAATGGCTATACTGCCCAAGGTAACTTACAGATTCAATGCCATCCCCATCAAGCTACCAATGACTTTCTTCACAGAATTGGAAAAAACTACTTTAAAGTTCGTATGGAACCAGAAAAGAGCCCGCATCGCAAAGTCAATCTTAAGCCAAAAGAACAAAGCTGGAGGCATCACACTACCTGACTTCAAACTATACTACAAGGCTACAGTAACCAAAACAGCATGGTACTGGTACCAAAACAGAGATATAGATCAATGGAACAGAACAGAGCCCTCAGAAATAACGCCGCATATCTACAACTATCTGATCTTTGACAAACCTGAGAAAAACAAGAAATGGGGAAAAGATTCCCTATTTAATAAATGGTGCTGGGAAAACTGGCTAGCCATATGTAGAAAGCTGAAACTGGATCCCTTCCTTACACCTTATACAAAAATCAATTCAAGATGGATTAAAGACTTAAACATTGGACCTAAAACCATAAAAACCCTAGAAGAAAACCTAGGCTTTACCATTCAGGACATAGGCATGGGCAAGGACTTCATGTCTAAAACACCAAAAGCAATGGCAACAAAAGCCAAAATTGACAAATGGGATCTCATTAAACTAAAGAGCTTCTGCACAGCAAAAGAAACTACTATCAGAGTGAACAGGCAACCTACAAAATAGGAGAAAATTTTTGCAACCTACTCATCTGACAAAGGGCTAATATCCAGAATCTATAATGAGCTCAAACAAATTTACAAGAAAAAAACAAACAATCCCATCAAAAAGTGGGCGAAGGACATGAACAGACACTTCTCAAAAGAAGACATTTATGCAGCCAAAAAACACATGAAAAAATGCTCATCATCACTGGCCATCAGAGAAATGCAAATCAAAACCACAATGAGATACCATCTCACACCAGTTAGAATGGCAATCATTAAAAAGTCAGGAAACAACAGGTGCTGGAGAGGATGTGGAGAAATAGGAACACTTTTACACTGTTGGTGGAACTGTAAACTAGTTCAATCATTGTGGAAGTCAGTGTGGTGATTCCTCAGGGATCTAGAACTAGAAATGCCATTTGACCCAGCCATACCATTACAGGGTATATACCCAAAGGACTATAAATCATGCTGCTATAAAGACACATGCACACGTATGTTTATTGTGGCATTATTCACAATAGCAAAGACTTGGAACCAACCCAAATGTCCAACAATGATAGACTGGATTAAGAAAATGTGGCACATATACACCATGGAATACTATGCAGCCATAAAAAATGATGAGTTCATGTCCTTTGTAGGGACATGGATGAAATTGGAAATCATCATTCTCAGTAAACTATCGCAAGAACAAAAAACCAAACACCACATATTCTCACTCATAGGTGGGAATTGAACAATGAGAACACATGGACACAGGAAGGGGAACATCACACTCTGGGGACTGTTGTGGGGTGGGGGGAGGGGGGAGGGATAGCATTGGGAGATATACCTAATGCTAGATGACGAGTTAGTGGGTGCAGCGCACCAGCATGGCACATGTATACATATGTAACTAACCTGCACAATATGCACATGTACCCTAAAACTTAAAGTATAATAATAAAAAAAAAAAAAGCAAGCAAATGAAAAAAAAAAATCCATCTCACCGGTAAGTTCCCATACTTGGTGGGTGTGTTAGTTGGTTTTGTGTTGCTATAACAGAATATTTGAGACTGGGTACTTTATAAAGAATAGAGATTTATTTCTTACAGTTATGGAGGCTGGGAAGTCCAAGGTCAAGAGTCTGTATCTGATGAGAACCTTCTTGCTGTGTCATCTCATGGTAGAAGGCAGAAGGGCAGGAGATCATATGTGCCAGAGAGAGCAAGAGATCAAACTCACAGGAACAAGCACTTTTATAATTGGCATCAATCCATTCTTGAGAGTGGAGCCCTCATAACCTAAACCCCTCCCATTAGGTTCCATCTTCCAACACTGTTGCATTGAAGATTAAGTTTTTATCATATGAACTTTGGGGGCCACATTCAAACCACACAACAGTGGGTCACAGCAGAAGACTCTAGACAAGTATGTGAGTCTCCCATCTATCCCTGCTTCTTCTCTAGGGTCAGTTTGTCAGATGAGAGAGACAAAGTCAGGGTAGAATGCTTCTACCTAAGCAAATGGAATGTGTGTGGCCTGGAAATGGGAGCAGCAATCCCTTCTTCTGCACCCTGTACTCTTTACGGGCAAGGCTTGTAATCTCCAAGTCATGGCCAATTCTATTCTACTCTTTGAGCAGGCCTGACTATAGCAAAAGAAAACTTCTACAACTTTGAAGTTTTTTCTAAAGTCAAACCTGTCCCCAGGTCTCCCTGCTGGCAAAACATTCACTGTCTATGTTACCCAGTCTTGGTCTTTCTTAACGTCACACTCACAACCCCAGATTCTTCTCTGCTCTTCTCCATTGCTATTCCCATTCTCTCCCTCAGTACAACTAACCTCAGGAAATGGCAGAGAGATAACAGTCTTATTAAATTGATTCTCATTAAGGTGTGAATAATGTATAGGCTCCTCACCACCCACTGTCATCCTCTTAAATCATCTTCAATTTTACGAGTTTGACTTTTAGCCCCAACTTTTCTTCCAAAAAGCAGTGCAGTGTTGAGTAAATCACTGTATTGTAGAGCTTTCTTTAATTCACTTACATTTTCATTCATGCATTCAAATATTAAGCAGCAGTACAACATAGTATTTAAAAGGTGTAGACGGCCTGGGTTACAATCCTGTCTCTAAAACTAACAAGCTTTGCAAACTTGGGCAAGTTGCTTAACCTCTCTGTGCCAGTTTTGGCATCTTTAAAATGGAGATAAGAGTAGCGCCTTTCTCAAAGAGTTGCTTATTTAAAAAACATTTTCATCACATTGAGGACGTGCAGGACCTCTTCTAAACTTTTTATAAATATTATATACATTCATACATACATATTATATGTATAGACTATGTATATAACGTTATGTATACGAAGGTATGTACCGTAGTCTCCCCTTATCTGTGGAGATACTTTCCAAGACCCCCAGGGGATGCCTGAAACCACAGACAGTGCAGGATCCTGTATATACATTATATTTTTCCTATATTATACATATAGGCAAAATGTATACCTTGAAATACCTATGATACCTGTTATATGATCTATGAAAAAGTTTAATTTATAAATTAGACACACTAAGAGGTTAACAACAACTAATAAAAGAGAACAATTATAACAATATACTGTAATAAAAGTTATATGAATGAGGTCTCTCTCTCTCTCTGTCTCTCTCTGTCTCCATATGTGTTGTACTGCAGGTCACTGAAATCATGGAAAGTGAAGCTGCAGACCAGAGTACTACTGTATGTATATGGATGTATGTGTATCTGTACATGTGTATGTGAATATGTATGTATATATAAAATAACTAGTTAACCCACCCTCATATTATGAGTAGCTATGAGGTAGGTACTAGTATCTTCATATTATGGTTAAGGAAACTGAGACACAAAATGTTAAAATAACTTCCTAAACTCGCATAGCTAGAGAGTGTTGTAAGGATTAAATGAGTTATTAGGGAAAGTGCTTGGAACAGAGCCTGGCACACAGTAAGCACGATATAAATGTTAATTATGATTATGACAATGATTAGTATTATAACATTCTGGGCATTATACTAGAACAAGGGATACAATGATTAACAAGACACAGCCCCTGCCCTTTAAGAACTCACCATGTGGTGGGGAAAGTAGACATGCAAGTTGGTAATTATGCTGGAAGGTAAGTGTTAGAGTAGAAAAAAAGGACAGCAGGAGCACATGGAAGAAGCACTTGGCTCAGCCCAGAGCAGACCTGGCCAATAAAAATACAAAGGAACTTCAAAAGGTTTGTAGAAAGTGGAATGAAAAGATAAAAATAAAAAATATAAACTTTGTTTCTCAACGTAAACTCCATCAAGTTCAAGACACTTTTGTAAGTGGTCATACCAGCCATTTAGTCCATCCCTAAAGACCTGAGGCTCCTGGGCATTTAACCATGTCAATGCAGTTTTTATACATTATACAGAATGGGTGCCCTTTGCAGATATTTTAAGATTAGGAAACAACAAAGAAGTCACAAGGAGACAAATCAGGACTATAAGGTGGATGGCCAGTGATTTCCCATGGAAACTCTCACAAAATTGTCCTTCTGCAAGTGAGGAATGAGCAGGAGTATTGTTGTAGTGAAGGACTCTCCAGTCCTTCACTCCGGGACTTTCCTGAGTGTTTCTCTGCTAAAGCTTTGCTAACTTTCTCAAAACACTCTCATAATGAACAGGTGTTATCATTCTTTGGCACTCCAGAAGGTCAGCAAGCAAAATGCTTTGTTCATCCTAAAAAACTTTTGCCCTGAGCTTTGCTCTTGACTGGTCCTCTTTTGCTTTGACTGGACCACTTCCACCTCTTGGTAGCCATTGCTTTGGTTGTGCTTTGTCTTCAGGATCACACTGGTGAAGCCATGTTTCATCTCCTATTACAATTCTTTGAAAAAACGCTTTAGAATTTTGATGACACTTGTTTGAAATTTCCATTGAAAGTTCTGCTTTTGTCTGCAACTGATCTGGGTGCAAAGGCTTTGGCATCCATCAAGTGGAAAATCTGCTCAACTTTTAAAATTTTAGTCAGCATTTCATAAGCTGCACCAATTGAGATGTCTGTGGTGTCAGCTATTTTTTCTGTTAATTGTCCTCTTCAAAAACAAGATGACTTTTTCCTCGAAAATTAATGTGAATGGTCTGCTGTTGCAGGCTTCATCTTCAACATTGTCTAGTCCCCTCTTAAAATGAGTTCTACATTTGTAAACTGCTTACTTATTTGGGGCATTGTCTTCATAAGCTTTTCATAAAGCATCAATGATCTCATCATTCTTCCACCCAAGCTTTATCATAAATTTGATGTTGGTTTTTGCTTCAGTTTTAGCAGAATTCATGTTGCTTTGATGGAAGCTCTTTTCAAACTGATGGCTTAACCTTCTTAGCGCCTCAAACTAGATCCTATTCAGACATGTTGTAACAAGTTATTAAAAGTTTATTTTGGTGCAAAACAAACTGAAATCCACGCATAGTTTCATAATATGCATTTTCCACGAAATTTTGAAGACCCCTTATGTAGAACAAGCCAAATATGCAACTTGAAAGTTTCTAGTAGCCACATTAAAAAAGCAAAAAACAAAACAAAGTAAGCGAAATTAAGTTGGTAATTTCACAATTTTATTTAACCCAATATATCAAAATGTTAAAATTTCAGCATATATTCAATATTTTAAAAATCATTAGTAAGTCTGGGCATGGTGGCTTATATCTGTAATCCCAACACATTGCAGGGCTGAGGTGGGTGGATTGCTTGAGCCCAGGAGTTCAAGACCAGCCTGAGCAACAGGGTGAGACCTCACCTCTACAAAAAAATATAAAAATTAGCCAGGTGTGGTGGCATGTGCCTATAGTCCCAGCATCTCAGGAGGCTGAGGTGGGAGGATTGCCTGAGCCTGAGAGGTCAAGGCTGCAATGAGCCATGATCACACCATTGCACTCCAGCCTAGCGACAGGATGAGACCCTGTCTTTGAAAAAACAAAACAAACAAAACCATTAGTAAGGTATTTTATTCTTTTTTGTGCTAAGTATTTGAAATCTAATGTGTATTTTACACTTAGACTAGTTACATTTCAAGTACTCAATAGCCACATATGTCTATTGTCTTCTGTATTGGCCAGGCCAGACAATACAGAAGGCTTCCCGGAGGGAATGACACATGAACTGAATGAAGAAGTCATTCAGTTTTCATTTACCCCTGAGGAGGATGAGATTGCAATTCACTGGTGACTTTGACTCCAGGCTCCACTTCTCCAAGACAATGCTTCATATAGTTGGCAGAAAAATGGTCCTCAAAGATGTCTATGTCCTATTTCCCAGAACCTGTGAATATGTTAACTCACCTGGCAAGGAGGAGTTAAGATTATAGATGGAATGAAGCTCTAATCAGCTGACCTCGAGATGGGGAGATTCTCCTGTTTTACGCACATGCGTATAACTTAATTACTTAATTACAAAAGTCCTTACATGTGGTAGGGGGAGGCAGAAGAATGGTCAATGTCAGAGAGATGTGATATGAGAAAGACTGAACTTGCCATTGCTGGCTTTGAAGGTGGAGGAAAGGGCTATTAGCCAAGGAATGAAAACAGCCTCTAGAAGTTGGAAAAGGCAAGGAAACAGATCCTTCAAAAAGCAATCCCAATAAAAAGTGGACAAAGGAAGTGAACAGACACTTCTCAAAAGAAGATAGTCATGTGGCCAATAAACATATGAAAAAAGCTCAACATCACTGATCATTAGAGAAATGCAAATCAAAACCACAATGAGATACCATCTCACTCCAACCAGAATGGCAACTATTAAAAAGTCAAGAAACAACAGTTGCTGGCAAGGCTGTGGCAAAATAGGAACACTTTTACATTGTTGGTGGGAATGTAAATTAGTTCAACCATTGTGGAATACAGTGTAGCAATTCCTCAAAGACCTAGAACCAGAAATACCATTTGACCAAGCAACCCATTACTGGGTATATATCCAAAGGAAGATAAATCATTCTATTATAAAGATACATGCATGCATATGTTCATTGCAGCACTATTCACAATAGCAAAGACATGGAATCAACCCAAATGCCCATCAATGATAGACTAGATAAAGAAAATGTGGTACATATATGCCATGGAATACTATGCAGCCATGAAAAGGAACAAGATCATGTCCTTTGAAGGGACATGGATGGAGCTGGAAGCCATTCTCCTCAGCAAACTAATGCAGTAACGGAAAACCAAACACTGCATATTCTCACTTATAAGTGGGAGCGGAACAACGAGAACACATGGACACAGGGAGGGAAACATCACACACTGGGGCCTGTTGGAAGGGTGGGAGAAGAGAGAGCATTAGGATAAATAGCTAAATGCATTTAGCTATTTAGCTAATGCATTTAGCTATTTATTTATTTAGCATCAGAATAAATAGCTAATGCATTAATGTAATTTGTTATAGCAACAATAGGAAATAGTCCCATTTTTCCCTTCTGGGCACTGGGGAACCCACCTGAAGCCCTACTTCTTTTATGAATCCATCTTCACCATGGTTAGGTCCCTGAGAACTGGAGTGGGGTGAGACTCTGTGGGCTTCCTAGCTGTCCCCACCCCATCTGTAACTATGATGATGTTTACCATCATGTAACACTCTTGTTTCCTGTGCAGTCTGCTATTAAATGAAATAATGGAAGTGAAAGTCCTTTGTCATCACAAAAGTTCTCGCCTGACCCTGCTGTTCATAATGTTAATAAAAAGCAAAAGGTGTTAATAATAAGGGAAACTGAGGGCAGTAAGGAGCCATATGGGAGCACTGCAGTTTCTGCTCACTTTTCTGTCAACCTAAGACTGCTCCAAAAAATATAATCTATTAATTTTTAAAAAGTAATGCAAATACAAAGAAAAGTAAAGAAAAAAAGACTCACAATTCAACACCTGCAAATATACAGAAGGCCTTGTTAGCAAGATGTAAAAAAGAGATCAGATGAGAATGGTAATGAAGATACTTTTCAAAGCACAAAAGGAAGCCCACACTATGTAATGAAATGAAGAATCAGGGAACTATGGCTCAATTCCATGCTTCCACAGAAAAGAAGGCATGGCCACACTTGATCATCAGGAATGAGGGACCTCTGGTGTCCCAGACCCTTTCCCTTGGCATATCACAAAAGGAAAATGGACCAGTGTTCCTGCCAAGCGATTTAAATAATGATCCCAAGCCCTCTCTGCCACACCCAGCCTCATCCCCCTGGAAACCCCTTGAATGCGTTCTTAACCATTGTTCACAGGAGAACAGGCAGATCGTCTTACAGGTCCCTTTGATGACTGAATGACGTCAATGCTGAAGGGGGGGCCTGTGAAAGGAGAGGGAAGGCATTTTTCATGTGTTTTTTGGCTGCATAAATGTCTTCTTTTGAGAAGTGTCTGTTCATGTCCTTCGCCCACTTTTTGATGGGGTTGTTTGTTTTTTTCTTGTAAATTTGTTTGAGTTCATTGTAGATTCTGGATATTAGCCCTTTGTCAGATGAGTAGGTTGCGAAAATTTTCTTCCATTTTGTAGGTTGCCTGTTCACTCTGATGGTAGTTTCTTTTGCTGTGCAGAAGCTCTTTAGTTTAATTAGATCCCATTTGTCAACTTTGGCTTTTGTTGCCATTGCTTTTGGTGTTTTAGACATGAAGTCCTTGCCCATGCCTATGTCCTGAATGGTAATGCCTAGGTTTTCTTCTAGGGTTTTTAATAGGAACACTTTTACACTGTTGGTGGGACTGTAAACTAGTTCAACCATTGTGGAAGTCAGTGTGGCGATTCCTCAGGGATCTAGAACTAGAAATACCATTTGACCCAGCCATCCCATTACTGGGTATATACCCAAAGGACTATAAATCGTGCTGCTATAAAGACACATGCACACGTATGTTTATTGCGGCATTATTCACAATAGTAAAGACTTGGAACCAAGCCAAATGTCTAACAATGATAGACTGGATTAAGAAAATGTGGCACATATACACCATGGAATACTATGCAGCCATAAAAAATGATGAGTTCATGTCCTTTGTAGGGACATGGATGAAATTGGAAATCATCATTCTCAGTAAACTATCGCAAGAACAAAAAACCAAACACCACATATTCTCACTCATAGGTGGGAATTGAACAATGAGAACACATGGACACAGGAAGGGGAACATCACACTCTGGGGACTGTTGTGGGGTGGGGGGAGGGGGAGGGATAGCATTGGGAGATATACCTAATGCTAGATGACGAGTTAGTGGGTGCAGCACACCAGCATGGCACATGTATACATATGTAACTAACCTGCACAATATGCACATGTACCCTAAAACTTAAAGTATAATAATAATAAAAAATAAAAAAATAAAGATAGTAGAGGAAAAATCACACCCGTGACCTTGCAAAAAAAAAAAGAAAGGAGAGGGAAGGCTCTCTCCACCCTCAGGCCTTCTTTCTCACCATGACTCTTTGGGAAGTAAGAGAGGGAATGGCCTCTCTTTTCCTGTGAATCCCCTTCTTTCTGGCTCCTGTGGAAGAGGCTTGAAGGAGACACTGAGGAGTGAGGAGAGGAACACATGCCTTGGTTAATATTCCTAAAGTGTATCCAAGAGCTTGGGAGGAAAGACAAGAATCCTATCAGCAGGCTTCACCTTCTGTTCCCAGACAGCTAGGCAAAAACAACTTTGTTCGTTTCCTGTTTTCAAAAACAGTGCGTTATCAGAGGGTTTTTGTTGCTGTTGTTGTTGTTGTTGTTGTTTGGTTTTTCTTTTTAGGGATAGGGTCTGGCTCTGTCACCCAGGCTGGAGTGCAGTGGTACAATCACAGCTCATGGCAGCCTCTAACTCCTAGCCTCAAGCGATCCTCTCACTGTGGCCTCGCAAGGTGCTGGGATTACAGGCCTGAACTGCGATGCTGGCCTACAAGAGGGTTTAAGATGTATGAGAGCAGTGGTTACAAGACCCTGTAGGGAAGAGAGCAGAGAGAAAAGGGTGCCCTGATAATAGCAGTGCTCTCTCCACCCTGAGGCCCGTGATGCAAATGAAGAGGGAAACTTATTACTCACCTCAGGTTAGAAAGCGGAGAGTTTCATCAGTTGATATTCCAGGGACTTGGCAGTCTGAGATTTATGGACTTAATATAGTTTATTCTTTTGTGGCGTCATTGGTTGGGAAAGTGCAAGATTCCATGTTAATGAAACTCAAAGCAGGAATGATAAACCACATCCCACGAGGAACGGGGGATTGCCCGTTGAGACTCCCCCTGCATGGGCCCCAACAAACCCCCTGCTTGGGGCAGAACAACAGTCCTTGGGGTGTTATAAACAGCTCCACAGCTCCAGCTGGCTTTCTACCCCTAGACCCCTCCACAGTGAAGCAGCAAGTGTCTCCCAGAAGGAAAACTCAGAGGCCAAAATTAGGTAAAGATACATGACTTTATGTTAGACCAGATGGGACTCCTGGGGTTCCTTGGAAATGCAAAAGGGAAAAATGCAGCTCCCTCGTGGGTGTCTACGCTGATGTGTCATCTTGCTGCCCATGGAAACAGCAGTAAAGAGAAACAAACATTTGTTTTATCTTGCGGACCTTGCCTCACACAGATATGGGAAAGAATTTTGTAAATAATTGGTTATTTGAAATCAGTGTTTTCCTTTTCTTGATGACATCCTGAAGTACTTGTTACCTGGCAAGCAAATGACGCAGCTCAGCTGGAAGTTTCAGGTACCCAGAAATTGATTTACTTGAATATTATCATCGAAGCACTACCTTTAAGCACCTAGTTATTAGAGAAGGAAGAGGAATATGTCTGTGAGCCGGCGGCTAGGAGGAATCCTAAGAAAACACAAGTTTTTATGACGCTGTGGTGTGTCAGGACAGAGTCCGGCAGACCTGGGAGACGGGAGATAAGAGTCCTGGTTCCCAGCCCGTCGCCAGCAGCCTTAAGACTCCTTAAGTACAGTGCATACTCATGGGCGAAACAAAGCGAGAAGCAGCACCGAGGAGCAGCCTGCGACTCTGCTATTTTTAAACTGCCAATTAGAACGCCTAAAATTACGTGGCTAGAACCACCACATCCGCTCAGAGTTAATCATACACTTCTGAGCTGAAGTTTTAAATTTTCTGTTTTCCAAGTCCCTGATCAGAATATTTAAAAAGATTATTTCTTGGCTGCCTCAGGCCCACAGTTGAGTTGTGGTTCGGGATGATTTCTACTGGGAATGGCTTTTCTTGGCCAGAGTTAAAATCTGTCATATATACACACACACACACACACACACATACACATACACACACACACGTATATATATATATTTGGGGTTTTTTTTTTGGGGGGGGGATGAATTTTAAAACATAGAGATTTTAAAACAAAAGAGACAGGCAGAAATGCAAAACAATCCAAAGAGTGATCTAATGGTTCCAAGATTCTGTTTGACCAATCAAATTACAATAGTTAACGTGGGCCTGCCCACCACTTACCCTATTTCTCCTGCTAGTCCTCTTTTCCTCCAGGTCTTGCTCTCTGTGCAGTGAAAGAATATGACATTTTGCTAGGGGCACATGTCTCCAGTTTCCTCCACTGACATTGGACCCCAGAGCTCAATTCAAATGAAATGGGAGAGACAGGACATAATTAAAATCCTCGTCAGGCCCACTTAGAAGACCTATTACAGGGTCCAGACTTCACGAAGGCTGCATGAACCTTATACATGGGTTGAATCCCCAGTAATTCCTGCACTGCCCACACTGCACACTACCGACTTTGACTATCTGTGCAGCATTTGGCTAGCAGTAGCCTCCCAAAGCCATATGAGAGAGAACTGCTCTGAGGGACAATGAGAACTGAAAGAGAAAAATTCCAAAACAGAAAACACACACACACACACACCCCTCAAAACAAAAGGGGCTTTCTGGGTAGCATTTAAGCAAAATTAATTTTACTGAATGGAGGTATTAGAGTTTAGCCCATGCTGTTGTGTGTTTTGAGAAAAGCATATTTCTATGTAGTTATTTAGAAGTTGCATCCTAGGCCGGGTGTTGTGGATCATGCCTGGAATCCCAGTGCTTTGGGAGGCAAAGGATGCAGGAGAATCACTTGAAGCCAGGATTTTAAGACCAGCCTGAGAAACACAGTGAAACCCCCATCTCCACAAAAAGTGTTTTAAAAATTAACCAGGTATGAGGGTGCATGGCTGTAGTCAGCTACTTAGGAGGCTGAGCCCAGGAGTTGGAGGCTGCAGAGAGCTATGATCCTGCCACTGCACTCCAGCCTGGGCAACAGAGTGAGACCCCCAACTTTAAAAAAAGAAAATAAAAAAGAAGTTGCATCCTATCATATTTCTCATGACTGTACATTTATTTATTTAAACTTCATCAAGAGGAGAGCATTAATTTGTTTTTCTGAGAAAAGACGCATGATATCCTTGAGGACAAACAGAGCAAGTATTTTTCAAATAATATTCTACAAATTAACAACACCTCAGGAGAGACAGAAAGGGGGCGTGCAGAGCCCTGCGTGCTGCTCTGAGTGATGGCTGGTTGGTGAGGAAGTCTCCTGTCCCTCGGAGCCTCCTGCTCCCCTGCACGCTTAGCCCTGCGAGGCTCTTTTCTGAAACCAGACGTGATACAGAGGAAGGACTCTTGCCATCTGCGGCATCTCCGTCTGAATCAGTCTTCAATGTGGTTTTCAATTATTACATTTCCCAGACAATGCCCCATCCCCTACAATCTTATATTTAACAAAAGGCTGCCTATACCATTTTTTTTTTAAAAAAAGGCAAAAGATGGTGAACACAAAATTAAATGAAAAATTAAATGTGTGCTTATGATTTCTAAACATTTAAAAATGTGTCTGTGTGCATGGCGGAACTGCCACCAAATTCTACCTCTTGCGGCTGAAACCACTGTTTAATGTGGTCTTTTTGGTACTTCAGTAACTATAACCACTTGAATGAGTGCAAGATGATGAAGGCAGCAGCATGGCAGGTTTCATAGCAGTATCATAAGACAGCTTCCAAGATACAAAATAACAGTGATTCTATTTTATGGTGAGGAAATGAAGTTACACCATAATTAAATAATTTTCCCAAAATTTTAACTGAAAACAAGGAAGAAGAAAGAACTAGAACTCAGCAAGGGAGTTCAGACGGAACCCTCGTTTCCACACTCTTATCATCTAGTCCTTTTCTCATTTACATACTACAGTATATCTTAGTCCTGCCACAATAAATAATATAAGCTCTCTTCTCTCCTGAAAAGAGTTCATTCTGGGGGCCAGACAGGGTGCCTATTTCTTTTTAATACTGCCCCTCAGTCCTGTGAGCTCTGATTAAATGGTTTCACATGCTGAGTTAAATAATTGGAGTTGCCTAGTTCCCGACCGTTTGTTTGCCAGCTATAATGAGTGTGGCTGTTTTAAGGGAATGACTGATACACGAAAGCAGCAAGAAAAGCAAACAAGGCATCCTATTCAAAGAATGTGAAGAACGAAAGGTTACCACGGCCCAGCCTCCTGGGCACAACCCCACGCCCCCCGCCCACCCCACACCTCCATGCTCATAAATTGCAAATCTACATTCACAGCACAATGCTTTCACTGGCAAGCTGCCTCAAAAATCAGAATGCTAGTAATGCCAAGGCCTAGCTCCCAGCCCCTGTTTTGTTTTTGTCATTTACCAGCTGAGTATCCTTGAGAAAGCTGCTTCACTGTTCTGGGGCTGCAGTTTCCTCATCTGTCAAAGGAAAAGACCAACAGGACCTCAGTGACATTCTGTGCTTCCTCATAGGGAAGGTGGTTAAAGTTATTTTAATGAAGGCCACCGTGATCACCCAGAGGCCCCACTGGTGAGTCCATGAGCTGTAGAGTGTTATTTTATGTATTCCAAAGGAAGGGGAAGGTCTATACTGAAAAATGGACTCTATGTCTACACTTAAAAGCTTAAATTTTAATAGTGGCAGTAACATATCAAACTAGGAAGAGAAAAATAATAAAGGAGTGTATGTACAATACTTGTTTTTTATATATTATATAAAAATAGGTCTTGATGTTTGAGAATTCATGAAAATATCTACAGAGCATCTTCTATATGGTCCACACTGAACTGGGGACTCAGGAAAGGACAAGACACAACCTTCAAGGTGCTACAAGTTTAGTAGGCGTCATGGAGTACTGGGAACCCAGAGGAGGCATGTCTAATTCTGCCTGGGGTGAGAGGTCAAGGAAAACTACCTAAAGGTGAAAAGTGAGCTGAGCCTTCAAAGCAAGTAGGAGTTCACCACATAGAAAGGTTAAGGATCCAAGGCAGAGAAAACACAATGGGCCCAGGAACACAGGCTGGAGAGAGCTGCTGCAAAAGGCTTAGAACAGCTGGGGTAACGGGGTGTTGGGATGGGAAGGGGCAAGAAAGAAGCTGGAGAGGAGAACAGAGAGGAGCCATGAGGAACAGACACAGAAGGGCC
The DNA here is from genome assembly GCF_000001405.40 of Homo sapiens. Lineage (NCBI taxonomy): Eukaryota > Metazoa > Chordata > Mammalia > Primates > Hominidae > Homo > Homo sapiens. The sequence continues at coordinate 56,001,527 of NC_000014.9, read as the reverse complement.
TGGGGGGCTGGGATTCACCCACAGCACAGCTCTGGGGGCACCTGGAGGGTGGGTGTTGAATAATGGATCATGTTTATGTTGAAGGAAGATTATTCTGATAGCACAGATTTTGGATTCGAGTGGGAGGGATTGGGGGTGGGAGGGTGAAACAAAGAGGCAAGCATGAGAGAGTTTCCTGGTAGTGGTGACCATATTGAGGTTAAAATAAAGAGATTTCTGTCCATACATTATGAGAAGAGCACCTAAGGCAGGGGGTAAGCACACTGAGGCCCATGGGCCAAATTCTGCCCTGCCCCTACCTGGTTTTGAACAACCCCTGATCATTTTTAAATGGTTTTAAAAAAAACCCCAAAAGAAGATTAAGATTCATGGTACATGAGAATAACATGAAATTCAAGTTTCTGTGCCCATAAAGTTTAACTGGAGCCCAGCCAGGCCTCTGAGTTTATGATTGTCTGTGGCTGCCTTAGCACTACCAAGGCCGAGTTAGTTGCAATGGATCACGTGACCTGCAAAGCCAAAAATACTACCTGGCCCTTGATAGAAAAAGTTCACAGGCCCTGGCTTAAGACTTACAGATGAGAGGAAAGAATACAAATTTCTTGAGAGGAGAGATAATGTTTTCTCATCTCCATATGCCCAGCTTACGCCTGGCTTCTAATAAATATTCAAAGACTGCTGAATGAAGGAATGAGTGAGGACCAGGTGGAAAAGGTCCCAAAACTATGACGATGACAAGACAGCCCCAGAGACCGGCAAGGTACTTTACCTTGGCGGGATGATCTTTAGACCTGAGAAGGGCCCAGTGCCTCCCGCTCTGCACCCAATATGTTCTACTACCTTTTGTGGGGTGGAGAGTGGGGGTAGACACAGAAAAACCCAAATGAGTAACACAAAAAGATTCATTCACCTTTTTTCACTCTTTAATTTAAAAATAATTACGAGGTACCTACAAGAAGTCAGAACTGGGCTAAGTCCTGGGGATACATCTGGAATACAACAAGACACTTCTAATTTTCTATTCCCTTGTTCCTCCCCTCCAATTAATTTTCCTCCCAGATACTGGGGTAATTTTTCAGAAACACAGAAGAGTTTCTGAAACACACATTGCAGCCTTCCCAAGGAGAAAGTTCAAACCCTGGACCATGGCAGACAGGCCCTCTGTAGGCTGGTTCTCCTTTCTGACCCATGCTCCAGGGACATTTAGTTACTTTTGGTTTCCCAAAGGGGTCAGGCTATTTTATGACTATGAGCCTTTGTTCTTGCTTGTCCGTCTGTCAGGAAGGTGACCTCCTACACTTCCAGCACCTACTCATCCAATATAATTCAGCTCCAAGGGACTAGTAATGGAGTTGGCAGGTGTGAGGACAGCACATGGAGATGGTCTTTACAGAATTAGTGGGCAAGAGTGGCAGAGAGAAGGCAAGCCTGGATGCTCAAAAAGATTGAGTCCCCAAGGCCCTGTTTATTAGGGGTGAGCCTCGGGGTAAAATAGCAGGGGCAGCCTCAGAGCTGAGGTTGGGACTTGGGGATGGGGTTGCTTTCAGGCTATCAGAAGCTATTTATTATTATTATTACTTTTCTTTTTTGAGACAGAGTCTCGCTCTGTCACCCAGGCTGGAGTGCAGTGGCACGATCTCAGCTCACTGCAAGCTCCGCCTCCCGGTTTCACACCATTCTCCTGCCTCAGCCTCCTGAGTAGCTGGGATTACACCACAGCTTAGCAAAGCTGCTGTAGCCAGACTGCCTCTCTAGATTCATCCTCTCTAGGCAGGGCGTCTCTTAAAGAAAGGCAGCAGCCCCACTCAGGGGCCTATAGATAAAACTCCCATCTCCCTGGGACAGAGCACCTAGGGGAAAAGGATGCTGTGGGTGCAGCTTCAGCAGACTTAAACGTTCTGCCTGCTGGCTCTGAAGAGAGCAGCGGATCTCCCAGCACAGCACTCAAGCTCTGCTAAGGGACAGACTGCCTCCTCAAGTGGGTCCCTGACCCCCATGCCTCCTGACTGGGAGACACCTCCCAGGAGGGGTCGACAGACACCTCATACAGGAGAGCTCCGGCTGGCATCTGGCAGGTGTCCCTTTGGGATGAAGCTTCCAGAGGAATGAAAAGGCAGCAATCTTTGCTGTTCTGCAGCCTCCACTGGTGATACCCAGGCAAAAAGGGCCTGGAGTGGACCTCCAGCAAACTTCAGCAGACCTGTGGCAGAGGGGCCTGTTAGAAGGAAAACTAACAAACAGAAAGGAATAGCATCAACATCAGCAAAAAGGATGTCCACACAGAAACCCCATCCAAAGGTCACCAACATCAAAGACCAAAGGTAGATAAATCCACGAAGATGAGGAAAAACCAGCACAAAAAGTTTGGAAATTCCAAAAACCAGAACATCTCTTCTCCTCCAAAGGATCACAACTCCTCACCAGCAAGGGAACAAAACTGGATGGAGAATGAGTTTGACGAATTGACAGAAGTAGGCTTCAGAAGGTGGGTAATAACAAACTCCTCAGAGCTAAAGGAGTATGTTCTAATGCAATGCAAGGAAGCTAAGAACCTTGAAAAAAGGTTAGAGGAATTGCTAACTAGAATAACCAGTTTAGAGTAAAACACAAAGATGTGATGGAGCTGAAAAACAGCACGAGAGCTTCGTGAAGCATACACAAGTATTAATAGCCAAATCGATCAAGCAGAAGAAAAGATATCAGAGATTGAAGAGGAACTTAATGAAATAAGGCATGAAGACAAGATTAGAGAAAAAAGAATGAAAAGGAATGAACAAAGCCTCCAAGAAATATGGGACTATCTGAAAAGACCAAACCTACATTTGATTGGTGTACCTGAAAGTGATGGGGAGAATGGAACCAAGTTGGAAAACACTCTTCAGGATATTATCCAGGAGAACTTCCCCAACCTAGCAAGAAGGCCAACATTCAAATTCAGGAAATACAAGGAACACCACAAAGATACTCCTCGAGAAGAGCAACCCCAAGACACATAATCATCAGATTCACCAAGGTTGAAATGGAAAAAATGTTAAGGGCAGCTAGAGAGAAAGGTCAGATTACCCACAAAGGGAAGCCCGTCAGACTAACAGCAGGTCTCTCTGCAGAAACCCAACAAGCCAGAAGAGAGTGGGGGCGAATATTCAACATTCTTAAAGAAAAGAATTTTCAACCCAAAATTTCATATCCAGCCAAACTAAGCTTCATAAGCAAAGGAGAAATAAAATCCTTTACAGACAAGCAAATGCTGAGAGATTTTGTCACCACCAGGCCTGCCCTAAAAAGAGCTCCTGAAGGAAGCACTAAACATGGAAAGGAACAACTGGTACCAGCCACTGCAAAAACATACCAAATTGTAAAGACCATCGACACTACGAAGAAACTACATCAACTAACGGGCAAAATAATCAGCTAGCATCATAGTGATAGGATCAAATTCATACATAACAATATTAACCTTAAATGTAAATGGACTAAATGCCCCATTTAAAAGACACACACTGGCAAATTGGATAAAGAGTCAAGACCCATTGGTGTGCTATATTCGGGAGACCCATCTCACGTGCAAAGACACATGATAGGCTCAAAATAAAGGGATGGAGGAATTTTTACCAAGCAAATGGAAAGCAAAAAATAATAATAATAATAAGCAGGGGTTGCAATCCTAGTCTTCGATAAAACAGACTTTAAACCAACAAAGATCAAAAGAGACAAAGAAGGCCATTATATAATGGTAAAGGGATTGATGCAACAAGAAGAGCTAACTACCCTAACTATCCTAAAGTACCCAGATTCATAAAGCAAGTTCTTAGAGACCTACTTAGAGACCTACAAAGAGACTTAGACTTCCACACAATAATAGTGGGAGACATTAACACCTGACTGTCAATATCAGACGGATCAACGAGACAGAAAATTAACAAGGATATTCAAGACTTGAACTCAGCTCTGGACCAAGCGGACCTAATAGACATCTAAAGAACTCTCAACCCCAAATCATCAGAATATACATTCTTCTCAGCACCACATCACGCTTATTCTAAAATTGACCACATAATTGGAAGTAAAACACTCCTCAGCAAATACAAAAGAATGGAAATAATAACAAACAGTCCCTCAGACCACAGTGCAATCATATTAGAACTGACGACTAAGAAATTCACTCAAAACCACGCAAATATATGGAAACTGAGCAACCTGCTCCTGAATGGCCACTGGGTAAATAACAAAATTAAGGCAGAAAGAAATAAGTTCTTTGAAACCAATAAGAACAAAGACACAATGTACTAGAATCTCTGGGACACAGCTAAAGCAGTGTTTAGAAGGAAATTTATAGCACTAAATGCCCACAGGAGAAAGTGGGAAAGATCTAAAATCGACACCCTAACATCACAATTAAAAAAACTAGAGAAACAAGAGCAAACAAATTCAAAAGGTAGCAGAAGACAAGAAATAACTAAGATCACAGCAGAAATGAACGAGATAGAGACATGAAAAACCCTTCAAAAAAATCAATAAATCCAGGACCCGGTTTTTTGAAAAGATTAACAAAATAGATAGACCACTGGCCAGATTAATAAAGAAGAAAAGAGAGAAGAATCAAATGGACACAATAAAAAATGATAAAGGGGATATCACCACTGATCCCACAGAAATATAAACTACCATCAGAGAATACTGTAAACACCTCTATGCAAATAAACTAGAAAATCTAGAAGAAATTGATAAATTCCTGGACACAGACACCCTCCCAAGACTAAACCAGGAAGAAGTTGAATCCCTGAATAGACTAATAACAAGTTCTGAAATTGAGGCAGTAATTAATAGCCTACCTGCCAAAAAAAGCCCAGGACCAGATGGATTCACAGCCAAATTCTACCAGAGGTATGAAGAGGAGATGGTACCATTCCTTCTGAAAATGTTCTAAACAATAGAAAAAGAGGGACTCCTCCCTAACTCATTTTATAAGACCAGCATCATCCTGATACCAAAACCTGGCAGACACACAACAAAAAAAGAAAATTTCAGGCAAATATCCCTGACGAACATCGATGTGAAAATCCTCAATAAAATACTGGCAAAAAGACTCCAGCAGCATATCAAAAAGCTTATCCACCATGATCAAGTGGGCTTCATCCCTGGGATACAAGGCTGGTTCAACATATGCAAATCAACAAACGTAATCCATCACATAAACAGAAGCAATGTCAAAAACCACATGATTATCTCAATAGATGTAGAAAAGGCCTTTGACAAAATTCAACACCACTTCATGCTAAAAACTCTCAATAAACTAGATATTGATGGACTGTATCTCAAAATAATAAGAGCTATTTATGACAAACCCACAGCCAATATAATACTAAATGGGCAAAAGCTGGAAGCATTCCCTTTGAAAACTGGCACAAGACAAGGATGCCCTCTCTCACCACTCCTATTCAATACAGTATTGGAACTTCTGGCCAGGGAAATCAGGCAAGAGAAAGAACTAAAGCGTATTTAAATAGGAAGACAGGAAGTCAAATTGTCTCTGTTTGCAGATGACATGATTGTATATTTAGAAAACCCCATTGTCTCAGCCCAAAATCTCCTTAAGCTGATAAGCAACTTCAGCAAAGTCTCAGGATACAAAATCAATGTGCAAAAATCACAAGCATTCCTATACACCAATAATAGACAAACAGAGAGCCAAATCATGAGTGAACTCCCATTCACAATTGCTACTAAGAGAATAAAATACCTAGAAATCCAACTTACAAGGGATGTGAAGGACCTCTTCAAGGAGAACTACAAACCACTGCTCAAGGAAATAAGAGAGGACACAAATAAATGGAAGAACATTCCATGCTCATGGATAGGAAGAATCAATATAGTGAAAATGGCTACACTGCCCAAAGTAATTTATAGATTCAATGCTAGCCCCATCAAGCTACCATTGACTTTCTCCACAGAATTAGAAAAAACTACCTTAAATTTCATATGGAATCAAAAAAGAGCCCGTATAGCCAAGACAATCCTAAGCAAAAGGAACAAAACTGGAGGCATCATGCTACCTGACTTCAAACTATACTACAAGGCTACAGTGACCAAAACAGCATGGTACTAGTACCAAAACAGAGATATAGACCAATGGAACAGAACAGAGGCCTCAGAAATAACACCATACATCTACAACCATCTGATCTTTGACAAATCTGACAAAAAAAAGCAATGGGGAAAGGATTCCCTTTTTAAAAAATGGTGCTGGGAAAACTAGCTAGCCATATGCAGAAAACTGAAACTGGACCCCTTCCTTACACCTTATACAAAAATTAACTCAAGATGGATTAAAGACTTAAATGTAAGACCTAAAACCATAAAAAACCTAGAAGATAAACCTAGGCAATACCATTCAGGACATAGGCATGGGCAAAAACTTCATGACTAAAACACCAAAAGCAATGGCAACAAAAGCCAAAATTGACAAATAGGATCTAATTAAACTAAAGAGCTTCTGCATAGCAAAATAAACTATCATTAGAATGAACAGGCAACCTACAGAATGAGAGAAAATTTTTGCAATCGATCCATCTGACAAAGAGCTAATATCCAGAATCTACAAGGAACTTAAACAAATTTACAAGGAAAAAAACAAACAAACAACCCCATCAAAAAGTGGGTGAAGGAGATAAACAGACACTTCTCAAAAGAAGACATTTATGTGGCCAACAAACATGAAAAAAAGCTCATCATCACCGGTCATTAGAGAAATGCAAATGAAAACCACAATGAGATACCATCTCAAGCCAGTTAGAATGGCCATCATTAAAAAGTTAGGAAACAACAGATGCTGGAGAGGATGTGGAGAAATAGAACGCTTTTAAACTGTTGGTGGGAGTGTAAATTAGTTAAACCATTGTGGAAGGCAGTGTGGTGATTCCTCAAGGATCTAGAACTTGAAATACCATTTGACCCAGCAATCCAATTACCAGGTATATACCCAAAGGATTATAAATCATTCTACTATAAAGACACATGGACCTGTATGTTTATTGCAGCACTATTCACAATAGGGAAGACTTGGAACCAACCCAAATGCCCATCAATAATAGACTGGATAAAGAAAATGTGGCACATATACACCATGGAATACCATGCAGCCTTAAAAAAGGATGAGTTCATGTCCTTTGGAGGGACATGAATGAAGCTGGAAACCATCATTTTCAGCAAACTAACACAGGAACAGAAAACCAAACACCACATGTTCTCACTCATATGTGGGAGTTGAACAATGAGAACACATGGACACAGGGAGGGGAACATCACACACTGAGGCCAGTCAGGGGCTGGTGGGCTAGGGGAGGGATAGCATTAGGAGAAATAGCTAACGTAGATGACGGGTTGATGGGTGCAGCAAACCACCATGGCACATGTATACCTATGTAACAAACCTGCACGTTCTGCACATGTTTCCCAGAACTTAAAGTATAGTAATCATATATATGTATCCAACTAGAATGACTAAAATTAAAAAGACTGATGATACCAAGTGTTGGTGAGGATATGGAGTAACAAATTTTTGAACAATGCTGATTAGAATCCAAAATTAATTCAATCATTTTGGAAAACAATCTGGCAGTTTCTCATAACGGAAAACATACACTTATGACCCAGCAATTCCACAGAGACCTTTTACATGGTTGCTCATAGCAAAAATCTGGAACAACCCAAATGTCCATCAAAAAGTGAACAGATAAACAAACTGCAATATAGCCCAACAATGGACTACTACTTACCAATTAAAAGGAATGAATCAATCAGAAATGTAAAAAAAAGAATGAATCTCAAAACATCATGCTGAGAGAAATAAGCTAGACATACAAAAAATATGGCATACAACACCATATTTATAAAATTCTAGAAAAGGCACCAATTATAGGGACAGATAGCAGATCATTGGATGGCTGGATCCAGGGGTATGGAGGGATTGAGTGCAAAAAACAGGAAACTTTCTTGGGTGATGGAAATGTTCTGTATCTTGATTGTGGTGATGGTTAAAGGGGCATATACTACCATCGAAACTGATCAAACTTTGTACTTAAAATGAGTCCATATGGATATGGCCCTAACAAAAGGTTATGCAAATTATATCTCAATAAAGTTGACAAAAAATAAATGATCCAGGCCCCACAAAAAAGTTGAATCAAGAGGGGAGGAGCCAAGATGGCCGAATAGGAACAGCTCCGGTCTACAGCTCCCAGCGTGAGCGACGCAGAAGACGGGTGATTTCTGCATTTCCATCTGAGGAACGCAGTTCCTCACCAGCAACGGAACAAAGCTGGATGGAGAATGACTTTGACGAGCTGAGAGAAGAAGGCTTCAGACGATCAAATTACTCTGAGCTACGGGAGGACATTCAAACCAAAGGCAAAGAAGTTGAAAACTTTGAAAAAAATTTAGAAGAATGTATAACTAGAATAACCAATACAGAGAAGTGCTTAAAGGAGCTGATGGAGCTGAAAACCAAGGCTCAAGAACTACGTGAAGAATGCAGAAGCCTCAGGAGCCGATGCGATCAACTGGAAGAAAGGGTATCAGCAATGGAAGATGAAATGAATGAAATGAAGTGAGAAGGGAAGGTTAGAGAAAAAAGAATAAAAAGAAATGAGCAAAGCCTCCAAGAAATATGGGACTATGTGAAAAGACCAAATCTACGTCTGATTGGTGTACCTGAAAGTGATAGGGAGAATGGAACCAAGTTGGAAAACACTCTGCAGGATATTATCCAGGAGAACTTCCCCAATCTAGCAAGGCAGGCCAACGTTCAGATTCAGGAAATACAGAGAACGCCACAAAGATACTCCTCGAGAAGAGCAACTCCAAGACACGTAATTGTCAGATTCACCAAAGTTGAAATGAAGGAAAAAATGTTAAGGGCAGCCAGAGAGAAAGGTCGGGTTACCCTCAAAGGGAAGCCCATCAGACTAACAGCGGATCTCTCGGCAGAAACCCTACAAGCCAGAAGAGAGTGGGGGCCAATATTCAACATTCTTAAAGAAAAGAATTTTCAACCCAGAATTTCATATCCAGCCAAACTAAGCTTCATAAGTGAAGGAGAAATAAAATACTTCACAGACAAGCAAATGCTGAGAGATTTTGTCACCACTAGGCCTGCCCTAAAAGAGCTCCTGAAGGAAGCGCTAAACATGGAAAGGAACAACCGGTACCAGCTGCTGCAAAATCATGCCAAAATGTAAAGACCATCGAGACTAGGAAGAAACTGCATCAACTGACGAGCAAAATCACCAGCTAACATCATAATGACAGGATCAAATTCACACATAACAATATTAACTTTAAATGTAAATGGACTAAATGCTCCAATTAAAAGACACAGACTGGCAAATTAGATAAAGAGTCAAGACCCATCAGTGTGCTGTATTCAGGAAACCCATCTCACGTGCAGAGACACACATAGGCTCAAAATAAAGGGATGGAGGAAGATCTACCAAGCAAATGGAAAACAAAAAAAGGCAGGGGTTGCAATCCTAGTCTCTGATAAAACAGACTTTAAACCAACAAAGATCAAAAGAGACAAAGAAGGCCATTACATAATGGTAAAGGGATCAATTCAACAAGAAGAGCTAACTATCCTAAATATATATGCACCCAATACAGGAGCACCCAGATTCATAAAGCAAGTCCTGAGTGACCTACAAAGAGACTTAGACTCCCACACATTAATAATGGGAGACTTTAACACCCCACTGTCAACATTAGACAGATCGACGAGACAGAAAGTCAACAAGGATACCCAGGAATTCAACTCAGCTCTGCACCAAGTGGACCTAATAGACATCTACAGAACTCTCCACCCCAAATCAACAGAATATACATTTTTTTCAGCACCACACCACACCTATTCCAAAATTGACCACATAGTTGGAAGTAAAGCTCTCCTCAGCAAATGTAAAAGAACAGAAATTGTAACAAACTATCTCTCAGACCACAGTGCAATCAAACTAGAACTCAGGATTAAGAATCTCACTCAAAGCCGCTCAACTACATGGAAACTGAACAACCTGCTCCTGAATGACTACTGGGTACATAATGAAATGAAGGCAGAAATAAAGATGTTCTTTGAAACCAACGAGAACAAAGACACAACATACCAGAATCTCTGGGACGCATTCAAAGCAGTGTGTGGAGGGAAATTTATAGCACTAAATGCCCACAAGAGAAAGCAGGAAAGATCCAAAATTGACACCCTAACATCACAATTAAAAGAACTAGAAAAGCAAGAGCAAACACATTCAAAAGCTAGCAGAAGGCAAGAAATAACTAAAATCAGAGCAGAACTGAAGGAAATAGAGACACAAAAAACCCTTCAAAAAATCAATGAATCCAGGAGCTGGTTTTTTGAAAGGATCAACAAAATTGATAGACCACTAGCAAGACTAATAAAGAAAAAAAGAGAGAAGAATCAAATAGACACAATAAAAAATGATAAAGGGGATATCACCACTGATCCCACAGAAATACAAACTACCATCAGAGAATACTACAAACACCTCTACGCAAATAAACTAGAAAATCTAGAAGAAATGGATAAATTCCTCAACACATACACTCTCCCAAGACTAAACCAGGAAGAAGTTGAATCTCTGAATAGACCAATAACAGGAGCTGAAATTGTGGAAATAATCGACAGTTTACCAACCAAAAAGAGTCCAGGACCAGATGGATTCACAGCGGAATTCTACCAGAGGTACAAGGAGGAACTGGTACCATTCCTTCTGAAACTATTCCAATCAATAGAAAAAGAGGGAATCCTCCCTAACTCATTTTATCAGGCCAGCATCTTTCTGATACCAAAGCCGGGCAGAGACACAACCAAAAAAGAGAATTTTAGACCAATATCCTTGATGAACATTGATGCAAAAATCCTCAATAAAATACTGGCAAAACGAATCCAGCAGCACATCAAAAAGCTTATCCACCATGATCAAGTGGGCTTCATCCCTGGGATGCAAGGCTGGTTCAATATACGCAAATCAATAAATGTAATCCAGCATATAAACAGAACCAAAGACAAAAACCACATGATTATCTCAATAGATGAAGAAAAAGCCTTTGACAAAATTCAACAACCCTTCATGCTAAAAACTCTCAATAAATTAGGTATTGATGGGACGTATTTCAAAATAATAAGAGCTATCTATGACAAACCCACAGCCAATATCATACTGAATGGGCAAAAACTGGAAGCACTCCCTTTGAAAACTGGCACAAGACAGGGATGCCCTCTCTCACCACTCCTATTCAACATAGTGTTGGAAGTTCTGGCCAGGGCAATTAGGCAGGAGAAGGAAATAAAGGGTATTCAATTAGGAAAAGAGGAAGTCAAATTGTCCCTGTTTGCAGACAACATGATTGTATATCTAGAAAACCCCATTGTCTCAGCCCAAAATCTCCTTAAGCTGATAAGCAACTTCAGCAAAGTCTCAGGATACAAAATCAATGTACAAAAATCACAAGCATTCTTATACACCAACAACAGACAAACAGAGAGCCAAATCGTGAGTGAACTCCCATTCACAATTGCTTCAAAGAGAATAAAATACCTAGGACTCCAACTTACAAGGGATGTGAAGGACCTCTTCAAGGAGAACTACAAACCACTGCTCAAGGAAATAAAAGAGGATACAAACAAATGGAAGAACATTCCATGCTCATGGGTAGGAAGAATCAATTGCGTGAAAATGGCCATACTGCCCAAGGTAATTTACAGATTCAATGCCATCCCCATCAAGCTACCAATGACTTTCCTCACAGAATTGGAAAAAACTACTTTAAAGTTCATATGGAAGCAAAAAAGAGCCCGCATCGCCAAGTCAATCCTAAGCCAAAAGAACAAAGCTGGAGGCATCACACTACCTGACTTCAAACTATACTACAAGGCTACAGTAACCAAAACAGCATGGTACTGGTACCAAAACAGAGATATAGATCAATGGAACAGAACAGAGCCCTCAGAAATAACGCCGCATATCTACAACTATCTGATCTTTGACAAACCTGAGAAAAACAAGCAATGGGGAAAGGATTCCCTATTTAATAAATGGTGCTGGGAAAACTGGCTAGCCATATGTAGAAAGCTGAAACTGGATCCCTTCCTTACACCTTATACAAAAATCAATTCAAGATGGATTAAAGATTTAAACGTTAGACCTAAAACCATAAAAACCCTAGAAGAAAACCTAGGCATTACCATTCAGGACATAGGCATGGGCAAGGACTTCATGTCCAAAACACCAAAAGCAATGGCAACAAAAGCCAAAATTGACAAATGGGATCTCATTAAACTAAAGAGCTTCTGCACAGCAAAAGAAACTACTATCAGAGTGAACAGGCAACCTACAAAATGGGAGAAAATTTTCGCAACCTACTCATCTGACAAAGGGCTAATATCCAGAATCTACAATGAACTCAAACAAATTTACAAGAAAAAAACAAACAACCCCATCAAAAAGTGGGCGAAGGACATGAACAGACACTTCTCAAAAGAAGACATTTATGCAGCCAAGAAACACATGAAAAAATGCTCATCATCACTGGCCATCAAAGAAATGCAAATCAAAACCACAATGAGATACCATCTCACACCAGTTAGAATGGCAATCATTAAAAAGTCAGGAAACAACAGGTGCTGGAGAGGATGTGGAGAAATAGGAACACTTTTACACTGTTGGTGGAACTGTAAACTAGTTCAACCATTGTGGAAGTCAGTGTGGCGATTCCTCAGGGATCTAGAACTAGAAATACCATTTGACCCAGCCATCCCATTACTGGGTATATACCCAAAGGACTATAAATCATGCTGCTATAAAGACACATGCACACGTATGTTTATTGCGGCATTATTCACAATAGCAAAGACTTGGAACCAACCCAAATGTCCAACAATGATAGACTGGATTAAGAAAATGTGGCACATATACACCATGGAATACTATGCAGCCATAAAAAATGATGAGTTCGTGTCCTTTGTAGGGACATGGATGAAATTGGAAATCATCATTCTCAGTAAACTATCACAAGAACAAAAAACCAAACACGGCATATTCTCACTCATAGGTGGGAATTGAACAATGAGATCACATGAACACAGGAAGGGGAATATCACACTCTGGGGACTCTGGTGGGGTGGGGGGAAGGGAGAGGGATAGCATTGGGAGATATACCTAATGCTAGATGACGAGTTAGTGGGTGCAGCGCACCAGCATGGCACAGGTATACATATGTAACTAACCTGCACAATGTGCACATGTACCCTAAAACTTAAAGTATAATAAAAAAAACAAAAAACAAAAAACAACAACAACAAAAAGTTGAATCAAAAGCTCTGTAGACTAGTCCCTGACCTGCGTGTTCAACAGGCCCTACAGGTCATTCAGTTGGTCCTGTTCGGGAATCACCTCATTACCATTTTGCTGAGCTGCTTAAAATACCATAGCCATGCTTCTTCCTTCAGATCTGTCTTCATCAACCCTGGCTTTTAAAGAAGAGTGGCAGCGTCACAGTCTCTCAGAAGAGATTTCATTAAACTAGAAGAAACCTTGTAAAGTCACACCAGCCAATCCTCTGCCTCTGGGCAACCCCAGACATAAACCTGCTCCTTGGGTTCTGCTTAGTCTCACTGCACACAGAAGAGGACTCCAGGGTGTCCCTGAAATGAGCTCCAAGTGGGCTTTATGCTCAGAGTCCTGAGTGGGGGACACCTTCCAAGGGAAGCCCAAACCCAGACCTCCTGGAAGTGAGCGTAGGAGCCCCTGCCCTTCCCAACGCTCTCAAGTGAGCCAATGGATACTGCAGTCTAGTGTGTATTCCACAAGCAGTGCAGAGCTTCTGCAGTTAGATTACTTATAGTTCTGCACATTCTTACAGACAACTGTGCTTGATTTTTTAAAAAATGTGTCAACTAATAGTTAGGTTGCAGGAAGTTACAATTTTTAACTAAAATAAATATGCCATTTTGGAAAAGCACAAGTAATTCTGTGTCTGTGATGGTTCTCAGGATGGGTTCAGGAGTTTAGAGTGCATGGCACTGCCTATGATAAACTGCTTATAACCCATAAGCCATGCATTATGGGTTAAGTTAAATTACCATCCAAACACTACTAATAAATCACGGCCAAAGGTAGAAATGAGTATTTATATTCTCTCTGGCAGTAGAGATTTCACCTTCCTGGAGGCTGACTACCTGTCTTGATCAGGGCTGCTGCTCTGTAGGCGCTGGCATCAGTAGAACAGATCTATAAAATGGAGCTAATGTGACAAAGTAACTGCCGAATAAAGAACAGTTTGAATTACAAAATCTCCCAACAATGCCAAAGAAAATTCAATACCCAAATCCAAAAGATATTTTACAGGATTATTGGGAAGATTATTTTTATTATTGCTTTTACTTTAATCTTTTAAAATTTTGTTCAGTTATAAGGAAGCCTGATTGTGTAGAACAATTCCTCATTTGGACCCTTCATTAAGTAAACGTGGAGTAGAACAGATCAATATCCTTAAATAATATAAGACAAAACTACTTGTACTACACAGCTCTTGGAGGAATGATGGAACAAAATATCCTTTCCATCAGTACATCTTGGATATATCTAGCACTGGGACAAAAAGGGAAAGGCTTTGATGCCTCAAGAAAACAGATGAGAATATTTGTCATACCCTAGCAGCAGTATCTGGAGTTAGGAATGAAAGAGTTTTTCTGGAGTAACAGGGGTGGACATTTGTAGTGAGCATGATAGTAACTACTCCTTAAAGAGTGCTGCCTTTTGTGATGGTACAAGCATCAAAGAGTGATTGTGAAGATGAGTGAAAGAATGTACATGAAGCACATAGTATAGTTTAGGGGGCATTTAGGGGGCTTCTTAAAGAGTAATTACCATTATCATCTTTTTTTTCGTCATCAACCCTATTTTAGAAATAGGAAAACTGAGGAGCAGAGACTCAGTAGCCTGCCTAGAGTCATAAATGGTAAATGACAGAACAGGATTCAAACTAATATCTGAGTGAGTCTAAATCCATGGTTGTAACCAATCTCTAGTACCTGTGTAAACCTGCTGAGAAAATGTAGCTGAGTAAGCCTGCTGAGAAAATGATTCCCTTCAATACAGAACTACTGCCCTTGGTCCAGGTCAGTAACTGAGGTTTTTTTTTTTTTCTTATTGAGGCAACTCTCGGGGGTTTATATTTATCAGGGCACATGAGCTAGATGAGACGGGCTCACAGGCTGAAGTGTATGTGGAGGAGGGGAGAGACAGTGACAGGCTAAGGAAATTGCATTGTGTAAATCCTCCTTGGAAGTACCCTGGCTCCTGCACCTTCTCCACACACCCTGTTCCAAATTGACTTAGCTTTCAAAGGTATACAGACCACATGGACATCTGATCTGCATTGCTGAGATTTGTCCTACATCTATGGTGAATTTAGGCAACATATTCCATTTTTTTTAACTACTTGTTTCCTGGCTTCTTTCAAGAAAGCACAAAAGTGTCTAAAGTTAAGTATATATAATGAGTTCTTTTTTTCATGAGGAACATTTCAGCCCTGAATGATGAAAATCATTTAGTTTGCCTCTAGTTGAGGACACAGATCAATCCATACTCAGAAAGTATTGCAGAAACCAGAAACCAAAAATGTTTGTAGACAGCACTGAGATGGGTTCTGTTGCTAGGGTGCCCACTGATACATACATTGATAAGAACTCCATAACATCATATTAATAAAGTTGGTGTGTCTTTGGTTGACTGGCCAACTATGGTTGCCTTCAAAGTTATTAAACTTCAGACCAGGCTCAAGATTTATTAAGAGATCTTGCTGCCCGATAGTCTGCATAGTGATTTTCTTACAGCAGTTGCTGCTATCATGTTCAGCCACTGGGTAAATTTCCAGCAACCAAGGTTTTGAGAGAAACTGAAATCAAATTTAATATAATTCAACTACAACAAGAATGCAAACCAAAAAATAGAAAATGCCAGATACAAATGATTTCCTCAGATAATTATACATAATTGACATTAAAGAAGAATTGCTTCAGGAACC
The DNA here is from genome assembly GCF_000001405.40 of Homo sapiens. NCBI lineage: Eukaryota > Metazoa > Chordata > Mammalia > Primates > Hominidae > Homo > Homo sapiens. Next base: position 55,985,435 of record NC_000014.9, on the reverse strand, counting down.
CAGGAATCTAGGGAACAAAATTTTTGCTTTACATAAAAACACTGTTGGTTCATTATCATCATCTTTGTCATCATCATCACCATCAAGGCTAACATTTACTGACCACTTACCCACATGAGACATTGTGCTAGGCACTTTATTATCTCATTTATTCCTGCCCCAAACTCTACGAAATCGATACAATTATTATTGTTCCTTTTACAGTGAGATTCCCAAGGTTTAAAGCAAGTGACTTACCTGCATTTACATGGTTTCAAGTGGCAAAGCTAAAGTCAACTCAAGTCATCTGGTTCAGAGTCCACATGGTCACTCTGACACCAGGTATTGCGCTCTATACTTTTCATGGATTCAATTTTGACTAGAGTTCTACGTGGTAGGTACCAGCATGTATTGGGCATAAACTTTGTGTGGTTTCTCAATTCTCTTGGTCACCTGCTTCATTCCAAAGGCGTCTCTCAGGCTGCACCACTGTGAGCACCTTTATTGTGCCCCTGCCCAGCACCCCTGGCTGATCAGCATCCACGTGAACCCCTGAGTCTGCCCAGCTTTCACACCACACCTGCTGAGCCTCATCATCTCTGAATCCCCTTCTGCTTCCACACTGGGATCAAATGCCACACTGCAGACCATTGGGGTGGGATTCCTGAGCAGTCACCAAAGGGCTAGAAGATGCAACCTTGAAGCTGGGGAGAAGGTAGTTGCCAATGAGGTCAATCTGTACCAGTGGGAGACAAGAGATAGTAAGGGATTGAACCAGTAAGTCCCTCTCCTTTCTCCCCTGCATGAATAGCTCTGAGATACGGTTTCTATAAGCTTTCTGATGAATACCCTGCTGAACAACTTCCTGTGAAGTGGTGGCCAGCCCAGCGGCACATGGCATCACATTTTTCCTCATCTTTCCTTGCCTTGCTTCCCTACTTCCCTTTCCATGCATGGCTCTGGGTTTGCACTTGTCAAAAGAAAGCTTCAGTGCTTTAATCCTTGCCTTGGCTCTTCTTCCTAGAGGTCTAGGCTGAGTATCATCTCAACCTTACATCTTAAAAAACTGGGTTTCTGGGAAATAAAGAGACTTGCCATAGGTAACATATCCACCAAGGCAGAACAAGTATTCAAACTGAATACTAACAAACTCAAAAGCCTAGTGTTGACCAAATTTCAGATTTCTAATTTCAGAAACTCGGTAATTGCATTGTTTTAAGCCTGTAGGAGTCTAGTAAATTGACATGAAATTCACATATTCGCTCAGTCCTGAATCATGAACATGCATGTAGACTACCACACACTCATGCACATGACCTAAGGAAGCAAACTCAAGTTGGAGGTACAGTGCTGCCTGTGCTATTTTACTCATAATATTTGAATTGATCTTAATATTAATTACAAACATTTTTCTGATATAGTATCTTTCTTTTCTGGTTTAAGTAAAATTAAGTAAATATCTGTTGGAAATCATCTACATGCAATGTACTGGGCAAACCACTCGACTGTTTCTGAATCTGATGCTGCTTATATATAACCTGGCCGGGAAAGCATCCACAGTTTGATTAGCCTTGAGCATACCCCTGCCCTGGAATTCCAAATGAGCTAGATAGGGGTCTTTCTCTGAATTCTGGAGCATCCATCCTCAATCCTAATTGAAACACACAGAGAGATGTATAAAATTATCTCAAGAGACATAGAACATTTTCTTCGAAAATGTCTGAGCAAATTAATCTCAATGCTTTTATTTATTTATTGTTTTTTGAGAAACAAATGTATGCTATCCTTCACTTTCAGTTAGAAAAGGCATTAGATAAAATCAAGCTAAATAAGATGTGGGTGTCCCAAAAATGGTGGGGATTATGCTTTTAAAGCATGTAGGAAATCACCAAAATCTTGTGTCTGACCTGTGAGGATAAAAATAGATTAAACCAGTTCCTTGGAGAAAAGTATTAGAACCAATGCCTAGCAATTAGGCTTCAAAAAGTCAGCTCCTTCAGAATACAAAGAGGTGCTTATGTTACTTTCCATTGTCAAAGCTTTCTGAAATATTGTGAAACAAGAAACATCAGCTTATCTCTGTCTGAGGTGAATGCACAGAATGAGGGAAGGATGGACTCACAGCCCACGACAAAGACAGAATTCTCCTGCATTTTCCCAGGCTGTCTCTCCATCACCCAGAGGCTTGGGGGATGCCATCTATCACCAACCCTCTGGAAACAGGCCTAGTTTCTGCAAGGTGCTGCTCTCAAGATACTGCAAGTGGCATTTTAAAGACTCCTTTTATAACTTCATTTGCAGCCCTTACCATTGGTAAAACAATTCATCTTCCTCAACATCCTTTTTCAAATTTTTGTCCTCTCCCTTCTGGTAAAAGTCAAGATAGAATCCTCATAGGGCTCTCTTCTAAATGGAATGCTCATGAGCGTAGATGATTTAAATACATCCCCTCTAAACTGTCTTAGTTTTGGAACCTCCCAAAAGAGGTCCCCAGATGAAGACTTGAGTGACAGTAGTTTATTTGAGTGGTGATTCCTGGACATAGAATTGAGGGAGTGGGAACATGAGATAGGCAGGGGAGAAAGCCAACAATGAGTGTGTTAATGGGAGGGTTACTACTATGGGTAGCTGAGGCTCAAGTCCCCTGGAGAGCACACCTCAGAATCACCACACTGGAGGACACAGAGTTGGGTCTTATCCACCTTTGCCATCTCTCATTGGTGGAGGGTTGCCTCAGGGGCATGAGCTCCCCTGCACTTCCAACTTATCCCCAAGAATTCATGGAGGCATGGGGAGAGTGCAGGAGGAACCACTCAGGCAGAGAAGTGAGTGGCAGGTGCTTGAGGAGGGAAGCTGTCGGTGTGTTGAAAACTGTTTTCCCCTGCAGCTGCAGGTGGTCTCAGGTGGGCCAGGGAATATGAGGCAGGCAACTACCTTCCTCTTACTCCCACCTCTCTCCTCTCAAATATGCTTTGAAAGTCCTTGACAAAGTTGCCTTACAAAAGAATTATACCTCTGGCCCTTACCAGATATGTTATCATATGCTGACTTTAACCTCTCTGGATCTCAAATCCTTCAAGATGAAGGTGGTAACAGTATCCACTTTATATGGTTTTTGAGGAGACTAAAATATGGCAATCCATGTAAAGCCCTTAGCACAGCGTCAGCACAGCACTGAATTAAATACTGGCAATTGTTATGAGTTTTGTTTTGTATTTATAAGAAGTTTTTGGTTTCCTAGTGCACATAAAAGTGATGTTTATACTATATTGTCGTCTATTAAGTGAGCAAAAACGTATGTCTAAAAAGCAACATATACAACTTAATTTTAAATTACTTTGTTGCTAAAAGATGCTAACAGTTATCTGAGCCTTCAGTGAATCATAATCTTTTTACTGACAGAGGGTTTTGCTTCAGTGTTGATAGCTGCTGACTGATCAGGGTAATGGTTGCTGAAGCCTGGGATAGCTGTGGAAATTTCTTAAAATAAAGACAGAAATGAACTTTGCCATATTGATAGACTCTTCCTTTCATGAAAGTTTTCTCTATAGCATGAAATACTTTTTGAGAGCATTTAACCCACAGTAGAACTTTTTTCGAAATGGAGGTCAGTCCTCTCAAACCCTGCCACTGCTTTATCAACTAAGTTTATGGGACATTCTAAGTCCTTTGTTGTCATTTCAACAATGTTCACAGCATCTTCACCAGACGTAGATTCCATCTCAAGAAACCACTGTCTGCTCATCCATAATAAGCAACTCTTCATTCTTTAAAGTTTTATTAGAGATTGTAGCAGTTCAGTTACATCTTCAGGCTCTACTTTTAACTCTAGTTTTCTTGCTATTTCTACCACATCTGCAGTTAATTTCTCCATATGAAGCCTTGAAGCCCCCAAAGACATCCATTGATTTTTTTACCTCCTCCCATTAATTATGAATGTACTTCATGGCATCTAGAATGGTGAATCCTTTCCAGAAGGCTCTCAGTTGACTTTGCCCAGATCCATCAGAAGAATCACTATCTATGGCAGCTAAAGACTTAAAAAATATATTTCTTAAATAGTAAGACTTGAAAGTTGAAATTACTTCTTGATGCATAGGCTGCAGGATGGATGTTATATAAGTAGGCATGAAAATAATACTAATTACCTTGTACCTCCCCACCAGTGCTCTTGAGTGACTAAATGCATTGTCAGTGATGAGTAATATTTTGAAATGAATATTAAATGAGTAGTAGGTCTCAACACTAGGATTAAAGTATTCAGTAAGCTGTGCTATAAATAGATATGCTGTCATCAGACTTGGTTCTATTTATAGAGTATAGGTAAAGTAGCTTGAGCAAAATCCTTAAGGGCCCTAGGAGTTTCAGAATGGAAAATGAGCATTGGCTACAACATCTAGTCACCAGCTCCACTAGCTTCTAACCAGAGAGTCAGCCTGTCCTTTGAAGCTTTGAAGTCAGGCATTGACTTCTCCTCTCTAGCTAGGAAGGTCCTAGATGGCATCTTCTTCCAATGGAAGGCTGTTTCCTCTACATCGAGAACCTATTGCTCAGCGTAGCCACCTTTATCAATTACCTTAGCTGGAGCTGGATAACTTGCTGCAGCTTCTAAATTAGCACTTGTTACTTTACCTTGAACTTTTATGTTATGGAGACAGCTTATTTCCTTAAACCTCATGAACCAACCTCTGCTAGCTTCCAGCTTTTCTTCTGCAGCTTCCTCACCTCTCTCAGCCTTCATCAACAATGAAGCTGTTTCATTTTCTTATTATTCATGTGTTCACTGGAGTAGCACTTTACATTTCCTTCAAGAACTTTTCCTTTGTTTTCACAACTTGGCTGATTGATGCAAGAGGCCTAGCTTTTGGCCTGTCTTGGGTTTTGACATGTCTTCCTCACTAAGCTTAATCTTTTCTAGCTTTTGATTTAAAGTGACAGACAGGGACTCTTCCTTTCATTTGAACACTTAGAGGCCATTGCAGGCTTCTTAATTGGCCTTATTTTAGTATTGTTGTGTCTCAGGGAATGGGGAGGCCCGAGGAGAGAGGCAGAGAGACAGACAACTGTTGGAGCAGTCAGAACACACACAACATTGATCAATGAAGTTCACCGTCTTATATGGCACAGTTTGTGGTGCCCCAAAACAACTGCAGTAGTAACACTGAAAATCACACTGATCATAGATCACCATAACAGATAAAATAATAATTTTTAAAAGTTTGAAATATTCCAAGAATTACCAAAATGTGATACAAAGACACAAAGTGGGCACCTGATGTTTGGAAAACTGATGCTGATAGACTTACTTGACACAGGGTTGCCACAAATGTAAAAAAAAACACATAATATCTGCAAAGCACAATAAAGCAAACCGCAATAAAATGAGGTATGCCTATACTTTGGTTCAGTGCACTGAGGAGCCATTGAAGGCTTTTAACCAGGGAAGTGATATGGTCAAAGCAGTACTTTAGGAAGAATTATTCAGCAATATATATGGGTGAGTCATGACAGGGAAAGAAGAGAAGGTGGAGGTCAGTTTAGTAAGCTTTGTCTCCTCATTGCTTTTTTGGCATTAAAAACCATAAAAGCCACATTGATTGTAAGTATAGAGTTTGCACAGTGGGCTCTCTTACACATCCAATAACAAGATTCAGTTCTCTCATCAATCATCTGGGTTCCATCACTACTTGGAAACGATTTTGTGTCATTAACTACCTGGCCCCACATGTTTCTCAGACTCTCCATAGGGTAGGGCCAAGCCTCTCCTACTGATGCCTATTTTTATTTCAGCCAGACCACAGTAAATATGACTTGTGCCTAACGTGCTTCACACATCATCTTAACATTGCTTTATAATTTTTAACCCTCACATATTCCGCATTGCCTTAACCCCTGCCTCAGGTTAGACACATGGGACTTTCTCCTCCTACCTAGCCAAATTTCTACAGAATTTATCTTTTGAACCAAGTTTGAGTTCTCTAGATATTTTATTCTTCAGTTCTATCTCAGAATCCTCCAAATGCATGTCCTATCCATTGTTTCTGCCCATGAGCAGCACAATGAATGCCCATTGTTCACTTTATCATTAAGACAGAGCATCTATTTGCAGTCCTTTCTGTCATTAGAATTCAAAACTGAGAGATAAGTTATTTGGACAGAAACATTTCCCCCTGCTGCATAGCAATGGGCTGGTATCCAAGCAGGGCCCAAGGGCACATCTCCAAATGGCAGATGGCGAATAACTGGCTTTGTATAAGTAACTCAACCTGATGATTACTTCTAATAATTTCAGGCCCGATCCTGGGGACTCTGCCAGTACAGAGAGCAATCCTACCACCATTTCCAGTGTGAAGAATTCTTGACAGCAAGCATAATTTCATTTTAAAAACTCTCTGTGTATGTATATGCATATATATAGATGTTAAGAGGTACAGTCCCACACAAGCTGGCAGTCACTTTTGCTGGTTCTTTACCTATTGCTTTTAATAAATCATTATTACTTTCTGTGTACAGCCTCTCAGCCAAACTATAAATCTTTGGAAGATAATTGGCATCTACTTATGTAAAGCAATAATCATAGTGTATTTACTATTTGCTGAGTATTTGTTACATGGGAGACACTGAAATGGCTCTCTTAATTTTCACAGTAAGCCCAGGAAATATGTATTATTAACCTCACACTACAGATGAGGAAAGTTAAATAATATGTTCAACACTATTTTGTTAGCAAGGGTGGGCTGGGAATTGGAATTTGAGTTTTTTTTCTGGGTAGGGTCTCTTTAGGAATCTGTAAACATTTGCTAAATGAGTGAATGAGTAAGGGACTCTAAAACCTATATTTTTAATCTCTATGTTATACAGGACTAATTTATAGCCATGATAATAAGCCTTGGACATTGCATATGTTCCCTAACTGTAGGTGATTAAAATTACATAAAATTAACAGTTGTCTTCAAAATGTAACACTAAGGGAAAAAAATCCAGGAAGCTGCACAAGTAAGGGGACCTATGAGTGGAGGTTCCCTACCCTATACACTGGTCATCTTTATAGCCATCACTGACCACCACCGTTCCCTAGGTCTGAACGTGGACTCCAACAGGCCGCACCTATCAAGGACTGGCCAAAAGAAATAGATCGGTTTCGCCTTGGGCCATTAAATTCACACATCAAGATTATGTCTTCAGGGAACCGGAAGACATTGGCAGAGGACTTCCTGTGAGCAAGTCATGGTGCTAGAGCCTAGGGTTGAGTTCCAACCTTCTCACCCACAGTCTGGGTTCTGGAGTCCATTTCCACTATGTGGGATGCATCATTGCTATTAATATTTATCTTTCTTGGGATCTTATTAATGAGCCAATAGACTGATAAACACACTCAATCCATGCACCATATTCTTTGATATGATAAAGCTAAAGAAGCAACATACTGTTACTTGGCTAGAGGCTGCTGTGCTCTGCCACCTAAATGTGCGCCAACATTTCTCCATGGCTAAATTAAATGACTAGTGGGAATGAGAGTCCATTCACGTTTGGCTCCCCCCATCTCTTTTTCTTAGTAGTTACATCTTTTTAACTCATTTCTCCCTCAAACAAGTGAATTTTCCTTTCTATTGCAGGTAATCTCTTGAGTTCACTGTTATGTCCATTTTAATTCTTGCATTCCCTTATGAGATATTCATTCTAAATGAATTGCTATCCTGTCAGTTACATAGCTTGGCTCCTGGCATGGGAATTGTATTTCTTTAATGGCTTTATTCATCTAAACATATTCTTTTTAGAGATCTCCATTATACCCCAGTCCTTGGAGGGAGACCTGGCAATTGTAGAATAGGGCCTTTGGCTGCCAAGAGGCCTGAGAAACAAATCTGAAATATTTTAAAACTAAAAGAGCTCATGAACTGATGCGTGTCCTGGATTGACTGTTACTGGGCTCTCAGCACCAAACACAACACAAAACAGCAATTCTTCTTCTTGGCTGTCAGGGTGCCAAATGAGTTTTTTCTGTGCTTAAAAATGGACAGAGGTTTGCAGTAATTGAATGAAATAACGTACAATAATTTTAAATATTGTTCATTCGGAGAGAGATTAGGCTTTAATTAAATGGTGTCATTTAATATACCATCCAGCAGATACTGTAATTGGTTTCTTTAGCAGAGAACACAGTAATATCTGAGCTTTACTGAAGTGATAACGGTACTAATTTAGCTCAGTGGATACATAAACAGCATGGCTGCCTCTGACATCCCCAGTGAACAAGAAGTAAGCTATGATCATGACACCTGCACAACTCTTAATCAGTCATTTCTTTCTGAAATAAAATCAACAATCACTCAGACTAAACAAAATCTGTTTACATTAAACAGGTTTGATATCTGGGATTTTTAGGGCATTAAGCTGTTCATTTCTTTGAATACAAAAAGGTAGGGCTGTCTTCAAAGTAGTTATGAAATTACATGTCATTTTAGCAGGAAGAATTGCATTTATTATTTTTAAAACCTGATATAAATGCAAAATAGCACTCACCGGTCCGTTCAAAGAGGGCAGGCAATTTTCTGGCACCATAACAGTTGCATATTTTAACTCCTATCTTCTCTTGGTCATTTACAAGGACATGTTCATTTCCAGGCTTGGCTCCTGTTTCCTCATTGCTCATTCCTGAAACGTGATACAATAAGGTCCTATTGTCTTTAAGCCATTCTGCTTGACAATTCTGTACAAAGCCAGAAAGGAGGTTGGGGGTTGGGGTGGGGTGGGGTGGGGGAATTTACCTGAATCTAAATGAAAGAAACAAATTACCTTCCAAGATATAATGCCCCAGACATATTTCAAAGTCACCAGAGATTAGATTACATTCCTTTTCTAAATTCTTTGTTTGCGAAAATATATGCACTGCACCTAGGGATGGAAAACTTTCATTTCCCTGTTTGCAAATGACCGTCCACATGTTTATTTTGGAAAAGAATGGAAACATTGATTATAGCAAAGAGTTGGCTGGATTGCAGTGTCATAAAAACAGTCTGGCTCTATCACTGGGTGGAGAAACAGAACTGGCAACCACTGGATAGGGTCCCTGGGGTGTGACTCCACCTTTATAGACTTTCCAATGGGTTATCAGCGATTTGTCACAGCGCTCAGAGCTCCTCCCTGCCCCATCCAAACTCAAGGAGGAGGCCGGGTGTGGTGGCTCACACCTGTAATCCCAGAACTTCAGGAGGCCAAGGGGGATGAATCACCTGAGGTCAGGAGTTCAAGACCAGCCTGGCTAACATGGTGAAACCCCATCTCTACTAAAAACACAAAAATTAATGGGCCTGGTGGTGGGCCCAGCTGCTTGTGGGGCTGAGGCAGGAGAATCGCTTGAACCTGGGAGGTGGATGTTGCAGTGAGCTGAGATCACACCACTGCACTCCAGCCTGGGCAGCAAGAGCAAAACTCTGTCTCAAAAAATTAATAAATAAATAAACAAATAATTAAAAAAAAACTCAGGGTGTTCCCAGGCTCATCTTCAGAAGATGACAAATGTAACTGGGGACATAGGAATGACGATAACGCTTCCTATTTTTAAATTGCATCCTGAAAACTCAAAAATCAGGATAATCTCAACAAACTCAGGAAAGCTGGCAGCCCAAGTTGGAGAAAAAGACCCTGAGCTAAATAAAGGCTGCCCCAGAGGCCGCTTGTGTCCTCATGGTTAAAGGACAAACCATGCGGCAACACAACCCACATCACAGTCCAGCTGTCATGGGCCATTATATTAACTGATGGTATGAGTGAGCCACCAGGACTCCTGCACTCCTTGGGTTTTCTTCCTTACAAAGCAAACCACATTCACTGGACTGGAGAACAACCACAAGAAAGCTACTATATTCTGAACAATTAGGGCCTCTGCTTTGCTTCCCTGAAAATGACTCTTTAAGCCAGGGTCATCCAGTTGCCACCAGAGCACCATTCTGGACAAGGCCCCATTGACCTCTTTGCCAAATCCAGTGGCCTATTTTCAGTCATTGCCCTTCTTGACCTTTCTGGGACAATTCCAATGGTTAACTGCTGCCTTTCTGAACGCTCCCCTCCACCGGCTCCAGTAACTTGTGATACACTCTTTCTCCT